>NC_000006.12:43696363-43999393 GCF_000001405.40 Homo sapiens
CTAATATGGATAATGAGGGAAAACACAAAAAAGAAGTGGAATTGGTGAGAGGTAGAGTTAGGGAACTTCAGATCCCAAAGCCTTCTGGGAAACTGAGGCCAGAGGAAGAAGGCCCCAACCAAAACTGCCTGCCACAGGGGAGGAGGCCTGCTGTGGCATTTGGGTGCACTCCCAGGCACGAGCCAGGATCCAATCCAAGTGAGAGGTTCAGGCTGTGATTGGGGCCAGTGAGGCCTGCTCAGCTCAGGTCTCTCCCAGTGTAAGCAAACCCTGGCCAGACATTTTTACAGAATGCCAGATGCCCTTTCTGAAAAGGCCACGATGTCCTTGTTATGCGAAGAGATGCACCCAATTCCTTTCTCCTGGTGTCCACATGCAGTTTTTTGTGTGTAAGGAAAAGGTTTTAGCTTCTTAGGACACTTTGGAACTATTGGCTATTTTTGCTAACACGCACAAAATGGCGCCCTAGGGAGACACTGTCTCCTGTGTACATCCCTGTGTGTCATCTGTTTCTTCCCCTATGAAGAAATAGATAAAGTCAAGCCCGGGTGAGGTGGCTCATGCCTGTAATCCCAGGACTTTGGCAGGCCAAGGTGGGACGATCGCTTGAGGCTAGCAGTTCAAGCCTACAGCGAGCTATGAATGTGCCACTGTACTCTAGCCGGGGTGAGACCCTGTCTTTAAAAAAATTTAAATTTAAATTTAAAAAAAGATACAGGGCTGGGTGCAGTGGCTCACACCTGTAATCCCAGCAGTTTGGGAGGCTGAGGTAGGTGGATCACTTGAGGCCAGGAGTTCTAGACCAGCCTGGCCAACATGGCGAAACCCCATCTCTACTAAAAATACAAAAATTAGCCAGGTGTGGTGGTGCACACCTGTAGTCCCAGCTGCTTGGGAGGCTGAGGTGGGAGAATTGCTTGAACCTGGGAGGTGGAGGTTGCAGTGAGCCGAGATCATGCCATTGCACCCCAGCCTGGGTGACAGAGTGAAATCTTGTCTCAAAAAAAAGTAAAAAATGATACAGAAGCAGGAGGAAAGCACTGCAGTTGGGAAATCAGGCTGTCCCCTAACCAACTGGAAATATGCAATGAGATACTCATGTTCTCTGGGCTTCAGTTTCTCCATCTGTAAAGAGTCCCATTTGGTTCTAGAATTCTGCCATAAACAGGCCCATCATTGGTCCCTAGAGTGGCACGAGTTCAGTGTGTAGCCTCCTCCCTGCTCTGCTGTTCTTCAGTCTCACCCGCTTTTATCCTCAGCAATCCCCTCAAAGCCAATAAGCCCCAAAGCCACAGCAATATTCTTTTGAGCTCTAGCCTTTAGTATCCAACTGCCTACAGAAGTTTCTGTCTGGTTCTTCTGAAGGATCTTAAATGCACAGTGTCTAGGTAAGTGCATCACAACCTTCTTTTTTTTTTTTTTTGAGATGGAGTCTCACTCTGTCGCCCAGGCTGGAGTGCAGCGGCGGGATCTCAGATCACTGCAACCCCCGCCTCCCAGGTTCAAGTGATTCTTCTGCCTCAGCCTTCCGAGCAGCTGGGACCACAGGCATGCGCTACCATGCCTGGCTAATTTTTTTGTATTTTTAGTAGAGGTGGGGTTTCACCATATTGGCCAAGCTGGTCTCGAACTCCTGACCTTGTGATCCACCCACCTTGGCCTCCCAAAGTGCTGGGATTACAGGCGTAAGCCACTGTGCCAGGCCAGCCATCATCACCTTCCTAATAAATGCCATCCCTGATGTTGGTCTCCTGGTCACTCACAGAGTCACCATCAACTGCCCTCCCCTCAATTTTCAAAGTTTTCCCACATTTCATAAATTTCAAAGTTACCTCATAATTTCCCCCTCTTCCTTGCTGTTTCAATTCCCACCACCTTCTATAGTACCTTGATTTTCCTATTGCCTTCAAGCTTCCCACCTCCAATCTGCTCTACTGCTACGGTTTAATGTTTCTTTTCTTTTCTTTTTTCTTTTCTTTTCTGCAGCCCTCCAGGAAGACCGTGCTTAGGTGGGGGTGGCAGGGGGTGCAGGGCATGAGAAGGCTGCAGGGCAGGCAGGACAGGGGCAGTCACAACACTCCTTCATTAATACTGTTCATGACTTGAAGAAACCTCTGAGTGAACTTTGGATCTGATGGTTTCAGGGTGAATTTATTAAAGTTGAGGGTATTCATATTAAAATAATATAAACTAGATTTTGCCTGGGACATGGGTACTCATGCCATGTGGTATGTGCTCCACAGACAGCTTGTGTGTGCGCGTGTGTGTGTTTGTGTGTGTGTGTGTGTGAGAGAGAGAGCTGTTATAACTCGATATTTGGAAAAATGCCATGTTTTTCCATTTGCTTACAGTTTCCTTTTGACCCCAGAGAAGACTTTTTTTTTTTTTAGCTCTATGAGCAGCTATCCAGAGAAGATTTTCTGATGCATTTGTCACTAGGAGCTGCCAGGTCATGGAACGTGAGAACCCAGGGGAGGAAGTGGAGCCGGCCTCTCTGCTTACTCCTACTGGGTCATTGGGAGGCAGCTGGCCAGAACGGAGGGAGAGAGAGAATGTTTCTTTGCCCTTTTTTTTTTCCCATCTGACCTTTTAAAGGGACTTGTGCCCTGCTGCCTTCCTCTCAGAAACTGCATGCACGTTTGAATGAAGGCAGGGAGGGGGATGGGGGAACATGGACCATTAGGTAGGTATCCAGCACACTGCTTCCAGGCTAGGTTGGTCCCCAGATCTCTGTCGGGGTCCAGGGCTCAGGGCCATTCCATCACCTTAGATACCAGGGGTGTGTCTGAGGTGATGGAATGTTGCTGAAAACCTGTGTATTTCATCTGCCTCAGGCCCCTGAGTCTCTGAGATCTGAGGGTCTCTGATGGGTGGGATGGCCTCTCATTCTTACACCAGTTCTGGGAGGCAGGAAAGGGCAGGCAGAGGGGGTTCCTCTTTCTGGAATGAACCCCCCTACTCACACTAGCTCCAGAGAGGACAAGTGACTTGCCCAAAGTGACCCAGCAAGTCAGAGACAGAGTCCTATTCAATCAAATGACCTGACTTCAATCCCAGATAGAGATACTGCATTTGCTCTCTGGTTGGGAGGAAGGGATTTCTTGGGGGGCAGGATATTCCTGTTGTCCTATTCATTGTCACCTGCCGAGACTGAGAAGAACCTGCTCTGCTCCCTCAACCCTGGGTATGCCCAAGGAGCAGATGGAGGGGAAAGAGCAGAGTGGGGAAAGAGGGAGGGAGAGGCCAGGACAGGGGGAGGCCGAAAGAGAGGAAAGGGCTTGGGGACAGAGGGAGCTGGAAAATGAGCAAACAAAGTCCTGGAAAACAACTTGTATCCCCTTCCCGGCCTCCCTGCCTGCCTTCTCCACTGGAGACAAGTCATTTAGAATAATGAGTCATAATTTGATTACATTGTCTTCCAGCCTCGCAAGGTAAACAAGGATCTCCCCTGGAAGGAAGGAACGGGGTGGCCCAGGCTTCTGGCAGACTCCCTGAGCCTGGGCAGGGGTTTTCCCCTCCTGCAGTTGTCCCTCTCTTCCTGAGTGCGCTTGAAAGACACGTCTGGGTGGCTTCAGCCCCATGTTCCACTAACATTTACATTCTCTTTGTGTCTTCTGTCTGACCCCCCACTCCCCTCCCTGGTAATGTCCTTGCCCTGAAGCCTGCACACCACCATGTAAATATTTAAACCGATCTATTATTTCCTGTTTATTATCAGCATAAATCCTGAGTTCATTCATTGAGCATCTGTCCCCTGGTGTCTATCTCAGAAGGGGAGGCCTGAAGCCAGGGCCATATGTCCACTCTTTTCTAGGAGTACAGAGTCACTCAGGGCAACTGGATTGCTAATTTTGTCTTTTATTTATTTTATTTCTTTCTCCAACTTAAAAATTGTGGCAAAATATGCATAAATTTTACCACCTTAACTTTTTTTTTTTGAGATGGAGTTTCACTCTTGTTGCCTAGGCTGGAGTGCAATGGCACAATCTTGGCTCACTGCAACCTCCGTCTCCCGGGTTCAAGCGATTCTCCTAACTCAGCCTCCCAAGTAGCTGGGATTACAGGCATGCACCACCACGCCTGGCTGATTTTTTGTATTTTTAGTAGAGATGGGGTTTCTCTATGGTGGTCAGGCTGGCCTTGCACTCCCAACATCAGGTGATCTGCCTGCCTTGGCCTCCCAAAGTGCTAGGATTACAGGCATGAGCCACCGCGCCCAGCCCATCTTAACCATTTTTAAATGTATAGCTCTAGTAGTATTAAATACATTCATATGGCTGGGCGCCGTGGCTCACGCCTGTAATCCCAGCACTTTGGGAGGCCAAGGTGGGTGGATCACCTGAGGTCAGGAGTTCCAGACCAGCCTGACCAACATGGTGAAATCCTGTCTCCACTAAAAATACAAAAAATTGGCTGGGTGCAGTAGCTCATGCCTTTAATTCCAGCACTTAGAGAGGCCGAGGCGGGAGGATCGCAAGGTCAAGAGATCGAGACCATCCTGGCCAACACGGTGAAACTGCGTCTCTACTAAAAATACAAAAATTAGCTGGGCGTGGTGGCACGTGCCTGTAATCCCAACTACTCAGGAGGCTGAGGCGGGAGAATTGCTTGAACCCAGGAGGCAGAGGTTGCAGTTAGCCAAGATCGTGCCACTGCACTCCAGCCTGGCAACAGAGCAAGAATCCATCTAAAAAAAAAAAAAATTAGCCGGGCGTGGTGGCGGGTGCCTGTAATCCCAGCTACTCAGGAGGCTGAGGCAGGAGAATTGCTTGAACTGGGAGGCAGAGGTTGCAGCGAGCCGAGATTGCGCCACTGCACTTCAGCCTCGGTGACACAGTGAGACTTCATCTCAAAAAAACAAACAAAACAAAACAAAACAAAAAAAATTCATATTGTTAGGCAACCATCCCCACCTTCTATCTCCAGAATTCTGTTCATCTTATAAAACTGAAACTCTGCATTAATTTACACAAATTCCCCATTCCCTCTTCTTCCCCTTTCCCTGGCACCACGCTTTCACTTTGTCTCTGGATTTGATGACTCTAGGTGCCTCATATAAGGGGAATCACTCAGTATTTGTCTCTTTGTGACTGGTTTATTTCACTTAGCATGATGTCCTCAGGTTCATCCATATTGCAGCAAGTGTCAGAATTCCCTTCCTTTTTTTTTTTTTGTTCTGAGGCAGGGTCTCACTTTGTCCCCCAGGCTGGGTGGAGTGCAGTGACATGATCTTGCTCACTGTAGCCTCCACCTCCCGGTTTCAAGTGATCCCCCTGCCTCAGCCCCCCAAGTAGCTGGGACTACAGACATGTGCCACCATGTCCGTTACTTTTTGTATTTTTTTGTAGAGATGGGGTTTCACCATGTTGCCCAGCCTGGTCTCAAATTCCTGAGCTCAAGTGATCCACCCACCTTGGCCTCCCAAAATGCTGGGATTACAGGTGTGAGCCACTGCGCCTGGCCATTCCCTTCCTTTTTAAGGTTATATTCCATTGCATGTACGAACCACATTTTGCTTATGTGCACTTGGGTTGCTTCTGCCTTTTAGCTGTTGTGAATAAGCTGCTATGAACATAGGTGTACAAACCGGCTTTCATTTTTTTATTATTAAAGCCTATTTTTTATTGATTGCTTATTATGTGCTCAGGACTGTGTAGACTTAATCATTTAATTGTCACAAGTACCTCCTAGGTGGCAACTATTCTCTCCATTTTATGAATGAAGAAATTGAGGCTCTGACAAGCCAAGTAATTTGTCCGAGGTGACGAAAGGGGAGAGCCAGAATGAGCACCTGCTCCTGTTCTTTAACCACCATTTTACTGAATTGTGTTGATGATGGACATGAAGATGAGGTCTTGGGGTATATTGCCTGCAACACCTCCCTCCCCTCTCCAACAGAAAGGGCAGACTCTTCCCCTGACCATCTGCCCAGTGAGATTGGGAGTGAATCCATCCTGCCTGGATGATTCCATCAGCAAGGGCTCTCATTCCTGGCTGCTCATCAGCATCAACCAGGGAATTAAAAGATGATGGCCTGGCCTCTCCCCGGAGTTAAACAGAACAGTTGAATTGAACTCTCTCAGGGCTGGAGCCCAGGCAGCAGCGTTTTTTAAAGGCTCCTTAAATGGTTCTATGTGCAGCCAGGGTTGAGAACCACTGGGCTAGAGGAGAGCGGAGGAAGACTACAGGAGAACTGGTTCCCTGTCCAGCCTCTTTGACTTTCCTTGTGAACTGCTCCACCGCTTTCCCAAGAGTGGCATTTGGCTATGAATGCCCTGAATCCCGTGACTCAGAACCCCTGGAGTGCCTCCCTTCTTTTCCTCCAGAGGTTCTGTTTGGGGTGTGTGAATGTGTGTGTTTGTGTGTGTGTGTGTGTGTGTGTGTGTTTGTGTGTGTGTCCCCTGTGTGACATAGGGCCCGGATGGACCTATCTGGACCAGCCAGACCCTAGAATGAAAACAAGTTGCTGACAGCCCTCAGGCCGCCAGAAATGAATTTCCGTCACCTCCCAATGAGGGGTGAGGGAACTGAGGGGGAGGGCCGGGGTCAGTGCGTCATCAGAGGGTGGGGAGAGGAGGAGGGGAGTACACAGGCCCCACAGGGCGGGGTCAGGGAAATTAGCCTCTGGGCCTGCCCCGGCTCTTTTGCCTGTGACTGTGGCACAACTCCCGTGGTGTTTTGCCCCAAGCCCCACCCATCCTGAGTCTCCCTGAGCTCTGTCTAAATCCAGGGTGGTGTCCAAGCCTGGAGAATTTCCAGGTTGGGCTCTGCCCTAAGGCATCCAGCCTGTGGAGCTGCTTGAATGGGGGCACGTTGGGATGAGGGGGATCAGTTAGCCTGTCCTGGGGATCTTCCTCCAAGCCAGCCTTGAGCCAAGACCTGTAAGATCCATGTGGGCCTAGCAGCCTGCCAGCTCAGTGCCTACAGCAACATGGAGGAAGGGGCTGGGGGTGCAGAAGAAGACCTACCTTGGGCACTGGAGGACAGAGGTTCAGCCACTGCCCTCCTGTGTGCCCCTGTGCAATCACTTCTCTCTGCGCCGTGACATCTCCATGTGCGTTAATTATAAAGGATTAAAGGATTTGGCCCAGATCCCTAGTTCCCAAATTCAGTTGCGCTTTGGAATCTTTCGGGGAGCTTTAAAAACTACCATTGACAATTTCATCCTCCAGAGATGCTGATTTAATTGGTGTAGTTTGTGGCCTGAGCATCAGGAGTTTTAGAAGATCCCCGAGTGAGTCTAATTTAAAGCCACGTTCTAGAAAACTACTTCCTAGCCACAGATACATCATGGCACCCATAGAACATGACAGTATTTGAACAACACACTGTTTCTTAGTCGCTCTGTGCCTCAGTTTCCTCATCTGTACAATGGGGATAATAATGGAACTTGCTTGGTAGGGTTGTTGTGAAGATTATATGAGCTAATGCAGAAAGGCATTGAGAAGAGCACCTGGCAAGTAGTAAAATGCTCAATAAATGTGAGCTGTTTTTATTAATTACCCTCTGGCTCTGCTCCAGATCTGGCCCAACTTCCACCCTCTGTCTTATCTCTCCATGTTCACACACCTCACCAAAGCGACTCAACCTGGTAAACATTTACTAGGGGTCCTCTGTGTGAACCATGCTGTGCCAGGCATTGAAGAAGGGATGTGGTGCATTTGGAATCACCTATGAAGCCGGGGACCCAGAGATGCATAAAACAGGTTTTTGCTCTCAAGACCCACAATCCAGGCCGGAAGAGGCAAGCATGGAAACAGACCTGGCAGAAACACTTCAGGGCTGTTTAATACAGAGGATACTGTCACTCTTTCTGCTTTCTAGGGACATGGCATGGTTCCTCTTGGGGAAATGATTCTTTTGTGGGGAAATCACAGCAATGGGCCCTTTGTGCGAAAAAGGCATGGCTTGACTATGTGAAGATGAAGTCAAGACAGTGATAATTTTGCATAAGATTTGAGGAAGCTGGCATCTATCTCTGAGACAACTGGCCAGAGAGGAGTGGAGATGGGGCCCTCGGAAGAGGGCCAGTGGGTGAGGACTACCATCAAATAAATCTCCAGGCAGAATTAAGCCTCATCTTGATTTTTAAAAAGCATTTTTGTTTGTAGTGGTATATTTTCATATTTTAATTTTTTTTTTTTTTGAGATGGAGTCTCACTCTGTTGCCCAGGCTGGAGTGCAGTGGCATGATCTCGGCTCACTCCAACCTCTGCCTCCCGGGTTCAAGCGATTCTCCTGCTTCAGCCTCCTGAGTAGCTGGGATTACAGGCACGCACCACCACGCCCGGCTAATTTTTGTGTTTTTAGTAGAGGCAGGGTTTCACTATGTTGGTCAGGCTGGTCTCGAACTCCTGACCTCGTGATCCGCCCACCTCGGCCTCCCAAAGTGCTGGGATTACAGGCGTGAGCCACCGCACCCGGCCTTTTAAAATTTTAAGAGTGTGAAAGTATATATAATGAAAAGTCTCCCTCCCCTTCTCCCCTCACCAGATTCTTATGTGGTTTCCCAGAGATATTCTAGGTATACGCAGCAAATGTATATCAACATGTTTTCACTTCCCCCACTCCCACACCCTCCCCCTTTCTTTGGTAAATATGCCATTCACAGTATTCTGCACCTAGCTTTGTATTTACTCAGCATTTGCTTAGCACTGTATTTACTTAGTGAGCATACCATGAGCAGCAAGAGCTTCCTCGTTATTTTTTCTGTTTTTTTTTTGTTTAGTTTTGTTTTGTTTTCTTTTTCTTTTTTTGAGATGGATTCTCGCTCTGTCATCCAGGCTGGAGTACAATGGCATGATCTCAGCTCACTGCAAGCTTTTCCGCCTCCCGGGTTCAAGTAATTCTCCTGCCTCAGCCTCTTGAGTAGCTGGGATTACAGGCACACTACCACCACGCCTGGCTAATTTTTGTACTTTTAGTAGAGACGAGGTTTCGCCATGTTGGCCAGATTGGTCTCAAACTCCTGACCGCAGGTGATCTGCCTGCCTCGGCATCCCAAAGTGCTGGGATTACAGGCATGAGCCACTGCACCCGGCCTCTGTTTTTGTTTTTTAATGTGTCAGTATTTTACACTGCTAAATGTACACACTTTATAGAGAAGCACAATCCTATGGTTTTTAAATAATAACAGGGAAATGGTTTAACATACTAGGGTTGGTTTGCCTAAGCCATTGCTCTCCAGCCTGGGTGACAGAGCGAGACCCTGCCTCAGAAAGAAAAGGAAAAAAAAAATGGTTTCACTGTACATAATATATGTGTGAAGTGACCATAAACACTAGAAACATCTAGAAATACTAGAACTATATTTCAGAAGAATGTAGTTTGATATTTATTGAGTATAAAATTTTCTTTTTTTTTTTTTTTGAGACAGTGTCTGAGTGCAGATCTTGGCTTACTGCAACCTCTGCCTCCTGGGCTCAGGCAACCCTTCCGCCCCAGCCTCCTGAGTAGCTGGGACTACAGGCGTGCACTATCACGCCCAGCTAATAGTATAAAAGTTTTGTGCACAGTGTAACAAATACAATTTTTACAAATCTGCTTTGAAAATGTGGTGGTCATTTCTTCGGGTTTCATACTATTTACTTCATCCATTGCATTTTAAATAGCTTTGTGTCTTGTAACAGCTCGGTTCATCTAGTCCTGGAGTCTAGCTCCAGTCAGCCCACTTTTACCTGCTTGGTGAGGACACCAGAGCCTGCTTCCTCTTCCATTACTGTTATTAAGATTCCAGTTGCCAGATGTTCCTCCTCTCCAGTCAGGTCAGCTATGAGCAAAGTGTCATCAAACACGGCAAAGGAAGTTGCAGCTGGGTAAGTTCTAGTATTCAAATAACTTCTCTTCTTAACTTCTGCTAAAATAGTCTCTTTCTAGCAACTTCAGGCAACTGTACATTTTAAAAAGCTGCTTACAAAGCAAATGTGCAGGCATCCAAAATGCTTCCATAATAGGCAAATGAGAGAGGCGAATGAGATCATAGCATAGAATTCAAGCACGCTTTCCTGGAGAAATGCATAAATTCCTTTTCTGAATTATCTGTGAATTTTCAGTGATATCTTCAGTGATCTGGCTAGTGGCTTGGATCTCTTCTCCAGGAGGTCCAGACTGAAATCTCAGTGGAACACAAGGGTGGCAGAGCCCCAGTGGGAGCCACAGATCCTTTATGGAAGCATCTGTGGATGGTGCTGCAAACTCTGCTTTAACCTTACACATTACTGTAGTATTTCCCAGCTTCACTAAAGGAGAACCGACTGCAGTACTAATTGAACCTGTGTTGACAGTTGTGGTTCTGAATTCACCAAGTTCTCTTTCATCAGCAAGGCAGATCTCTTTCAGAAATCTCCTGTAATTACCAGAGGTTCCGTGGTTTTGAACCCAGCTACCATCTTCCCAGTGCCAACTGTCCCCTCATTATTGTGATTTTTTACAGCTGCACGGTGTTCCACTATGTAGACGTACCAGGGTTTATTTACCCGGACTCCTGTTGTTTCACCTTGGTGTTGAACTTGCTTCCTGCTCTGTGCTGCGGTTTCCCACCATACAGTGAACCTTCAGGAAAGTCTGACGCATAGATGTGGGCTTAGGGGCAGATTGCCATAAAGCAGAGGGCTTCCGTGAGGAAAGGCTTGGGAGAACCCCCAGGTTTAGCCCTCAGAAGCGCTGAGAAGGGCTTGGCACCTTCCACAGTCTATGGGTGGGGGCACCAGCCTTCCTACTGGGTGTTACAGGAAAGGGTAAGTCAAGGAGGCCCAAGGTCAAGAAGTCATCCAGATTGGAGATGCCCGGGTTGCTCAAATAATGGCAACATGTGGTGCCTAATTAGAAATTCAGACAAAGATAATAGTACAGGCAGAATTCAAGGTCATAGAATGCCACAGCCGGAAGGGGCCTCAGAGACCACTGAGTACTCCTCCTTAGAGTCATAATAATACAGAGTTAAAATTTATTGAGCCTTGCATGCTCTGTAGCATTCCAAGTGCTTTTTATCTATTAACTCATTTAATCCTCACACTATTTGAAGAAACCGAGATGCAAAGAAGATACAGCCAGGTTCACAAAGCCGGTACGCAAAGCGCTGGGACTGAAACCCCAGGAGCTTGTCTGGGGCCTATGCTCTTACCCTTCACGCATTCCACCTCTCTACACTGCTGAGGAGACTGAGCCCAGGGGGATGTCACTCAGCTCATTGGTGGCAGAGCCAGGGCTAGAACCCAGAAACCCTTTAGGTCCTCCCTCCAACACACTGCCTCAGTTTGCCTGATGGGCTCGGAGGGGCCACAGCGAGGCAGGGGCAGGAGTCAGCAGGGGTGTGGCTCTGGGGATGAAGAGAATGGCTGTGATTCCGCCAGAAGAGTGGTGGGGCAGCCTGGTGCCTGCAGACAGGCAGACCCTCTGATATTACAGGTGGGTCTGGGATGTGTCTTGCAGCCCCCTGATGTTGACTCTCTTAATACTCTCTCCAACTGTGGTTTGTCCCCTCGGTGGTGTTTCTGTGGCCTGAACTGGCTCCTTGCCCTGTCTCCAGGCCCATTAGTTCCTCTCTCCCCACCTGTCATCAGCAGCATCACTTTACCAGATAAGCAGGGCCCACCCACAGTGTTTTTGGGGCAGCAGGGAGAGCATTTACTCAAGAAACACAAAGAAACCACATGCAGGGTAGAACTGTGTACACAATGAGGACTCCATAAATGCTCTCAGCATCTCCTGCTGAGGTGTAATGATAGAGACTTGGTAGTGATGGCTTCAGGACTTTCTGACCTCATCCAAGGATGGGGCACTTTCAACTACTCTTGCTGCAGGTCTGATCACCCCGTGGGTCTGTCTCAGACCCAGAGGCCACACCCACTGCACAGGTAAAGACCCAGGGATGGAGCAGGGTGGCAGCTCCTCCCTTCCTGCCTGGGCGCTCACCAGACTTTATTTATTTATTTATTTTGAGACGGAGTCTTGCTCTTGTCCCACAGGCTGGAGTGCAATGGCGCGATCTTGGCTCACTGCAACCTCTGCCTCCCGGGTTCAAATGGTTCTCCTGCCTCAGCCTCCCGAGTAGCTGGGATTACAGGTGCCCGCCACCATGCCCAGCTAAATTTTGTATTTTTAGTAGAGACAGGGTTTCATCATGTTGGCCAGGCTGGTCTCAAACTCCTGACCTCAGGAGATCCACCCGCCTCGGCCTCCCAAAGTGCTGGGATTACAGGCGTGAGCCACCATGCCTGCTTTATTTATTTATTTATTTATTTATTTATTTTTTGACACAGAGTCTTGCTCTGTGGCCGAGGCTGGAGTGCAGTGGTGTGATCTCGGCTTACTGCAATTTCTGCCTCCCAGGTTCAAGCGATTCTCCTGCCTCAGCCTCCTGAGCAGCTGGGACTATAGGCATGCACTACCACACCCTGCTAATATTTGTATTTTTGTAGAGATGAGGTTTTTTCATTTTGGCCAAGCTGGTCTTGAACTCCTGACCTCAGGTGATCTGCCCACCTCGGCCTCCCAAAGTGCTGGGATTACCACTGTGCGTGGCCACTTCCCACACTCTTTACTGCCCATAGCTCTGCATGGCTCTGCTCATATTGGGCTGGCCTGGGGGCTGTGGGCAATTCTAGGTCATCTCAGTCCTTTTGGCACAGGGCCTGGCATGCAGTAGGCACCCATCAAGTTTGTGGGACCAATGAGTGAGGCCACCAGCCTACCATTCTGTGTCTTGGATGAAAGCTACATCATCCTCTATTCTCTGTCTGGCCCTCACCCAAGTCTCCCTCCTCCCCCTCCTCCCCCTCCTTCCCCTCTTCCCCCTCTCCTTCCTGACTCCCAAAGGAACTTGTAGTTTATCCAGCCTGTCTTTTTTAGTTTTAAACAGCTTTATTGAGATATAATTCACATATCTCCCAACTCACCCACTGAAAGTGTACAATTCAGTGGTTTCAGTGTATTCACAGACTTGTGCAACTGCCACACAATCCGTTTTAGAGCGTTTTCCTTACCAGCCCATCTTTTGGCAGCACCCATTCTGCTCAGCTTTCAAACACCCACAGGTCTCCTCAACTTAGAAAGAGCCTCCCTTGACCCTGGTCTGCACTTTCTGGACATTGTGCAATATGTTTCCCTCCTTCCGTGACTAAACCACTTGAATGAGTGGTTCACACCCACTGCCTTCATTTTCTCAGAATCAGTAAACATTAGGAAAAGAATGTCTATGAGGTACGATGCAAGAGCTTTTCATATATATCATCTCATTTAATCCTCTAAACACTCTGTGAGCTGGGGATTATTTTCACTCTTTTAGAGGTGAGAAATCCAAGGCCAAGAGAAAGTGACTGGCCCAAAAGACTTGGCCAGGATTTGAACCCAGGTCTATGTGAGTCCAGAGCCAGTGCTTGCTACACTGCCTGTTGTCCCTGTGGCCAGTACAGCTGCGAGGTCCAGCTGTTGACCTTCACACTTGTCACTTGCAGGTGCTCCTTGCATCCCATCACCCTTCAAATGACCTTCCTGTTCCAACAAGATTGGTGCCCTTCATGCTGGGTTCATTCTCTCCAAGCCTTTGTTCAAGCCGGTCCTTCCACCTGGCGCCCTTTTCCTTCCTCTTTTCTACCTTGGAATATCTGAAAATTCCCTTAAAAAAAAAAAAAAGGTCTGGCTCAGATCTCCGTACTTTCTCCACAAGAGCTCCCTGTATCTTTGACTCAGCCTGCCTGCTCTCTGGGCCTAAAGCTCGCTCTGTTCCTTATCTAACAGCTTGGTTTTGTTATTGAAATCAAGGCTGCAGTTTTTAATCCCCTTGGACTCTGGAACCACATTGGTACCTTTTTTTTTTTTTTTTGAGATGGAGTTTCACTTTTGTTGCCCAGGCTGGAGTGCAGTGGTGTGATCTTGGCTCACTGCAACCCCCGCCTCCCAGGTTCTAAATGACTCTCCCGCCCCAGCCTCCCAAGTAGCTGGGATTACAAGTACCCACCACCATGCCCGGCTAATTTTTGTATATTTAGTAGAGACAGGGTTTCACCATGTTGGCCAGGCTGGTCTCAAACTCCTGACCTCAGGTGATCTGCCTGCCTTGGCCTCCCAAAGTGCTGGGATCACAGGCATGAGCCATCTCACCCGGCCATATTGGTACCTTATAACCTCCACCTTGCTGGGCTGTGAATGGAGCGGGTGTCCAGTAAGTTTTCTGAAAGAAAAGAAGAAAGGAGAGAAGAAATGGAGGGAGGGAGGAAGGGAGGGTGGAAGGAAAGGAGGAGGAAGGCAGGGAGACTAATGTCTGCGAGGTGATGGTGAGGGTCCCAGGAGATATGGCTGTGAAGGCGTTTTCAAATATGAAACCATTTTAAGGGCAAGGCAAAAATGATCTCTCAGCAAGGGGCCTCCCATATGCTGTGTGCTCAATGATGACTGCATTAAGTTGGCTGGCCCCTCATCCCTTGCTGGAGGTGGTGCTTGTGTCTTCTTTTGGCTGACGAGTCTCGGGAGAAGGGACCACATCTACTCCTAATCATTCTTCTGGGCTCAGTACAGGGCCTGACACAGAAGAGAGCCCTCCAAAAATGTTTAGTGAAAGAACAAATTCACTTGTGCTTTCCCAAATGCATCCTCAGGATACATACCAGCTCAGTTGCCTCATTCTTTCAAAAAATGTTTATTAAACACCTACTATGTGTCAAGCATAATTCCAGGTATTTGGGATACCACAATGAACAACACAGATTTGCCTGCCCACATAGATTTGACATTCTAGTGGGTGAGAGAGGAGATAAAGAGGAACGCATAAAAATAAGTAAATTATAGGGCATATTAGAGGCTGATAAAGGCTTTGGAAAATAAGAGTTGACTAAGATAAGGAGAGAAGACAGAGTGTCAAGGGAAGTGTGGTTACAGAAATAAATAGTTTGGTAAGGGTAGAGAGATTTAGGATCAAAAGCTAAAGGGATATGAGGGAGTGAGCCATGATGATATTTGGGGGAAGAGCGTTCAAGGCAAAGAAAACAGCTGGAGCAAAGGCCGTGAGGCAGGAGCGTGCCTTGAGGGTTTGAGGCCAGTGTGGCTGGAGCAGAGGGACCGAGGAGAGTAGGGGGTGGAGAGGAAGGGGGCTGAGGTCAGATGGTGTGGTTCTGAAGGCCATTGTGAGGTCCTGGCTTTTCCTGTGAGTGGGAAGGGAGTCACTGGGGTGGGTTGGGCAGAGGAGGGATGTGGTTGGCTTAAAAAGAGTCAAATAGAACTCTGGTTACTAAGTGGAGAGTAGACTGTAGGGTCCCAGGGCAGGAGGGAAACCTGCAGGAAGACTGAAGTAGTCCAGGAGAGAGGGGCTGGGAGCTTGGTGCAAGCGGTGGAGGTGGCTGGGAGTGGTGGGTCCTGAATATATTTCAAGGGTCGAGCCAACAAGATTTCTTGATGGTTGAAGGTGAGAGGGAGAGGTGTCAAAGGTGGATCCAAGATTGCTGGCCCGAGCTGTTGGAAGGATAGAGTTGCTATTAGTGGAGATAGGGAAGCTGTGGATGAAGCACGTTTGAAGGAAAAGATCAGAGGTTTGGTTTTGGCCATGTTGAGTCTGAGATGGGCTGGTGGGCTGATGCCTAGATGGCTGACTATTCAAGTCTGGAATCCTTTGATCTGGGTGAACTTACCACTTGAGCAGGGCTGCTGCTGTGCCCTTCCCAAGGCAGGTGGGTGCTGTTCCCATGGACTAGGACTGGGCAGGATTTGGGGTGGGACTGCTTCTGAGGCTTGGTGTCCTCATTTGTAAGATTGACATAATAATACTCATTTTGGGGTTACTCTGTGTGTGTGTGTGTGTGTGTGTGTGTGTGTGTGTGTTTGTGTGTGTGTATAGTGTTCAATGAGATAGTAGAGGCTGGACAGGTGGCTCATGCCTGTAGTCCCAGCACTTTGGGAGGCTGAGGCAGGCAGATCACCTGAGGTCAGAAGTTTGAGACCAGCCTGACCAACATGGCGAAATCCCATCTCTACTACAAATACAAAAATTAGCTGGGCATTGTGGCACACGCCTGTAATCCCAGCTACTCAGGGGGCTGAGGCAGGAGGATCACTTGAAACTGGGAGGTGGAGGCTGTAGTGAGCTGAGATTGCACCGTTGCGCCCCAGCCTGGGTGACAGAGCAAGACTCTGTCTCAAAAAAACAAAAAACAACAACAAAAACAAACAAACAAACAAAAGAGATAGTAGACAGTGCCTAGCACGGAAGAAGCACTCAGTGAACAGTGGTTAAATAACGGCAAAGAACTAACCTGGATTGGCTCCTGCAGATCAGTCATCAAATGGGTTAAGCGGGTGTGGATTCGAGGAAAAGCTAAGAATGGAGGCTAGGAGCATGTGGGATGTGATTTCATTGCTCCAGAGGGACTAGAGCTTGTCGGGCAACAGGAAGGGGAATGACTTGTGAAAGGGGGTGTAGGGGCCACCCAATTGCAGGTGACGGAACAGCCCCTTGGGTTAGGGCTCAGCAGCTGTTCTCTGTGTCCCAGCCAGGATAATGAGGGGGAGGCTGTCTGGTTGCCTGGGGACACAGGCCCTTTGCGCAGTAGCACCAGTAGGAGATACTAACCAGTTCTTCATTTATTAAAATTCTTCAAGTATTAAAGTCTTCTAAGGGGAAAATCCAGGATTTCCTCAGCTTTTCTCTCAGGCCCAGTCCATGGCTTGGTGTGCAGCAAGTCTTTAATAAATGTTAGCATCGGCCAGGTGCCATGGCTCACGCCTATAATCCCAGCACTTTGGGAGGTTGGGGTGGGTGGATCACCTGAGGTCAGGAGTTCAAGACCAGCCTGGCCAACGTGGTGGAACCCCATCTCTACTAAAAATACAAAAATTGGCCGGGCGCGGTGGCTCACGCCTGTAATCCCAGCACTTTGGGAGGCCGAGGCGGGTGGATCATGAGGTCAGGAGATCGAGACCATCCTGGCTAACAAGGTGAAACCCCGTCTCTACTAAAAATACAAAAAATTAGCTGGGCGCGGTGGCGGGCGCCTGTAGTCCCAGCTACTCGGAGGCTGAGGCAGGAGAATGGCGTGAACCTGGGAAGCGGAGCTTGCAGTGAGCCGAGATTGCGCCACTGCAGTCCGCAGTCTGGCCTGGGCGACAGAGCGAGACTCCGTCTCAAAAAAAAAAAAAAAAAAATTAGCTGGATGTGGTGGTGGGTGCCTGCAATCCCAGCTATTCGGGAGGCTGAGGCAGGAGAATCACTTGAACCCGGGAGGCGGAGGTTGCAGTGAGCCAAGATTATACCCCAGCACTCCAGCCTAGGCAACAAGAATGAAACTTCACCTCAAAAAAAAAAAAAAAAAAAAGTCAGGTGTGGTGGCATGCACCTGTAATCCCAGCTACTTGGGAGGCTGAGATGGGAGGATTGTTTGAGCCCAGGAGGTGAAGTTTGCATGCAGTGAGCAGATTGCACCACTGCACTCCAGCCTTGGTGACAGAGTGACATCCTGTCTCAAATCTGAAAAACAAAAAAAAAGTTAGCATCTGTTCTTCCCTCTCGATATACAAAATTGTGGTTAGATCTTATTTTCAAGAATTGCTATGAAGATTACGCGCAGTAGTATATAAGGAGGCATTTTTGCAGCAGCGACATTTAACCCCCAGGATAACTGAGTTCAGAGATGTCAGATAACCTCCTGAATGACACAGGTACTACGGGGTGGAGGGAGGTTTGGGACAATTGGAGCCAGTGGGAGCTGTCAGTGCCGGCGGTGGGGGTCTTCAGCAAGTTTAGAAAGTGAGGAGGGCAGCGCTGGGCAGAGAGGAGGGCAAGTCAAGTCTCTAGGCAGGGCATGGCTTTGACGGCAGGCCTCACAGTAAGATGGGTGTGCTGGATTCAGGATCTAGACGGTGAGATCCCAGAAAGTGAGGCAGGTAGTGGAACCAAGGGAAGACCTCTCTCGAAGCTTCTTGCCGCTCTTAGAGATGAGGGAGCGAATGTTTTTGGGCATGGACCAGACTGTATCTCCCAGAACTCTCTTGGCAGCCTTGCCAGAGGGGTGCTGTTCTCCCATTGCACAAATGAGGCTGCTTAGGCCTGGAGAGGGTAAGGACCTTGCTCAAGGTTGTACAGACTGACAGCGACGGAGTCAGGATTGTGACCCAGCTTTGCTCAACTACAAAGACTGCCCTCTTTCCACTACACCATGAGGTCACCGTGACCCCCAGGAAACAGGGGGATGGACAATATCAGATGACCTTTTAAAGATCTTTGCCAGCAGAAACATTTTCTCAGTCTCTGCTCCTTGGTCTCCCTCCACACTCACCCCTGCCTCCTCCCGCTCTCTTCCCTCCTCATTACTCAACCAGGAGTAACCCCACTGGCTATCTATCTGTGGGTTGGGGGAGGAGACCAGCAGCTGTAGTTACTCAGATTAACCCTCTGCTGCCTGCCCACCTCCCCTCCACCCCATGGATGTGTTGGTGAGGAACCCCCCTCCCCGCTCCCCTGCAGGCAGCCACTGGCTGAGGGGCACTTCCCAGAATTAGCCACTGTGAACAGCTGGCTGGGGGGCGGGGTTGAGGGGGTAGGTGGTAGAAAGGAGGCTAATAGCTTCCAGATGTGCCAAGGCACGAGAGCCTTGGGAGCTTCAGTTTCAGTGGTCTCCTGTGACTGGGATGGGTTGGCCCTCGTGTCCAGGACTCCAGAATTACTAAGGCAGCCAGGCAGATCCCGACTTTCAAGCTGCATGCAAATCTGTGTGCAGGGTAAGGTTGACCTCCAAGCTGCACCTGCAGGGGCCCCGGGAAAACCCCTGCAGCCCAGCTGCTCTCTGTGGTATTAATACTAACACCATCTACCATGTCTACACTGCCAGTAGCATAGGCAACAGAGCATGGTAGTTTCGAGTGCAGGGTTTGGATTCACAGCGCTTAGAATCAAATCTCAGCTCAATCTCTCAACCAGTTCTGGGACCCAAAGCAAACTGCTCAGCTTCCTTAGCCATGAAATAGTTTCTATTTCATAAAGTTATTATTAGTATTAAATGAGATAATCTATGCAAAGTGCTTAATGCAGTGCCTGGCACATAGGAAGTTGTTGTCATTTAGAGAATACCTACCTTATTTCAGAGGCTATGCAATTTTATCCTTGCAACCCTGGAAGTTAGCTATGAGTAGTCTTACTTTTATGAGGCTATATCAAGGCTCAGAGAGGCTAAGTTACCTGTCCAGGATCACACAGGTGTCAAGTGCAGGGTTGCAACTTGAACCCAGGCCAAATGAACCCTAAAGCCCAGGCTCATTATCCTGTGCCCCTCCCTGTGTGTGTGTGTGTGTGTGTGTGCGTGTGTGCGCATGTGTTTTACATTTTCCCATCAGTAGAAAGAGGTTGTAGGACCTGCTAGGGGCTGAGGGCATCATTTTCTGTCCTGCTTACTGAAGAGAGGCCTGACCCAGAAAAGTAGGCAACAGCTTGGGGGTTCAGAGGGGCCCTGGAAGAAGGCAAGTGCCCTGGAGGGGACACCAGGGACAGGAAATTTCAGGAACATGGAAGGAGCAGAGGACAGAATATCAGAGGTTGGGAGAAGTCCAGGTTGTCCTAGGGTGCCCTCAAAGAGTATCCAGAGCCCCCATGAGCGGATCCTCAGGAGCCACTGACTGCCCTTTCCCTGGGTGTGTTTCTTGCTTTGCCAGTTGCTGCTCCTCTTCTGCACGTCTTCTCCTTGGCTAGTGCAGGGTGGTGGAGGGTCTCCAGAATTCCCCTTTACAGGATGGGGAGGACGGGAGACCAGGGAGGAGGAGAACCAAGAGCGAAGGGGCTGGAGCCAGCCAGCAGGGAGGCCCGCCATTGGCCCAGCTCCCAGGGCCTGGGCCTGAGGACTACGGAGCTGCCTGCCCCTCACCATTCCCTCCCACTGCCCCCTAGGGCTCCTTGGCTGCTGAGCCTGCCAGATGGGCCCCCGCCAAGCCAAACAGCTGCCAGGGGGAGAGGAAGAAGCATTTCCGAGCAGAGAGGCCCCTGTAGGCTCCTGCTGAAGCCTAGAATCCCCCTTTCTCACCGCCAAGTGAAGGGGGAATCTGTGCACATGCACATAGGCATGCACGCATGGCACTGGGGAGCCCAGGCGCAGGGCCACGGGACCTGGGACATGCAGGGGCAGAGGGGTGGGGGTCTGGAAGCAGGCTTGGGCAGGGACCATGGCTGTGCCAGGTAATAGGGAGTCTGGGGAATTAAGCTTGGCTCACTCTGAGGTTGGGGAATGTAGTGGATTGAATAGAGACCCCCAAAGTTTATGCCCACCTGGAACCTGAGCATGGGACCTTATTTGGAGATAGGATCTTTGCAGAGGTAATGAAGGTGAGGATTGAGATGCGATCACGCTGGATTAGTGTGGGCCCCAAATCCAGTGAAAGCGTCCTCCTAAGAAACAAGTAAAAACACTGAGAGACGTGGTGGGGACAGCCGTGTGAAGACGCATGTGAAGGTGGTGTCAGAGACTGGAGCCCACAGCCAAGGAATGCTTTGAGCCACCAGAAGCTGGACAGGAACTTGGCCCTGCTGGCATCTCAATTTCAGACTTCTGGCCTCCAGAACTGTGAGAAAATAAATTTCTGTTGTTCTAAGCCACCAAGTTTGTGGTCATTTGTTTCGGCAGCTCTAGAAAATGAAGACAGGGAGGCATATGGAGGAGGGTTGGGGTGGGGGGAGTGGGTAGGTGGAGGCTTCATAAGAAAGCCTTGGAAAACAGGATACAAAATATTGACCATTTATCTTGCCACTATTCTGTGCCAGGCACTTTTAAAGATATTTATCTCTATCCTCACAATGACCCTGCCACAGAGAATTATGGTTTCCATTTTACAGTGAGGTTCAGACCCAAGTGAACTCCATTTAGTTAGGATTCCAACCCAGGATCCTCTGTCTCCCAAGCCTGGCCTCTGTCCACCTTCTTTCAAGGGTGGCCCCAGTAGATTCCAGGGCAGATGACACTTGCTTTCAAGTTGGAGGGGTCTCCAGGAGTCTGAGAGGGGAACATAATGATGCTCTACTGGGAAACAGGGGAAGAGGCCATTACTGCTCTGGGGGCCTGCTGTGCTGGATGCCCTAGAAAATCTCGACTCACCACGATGTTCCTGTAGGCCTCAGTGACATGGCCAACGGTTTCTTCATGGTCCTGTACCCTACAGAGGGAGGCATCCCTACTCACCTCATTCCCACTATGACAATCACATCACTCCCTCCACCACCATCGCTGTCTCCATCATTGCCACCTCCATCACCACCGCCATCACCTTCACCATCATCCCCTTCACTGTTACCATCACCACCCTGAAACTGCTATAATGGCTGTCACGACCAGTACTTCTGTGTCCATGTCACCATCTCCATCACAACCCCTCTACCCCCACTACCATCACTGCAAAATGGTGGAGAGGTGAGAGGCCGGTAAGTCACTCAGGGAAGGACAGGACAGCCGAGCAGGATTTAGCAGGGGAGGAGGAGGAGGTGGGATGTGTCTGGCTGACAGACAGGGTCCATAGTGAAGGACTGCCCTAGGTTCAGCCTTGTTGAGAGGGAGGTGAGTCTGCCTGGCTGGAGTAAACACTTGGTAGGACAGGCTGTCTTCGCGGGCGTTGGTTTGGGTGGGTGGAGGCTATTCTAGCAACACATCCTGCCCCTGCCTGGCTCACGATGGTCTCTGGGGGATGTGGATTTTGGCGGGTCCCTGGCTCGTGGCCACCTGCCTGGCCTGGCCTGGCCGTAGCAGTGAGGTCATGAGAGTGGCTGTACTGGGAGTACTGGGGAGTGGGGTGGAAAGGAGGGGCGCGCCCTGGCTGGGAGAGGAAGGCCTCTCTCCCCTGGCTGACTCTACCCATAACGATCATAACGATGAAGTAAGCACGAGCCTGGACACTCCATCTCCCCAGACTGCCCTCCCTCCGGCCTGCCCAGCTTGCCCCGGGCCTGGGTTCTGGGCGCTGCAGGCTCTCTCTGCCAAGGGCTCTGGGTTTCCCATTCCCTGGTGACATCTTGATAGTTGGATCAGCCACCTGAGGGAATACAGGGGCCAGAGGCTCTGATCTGGGTGTAGGGAGAGAATTGACTGTGGAGAAGGGCGTACTATTTCTCCACACTTCCTCCTTGTTAGACTCAATATGCCTGTGTGTGGTGTAGGGAGATGGTGGCAGAATGTTCCAGAGACTCGGGCCCCAGCCGCTCCCCTCACCTCTTCCCTGCACACCTGGCCACCTCCACTGCCTTTAGAGACTGGGGACCGGCCAGCTCTGGGAACAGCCTCTCTCAACCCTTCCAAGCCCTGAAACTGCCCAAATGCCCAGCTAATCCCACCCTCTAAGATCTCACTTGAGAGCTGTGGGAAATGGGAAACAATACTATCGTGGGATGTGTTTATCTCTGCATCAGGCGTGAGAGCCCGGCAGACAGGCTGGCGACTGGAGGGGCCAAGCGGCCACTGAGTCCCTGAGACAGGAGATCGGAGGGTGGAGTCAGTGAGAGCACTGGGGAAGGGCCCCGGCTTCCACCCACATCCTGGGAAATGGCTGTGGCTGAGCCACCTCTCACTACAATCATTCCTGGGGGAAGGCCTTTTGCTGGCTTAGGAAAGACTTTGGACTTCGACAGGACACGGAGACCTTTTGAGGACCATAAGATAGTGACAGCTAGTGTTCACTGAGCATTTACTGCATATGGAGCCCTGTCCAGGCACTTTATATGTGTCCACTCATTTAGTCCTCCCAATATCACTATGAGGTTATTACAATTACTGTTATATGTATTTCACAGTTAAGGAAACGGAGGCGCAGACAGCTAAAGACATTTGCTGAAGGTTAGAATGATGGAAGGTGGAGCTAGAATTTGTGTCCAGCTCTTCTGGCTTCAGAGCTCATGCTCTTTACTCTGGGGTGGAGTGGGGTGGATTTTTTGAGTTCCCACTCCAAACCTACCCACCCCTTCTTCTCCAGGGTCCCTACCTGGTATGGCAAACAGCACAGAAATGGGAGCCAGGAGCCTTGGGTCCTTGTGCCTCTAACCTTGCTCTGTGGCTGAGGGCAAATTCTTGCTCTCTCCAGCCTCAGTTTCCCCATCTGCCCACTGTGCCAGCATTGGACTCATCCAGGGATCCCTGAAAGCCCTCCCGGCCTGATATCTGGAGCTGAACTACCCCAGCTTGGAGCTGTTCCTGTTTGTGGGGCCAGCCTGGGCCCTGGGAATGGTGGGGAGATGGGAGTTGGAGGGTGGAACCCAATGGCCTGGAGGACCCCTGGGTGTCCGGACAGCTCTCACATGGCCCCATGGCAGCCACCTCTTTGACTGTGCTCCATCAAGAGGAGCGGCAGGAGCACAGATCAGAGACAATAGCCAAACATGCTCACCCACCCACAGATCCCTGCCTGGCAGTGGGGCGGGGAGAGGGTCTGCCGGGATCCAGTTCCCACCAACCCCGGACTCCTCCGGCATCTCCTGACTGGGCCCCTCCCCGCACAAGTGGTGATAGGAGTAGGCAGATCCTTACCCTCCTTTCAGAGCACCCAGTGGGCAGCAAGCATCTCTGATTATCCTCCTCACCCCATGCAGCCCTTTCTTCCTCTCCTAGCCATACCTTAGATGGCCTTGCTTTTTATCCAGCCACATTTTCTGAGCCTACTATGTGCCAGGCACTGTGCCAGGTGTAGGAAGACAGGGATGGAAAAAGCTTGATTCCTGCCCTCAGGTGCTCACAGCCTAGTGGGAATTAACCCTAACCCATCCCACATTCCCTGCCCTCCACGCTTCACCACTTGGAGGATCATCAAAGGCAGAGCGCAGAGGGCAGGGGAGGGATTCTTCAGGGCCCAAAGGCCAGGGAAGTTCTGGGGGCACCAGAGCAGGCAGCAAGAGTGGGAGCTGGAGCCAGCAGGCCCTGGGAGGAGTGCGCCTGGTCCTGAGATCCTTTTTGATGATGACTACCTAGGCTGCTTGAGTGGAAAGAGGATGGGGTACTATCTTTCCCCTTGCTGGAGGTGACTTCAAGCAGGACAATAGCCTGTTTGCTGAGCTGGAACCCTAGAGTCTGTTAAGGCCAACTTGAGTTTGGTAATAGATGATCCCAGAATTTTAAGAAAAAGAGGAGCACAGAGCCACAGAGCTGAGATGAAGGTAGCGGAGGACAAATTTCCATGTGGGGAGTGAGGCTCACTTACAGAAGCTGGTGAGTCTGAGGTGGTAGGTCTGGTTGGGTTCATGTCTTACGAAAAGTGACTGTAGTAACTTGACCTGTGAAATGGGGGATAATCTCATCTAAAATATTAAGTTCATCCATTCATTCACCAACAAGGTTTATTGAATGACTGCCATATTCCAGACACTGGGACTTCAGCAGTAAAAAGGCAGCCTCAGTTCCTGCCCTCTTGGAAATTGTGTTCCATTGGAGAGAAAGATAATAAACCTATTTTTATATGAAAAATGATTTCAGGCTGGGCGCGGTGGCTCACGCCTGTAATCTCAGCACTTTGGGAGGCTGAGGCAGGCGGATCACGAAGTCAGGAGTTCGAGACCAGGCTGGCCAACATGGTGAAACCCCATCTCTACTAAAAATGCAAAAAATTAGCCAGGTGTGGTGGCGTGTGCCTGTAGTCCCAGCTACTAGGGAGGCTGAGGCAGGAGAATCATTTGAACCCAGGAGGCAGAGGTTGCAGTGAGCCAAGATCGCGCCATTGCACTCCAGCCTGTGTGACAGAGCAAAACTCTGTCTCAGAAAAAAAAAAAAAAAAAGATTTCAATACAAATCTGAGAAGCGGTGAAGGGAAGCACAGGATAAGTTTCTATGCTATGACATTTTATCACAACTGGACCTGCCTGAATCTGTGTGATCCAGGAAGACTTCTCGGAGGAAGTGACATTTAAGCTGAAGTTTACAGGGATGAGAGCAATGTGTCAGGATTAGCTTCAGCTGTAAGTGACAGAAAACCCCCAAAATAAGAGTGGTTTAAACAAGACAGAAGTTTAATTTTCTTCCATAAGTGAAGCCCAGAGCTGGGTGGTCCAGGGGTGATGGAGAATCTCCATAGTCATCACAGGTGCCAGGCTCCCTCTAGCTAAATCCGTGGCTCCACCATTCTCACATTCTCACATCTCAGTCCAGAATGGCTTTTCCAGCTCCAGCCATTATGTTCATAGTCCAGTCAGCAGGAAGGAAAAAGGTGAGAGAGAAGGAAATGATATGCTCCTGCCTTTAAGAACACATCTTTGTAGGTGACACACCATTTCTACTCACAGACTTTTGGCCAGAGCTCAGTCACATGATTCTCCTAGCTGCAAAGGATGCCAGGGAATTTGTCTTTATTTTGGGCAGCCATGGGCCTATCACTAAAGAAGAAAGGGAGATGGCTAGACATTTATGCCACAAGGAACTATTCAGGTGAAGATGGGAGTACTAGAGTTGAGACTGCTAGGGTGAGGGACATTAAGAATGACTCAAGGATCCCAGGTTCTGCTGTGATCAGTGGAGTGTCTGGTGGTTGCATTTGCTAAGCTAAGGGACCTCAAAGAAGGAGCAGGTTTGCTGACCAGGAAGAGTTAAGTTTGAACGCATTGAGTTGAAGGGGCTGTGAGCCATCTGTGTAGAGAGGCTCATGGATATATGGGTCTGGACTCAAGAGACAGGTCTGGGGTAGAGGTCTATCCTGGGCATTGTAGGCATATTGGTGGCAGCTGCAGCCATCAAAGAGAGGAATGAGAAGGCCCAGGGAGCAGTGGAGAGAAGAGAAAAAGCCTAGGGCACAACCTTGAGAATGCTGGGAACATGTTCACCCTCATTTTGAGTTTTCCTTTTGGGGCATTGTCTCTTCTCCATCTTGTGGGGTGAAAAAACAAATGATCTGCTTTCCTACTCTAGAGTTGGAAGGATCCCTGGAGACTCATTGCACCAGGCCCTCCCTTTCACCTCCATGGAGCAGCCGAGGGGCGGCCATCTGACCTAAACTCAGCTGGTCAGACTCTTGGGTCTGGGCATCTTGAGCATCCTGACACTAGGATGGAAGGGGCCTTTGGAGTTCAGCCAAGTCACTTCTGTCTGGTTTCCAAGTTAGGTACTCCAGACTCCCAGTCGATTCTCTGACCTAGCTCCTTAATATTTTTCCAGTTAATTCTTTTGTTTTTTATTTTTTCTTATAAGTGCCAGAGGTGGTTTCTGTTACTCGCAAACAGAGAGGAGCCAGTGAAGGAAAATAAGATGGACAGGACTTCAGAGGGGCAGGAAGAGAGCCGAAAACCGGGAGCTAGGCTTTACAAAAATAAGCGAAAGAGTATATCTTGAAGAAAGGAGTAGCCAGTGGCGTCAATTTTTATTTAGAAAGTGTCCAGTATGTCTGTGTAAGCATGGGAGAAAAAGGCAAGAAGGAAACACAGCTGTTAACAATGAGGAATAATGGGGGGAGGCTTCGATAGATCTTTGTTTCAAAGGACAGGAACCCAACTCATACTTGCTTAAGACAAAAACAACAACAAAAAAGTAATTTATTGGCTTATATCACTGAAGAGTCCAGGGGTGAGTCTGTCTTTGGCACAGCCCGGACAATGTCTGCAGGGCTTGGTCTCTGCTCTCCTCTGTGTGGGCTTCCTTCTCGCGCATGTTCTCCTTAGGCAGTACTCCTGGAAACTCTTGGAATATACGTACCCATTTAGTAACTTCGGAGAGAGCAGAAAGCCATTCTTCTTCCCAGTGGCTCCAGTAAAATTCCAGGATTGACTCTGATGGGCCTGGTTTGGTCATATGTCCTTCCTGAACCAATCACTATGGATAGGACTTTTTTTTTTTTTTTTTTTTTTTTCTGTGCTTGAGTGGTCTGAATCTTCCCACGGAGACAGGGAGATGGAGTCATTTCCATCCAAGCCACTTTTACTGAGAGTGTAGGGACTGCCCAGAGGAAATCAAGAGGCTATTTATCAGAAGAAAGAATGGGTTCCGGGGGATGAAAACCCAATCTGTGTTCCCGTTGACTAGGGGGAAGGGTATAATGACTGGCTAGGTCTGCTCACAAGGCCATGCTTGGAGGACATGAGGCAAGTCCACTTGAGTCATCTTCCCCAAAACCACGGGCACTGGGCAGAAAAAACTACACTTGAACACTGTAGGTGGATTGAGGGGTGGGCAGAAGCAAGAAGAGCAAAATAGCACGGGGAAGGAACGGGTGGGCTCAAATCCAGAAATCCAGATTTGAATCTGAGTTTTGCCATTTGGTAATTTTTAAACTTCTGAGCCTCAGTTTCTCATTGGAAAACTGGATCAATGCAGGAACAGTGCCTGTAGAATTCTTATGAGAATTAAATGGAATACTCGACATAAAGGATTCAGCTCTGTTCCTGAAAAAGCCAATGAATGTTTGCTGTTATGATAGTGGTCTTGAACTTCCATGCGGGTGACTGTGCCCTTGATAAGGGGTCAGGCTGTCCTCGGAGCCCTCTTCCTCATGCCATCAGGGCCTCCCCAGCACAGGCCTCAGAACTCACTAACATGTTGCTCAGTCAAAGCCTGGCCAGATTCCAACCCCAGGCATGAAGGAAAGCATAAAGGATCTGGTGTTTGGGTGTGGTCACGGTGGGTCCTGATGGGGCTGCGTCAAGGCTAATGAGGAAGAGGCTGGAGGGCCAGGGATTGGCAAGGAGGAAGGTGAGGAGTAAGGGGAGGGGTGATTTTGGCTAGAGCCAGCAGGGGTCACTGCAGATCTAAGTAACTTCAGGGAAGCGGCAGGGCCACCCATGGGCCCTCCCACATTACTACCTGCCTTCGTAACTGGGATACAGGTCTTGGACCAGTTCTGGGGAGAAGGATTGGGATTGGACTCACGCAGTGGGAGGTAGCTGCCTAGGGCATCTGCCCTTGGTGTCCTCCGGGGCCTAGGCTGTCTCTCCTCCATGGAGGCTCTTCACCAATGGGGTGTGGGCCTGGCGTGCCACCGGACTCTGAGTTCCAGCAGTGCCTAGTAAGTGCATCTTGAGATGCTCCCCTATAAAGAGCTCTGAGATTAAATGCGTTTCCTTGTCTCGTCCCTCGTCTCTGAGGGTTGTAGCCCAGATTAGCATGTTAGAGGCTCAGAGAAGTCCTGCAGTCAAGAAAACCTGTTAGACTGTGTTTAACTCAGGTTTCCTGTGCTTATTTGAGCCCGTTTGCCACAACATAGTTAGGGAAATGCTGGCTTAAGGGTGGGAAAGGGGGTGTGCTTGATACATTAACCTTCCCCAAGAGCATTTGCCCTCCCAACACACTCCCTCCTCCACCCATTGCAAGTAGTGTGTGACACATGTCTGTTGTAGAAAAGTGGGGGAAAAAACTACAAAGAAGAAAGTTACCCATCCCCTGCCTCCAGAAGAAAGTTACCCATCCCCTGCCTCCTGCTCCTTAGTCTCTTCTCAAAAGAGCTCTGGCCACTGTCCTCGGTCTTCCTGGAGAAAGGGTGATGATGGAGCTCCCCTCAAGGCACACCCACTTCTACTGGGGAGAAGCCCCAAGAGGAAAGGGCCCTTTTAGAGGTCATCTTATCCACCCCTCCGTCTCCTCTCTGTGCAGATTCTTGCTTCCCTCTCTTGCTGACATTCCTACAGGAAGGGAGATGGTGGTGGTGGTTTGGAGGGTGTTGAGGGGCGCAGAGGGCAATTGGGTATGTAGATCATCAGGGTGGAAGGTGAGCTTCCTTTCTAGGTGGGGAAACAGGCTCAGAGAGGGGCCATGACTTACTGGTGTTTCACAATGAGCCAGTGGTGGAGCTCACAGATCCTGGCCCCAGACCAGGCACCCTCCTCCCCCTAACCCCCATCTCCAGCTCTCAATGCCAAGAGTCTGGAGCGGGCCCTGTGCACTCCAGGCAAGGCTGCGGTTTCTTCTGTGGGACTGTGGAGCCACCCAGGGTGTGTGGGTGCTGCGCACGCGCACCACAGTTGTGTAACAGGCTCTGGGGCGTGTGCACGCGCTCAGTAACCTGATGCAACAGGGAAGCTGTGGTCCCGTGAGCTGGGGTGTGGGCGCTTGGCCGGTGCCCAAACCACAAAGAGTATTTGGCTGGTGGCTAAGGAGGCCAGGCATGGGGGTCGCAGAGTTGTCTACGTCAGGGCTTGTCTATCCCTAGTTGCCCACATCCTGGTCCCTGTGGGCGCAGGGCTGGGAATGGGGCTGCCTGGCCAGGTGATACTGTGGAGGAGGGGTTGGGGCCTTGCCCCTTCCTCCTTCTGTTTGCCACGATGCCTATTGTGATGAGGATGGGGGGCAGGCGGGGCTTCCTCCCTGTGGTTCCATCTCTTCCTGGCTGTAACCCCCCAACCCAGTTCTGTACCCTGCTCTCTCCACCAATCCTGGAGCCCTCACCACAGATCCAGGTCATTTTACACAGCAATATCTGCCTCTCACTCCCCCACCTCCCCTGAGTCTCACAGCCCTGCCCTCCCTACATAATAGGCTTTCCTGGGCACCCCAAATTGGGAGAAGCAGAACGGGGAAGGAGAAGAAGAGTGGCCACTTTGCAGCCAGCCCAGATGCTGACTTTCCGCTGCCACTTCTGAACTGAGTGACTGAGAAAGATCAGTGTCCCTTCTCAGCCTCCATGTACTCATCTAAGAGGTGGGGGCAGTGATACTCCCTGCTGAGAGTGGTGGAAAGATAGTGTGCTCCTGTGAACAGGAGTCCTGAACTCTTGAACTCTAGGGTCTAGGAAAGAACTCCATGAAAGGGGAGTTGCCCCTTCATTCTGCTCCATGTGGATTGAGTGTTAGGGCACCCGCCCTCCTCCCAACTCCCCAGCATTTCTATCACCAGACAGGGTGGCAGGCACTTTGGAGAGCCAGGGTCCTGGGAGGAGGTGGCCCATGAAAGCAGGCCCTATTCTGCCTGCCTGTGGCCACCTGTGTACCCTCTCTCCCCTCTTGTCCGCAGGGAGGTGGGGCACATGCATTTCTTCTGCCCCTCTCCACTTGCTCCAGCACTTCAGAAAGGCAACATCCTTGGGGGTGGCCAGTGGGTTCCAGGGATGCAGGGTTAGGTGACGCAGGGAGGGCATCTATGCCCAGTGTCCTGACTCTCTTCCCTGGCTGGGCTGTACCTGGCACGTTGGGGCTCCTCTCCAGTGCTCCCAGGATGCCCTGGATCTACATTGCCTTATTCTGCACTAACCACCTAATGTTTTGATGATCTGCTTATGCATCTACCTAAAAATAACAAATGATGCACTTTGGGAGGCCAAGGCGGGAGGATTGCTTGAGTCCAGGAGTTTGAGACCAGCCTGGGCAACATAATGAAACCCCTATCTCTACAAAAAGTAAACAAATTAGCCAGGTGTGGTGGTGCACACCTGTAGTCCCAGCTACTCAGAAGGCTGAGGTGGGAGGATTGCTTGAGCCCAGGCAGTCAAGCCTGCAGTGAGCCACGATCATGCCACTGCACTCCAGCCTGGGTGACAGAGTGAGACTCCTCCATTCCACCCTCCCCTTCCCTGGGAAAAATAAATAATTGATGACACTTACATAGTGCTCACTATGTTCCAGGCTTTACATATACTAACTCGTTTGCTTCCCATGGTGGAGATGGATATGATTGTTCTCCTTGAGGAAACTGAAGCCCAGAGAAGGCAAGTAAGTGCCCTGCTCAAATTTAATTCACTTGTGTTGTCTAACCTCAGTCACTGTCCTATCACCCTGTTTTATTTTCTTCGGAGCCTTGCTTGGAAAAACAGTGGTCTACTGGTTTGCTTACTTGCCCATTGTCTGTCTCACAGACAGCACGAGACATCGCCTCATAGATAGCAAGCTCCTTGAGTGCAGGGCCTTCATCTTTCTTGTTCACATTCCCAAAGCTTAACTGATGCTTTAGAGAAGCTCAGTGAATATTTGTGGAAAGAATGAGCCACTGGCCCACTGAATGGAGACTCCTCGAGGGTGCACTCTGTGATTATTCATTTCTGTTACCCCCACACTTCCTAGCACAGGGCCTGGCACAGATACAGTGCTCAGTAAACTGTTTGTTGAGTGAATAAATGAATGAATGAATGAATGGAAAAAAATTCCAGAGGACTCAGTTGCTGTTGCTCTTCCTTCCAGACTCTGGGAACTAGTGGAAAGTCTTCAGCCACAGGAGATGTGGGAGAATATTCTTTCTGGATCTCTGTTTTGGTTTCTCTGTGTGATTTGGTGTGTGCGCAGAGTGGGTACACAGGGCGGAAAGCATGAGAAGAAGATTGGAAATGAAATAATCTCTGGGAAATGACTCCCTGAATAATTATTTCATGTCCAAAGGCAAGAGAGGATAGAAACAGAATATGTAGGTGTGGGCCCAGAGGAGGCCCCTAGTAAATGTTTGATGAATGAATGAGTGAGTGAGGCCTTTGAAGAAAGGCCCAGGCCATGATTTTCTTTGTAGTCCCAGACCCTAGGATGGGCTCAGACTAGAATATGATACGTTTGCTGAATGAATGAATGAATGAATAAATGAATGCACACATGAGCACAAAGGAGCATGGAAATGATTGGAAAGGGTGAGTGCTGCAAAGGACCTCAGAGTGCTGGTGAACCAGACCAGGGACAAAGATTCCAGCCTTGGTCCTTTCTCCATGAGTCAGGGTCTGAAAGTAAGGAAGGGGTCTGGTGAACGCTTAAAGCCTGGTTTCCCAGTCATTCTTTCCAGATGATCTGTGTGGGGTATTGTGCAAAGACGAATAATAATTGGAAAAATAATAAGAGCCCTGCCAGGTACAGTGGCTTACACCTGTAATCCCAGCACTTTGGGAGGCTGAGGCAGGTGGATTGCTTGAGCCCAGGAGTTTAAGATAAGACCAGCCTGGGCAATATGGTGAAATCCTGTCTCTACAAAAGATAGAAAAATTAGCCAGATGTGGTGGCGCGTGCCTGTAGTCCCAGCTACTCAGGAAGCTGAGCCTGGGGAGGTTGAGGCTACAGTAAGCCATGATCATGCCACTGCACTCCAGCCTGGGTGATGGAGTGAGACCTTGTTTCAAAACAAACAAACAAATGAACAAACAAACAATAAGAGCTCATATATATTGAGCACATACTATGTGCCAGGTTCTGCTCCAAGCTCTTTACTTGTTTTCAGTCATATCATCCTTTCAGCAACCACATGAAGTATTTTTCTCATTTTATAAAAGAGGAAACTGAGGCACAGAGACGGGCAATGTCCGTCCACGATCACATAGCTAGCCAGTGAACACACAGTCATCACTCGGGCTTGCTGGGGACAGCAGCGGCTGCCCACCTGTGTACCTAGGGGAAGGTCCTTTGTGCTTGGGTCTTGCTCTGGTTCTATCACCTCTCCAGGCCTCAGACCTTCATTTGCAGAATAGGAACATAACATTTTGATGTTCTGGGACATGGAAGTCAGAGGACTTTGTAAGCTATAAAGGGCTACCGGGATCTTTTAATGGAAATTTCCTCCTCCTCATCATGAATCACCATCATCTTCATCATGATCATCTCTAGACCTGGCCTCCTGCCATTAATATGCCAGGCTGGGCTGCAACCCTGGAAATCCTGGTAAGACAGACAAACTTACTTCCCACTCAGGGATAATTATTATCTAATTTGGCTTCCACTTATCTCTTATTTCCATTCTTCTTTTCTACCTTCTAAGCCTTGACTCACCTCCAGCCCCAGCTTCTCCTTCCTCAATCATCGGCCTCCCAGACTCTGGGCTTCTCTCCACCCCTATTAACTAATTTGCTGAATATGTAAATCAAAACTTGTTACTCTCCTGCCCTTGTGCCAAGAACCAACTCTAAACTCTTTTTATGAGATGAAAGGCATTGGTAATGTGGCCCGTGGAAACAACTCTTTTTCAGTCACCCCCAATGCCCTCCAGCCATGCCACATGGTTGGCAATTCCTGTAATAGGGTATTATTTTCATTCCTCTTTGCTCTTACCTGTGCTGTTCCCTCTGCCTAGCAGGTTCTTTCCAACTTTGTCTCCGTAGTAAATGTCCACGTATTCATTTTACCCTTCAGAACAAAAATGGCATTATTGTTTTTCCCAGTTATAAGAGTGAAGAGCGCTCATTGTATATAATTCAAACACTGTAGAAAAAACTAGAAAAAAAAGGAAATGTTTCTTCTTCCCATAGTTTCAACAACTGGAGATAACCACCGCTAAAATACGGTGGTTAAAATCATGAATGTTTTTCTATGCATTTATACACATATATCTTTAAATATGTATAAATACATACATATTTGCAAACATGAGATAATTCACCCTATATGGTAACCTACTTTTTGTCCTGAGTAAAATATTTTGGGTATCTTTTCCTGTGAATAATTAGTTTTACATAATAATTTTTTGTTCTTCAAAACTGAATTCCAATTCAAATGTTTATTCTCCTGGAAGGCTCTCCTGGTTTCCTACTTCCCTCCCAGTCCCCACCCACAGTGCCCCACCTCCGAGGACTCATCGTACCTTGTACCTCTTTCTTTGAAATCTTTGCCAATTATAAGGTCGTTAACTGATTTAAAAGGCAAATGTGTAAAACAATAATTATAAATCTACGTTAATGCGCACACAAGGTATAAAGATGTAATCTGTAACAATAATAATATAAAGGGGGAAGAATGGATAGGCAAAGGAGCAGAGGCCGGGCATGGTAGCTCATGCCTGTAATCTCAGCACTTTGGAGGCTGAGGCATGAGGATCAGTTGAGGCCAGGAGTTTGAGACCAGCCTGGATAACATAGTGAGACCCCATTCAACAACAACAACAACAACAACAACAAATTTAAAATTAGCCAGGCATGGTGGTGCATGCCTGTAGTCTTAAGTACTTGGGAGGCTGAGGCGGGAGAATCTCTTGAGCCTAGGAGGTTGAGGCCTCAGTGAGCTGTGATTGTGCCACCACTCCAGCCTGGGTGACAGAGTGAGACCCTATCTTTAAAAAAAATAAATAAGGAGGCTAGGTATGGTGGCTTACGCCTGTAATCCCAGCACTTTGGGAGGCCAAGGTGGGTGGATCACTTGAGGTCAGGAGTTTGAGACCAGCCTGGCCAACATGGTGAAACCCCATCTCTACTAAAAATACAAAAATTTGAGCATAGTGGTGAGTGCCTGTAATCCCAGCTACTAGGGAGGCTGAGGCAGGAGAATTGCTTGAACTTGGAAGGCAGAGGTTGCATTGAGCTGAGATTGTGCCACTGCACTCCAGCCTGGGTGACAGAGCGAGACTTCATGTCAAATAAATAAATAAATAAGTAATAAAAAATTGTAAAAAAGGAGCAGAACATTTGTATACTATTGAAACTAAGTTGGTATTATTAAAACTAAGTTGTTATAAGGTTAAGATGTTAATTGTAATCACAAGGTAACTAAGACAATGACTAAAAAATATGCAAAAAAGGAAACAGAAGTGAATCAAAATGGTACACTAGAAAAAAATCAACTAAATACATAAAAGGTAGTAATGGAGGAATTGGGGAACAAAAACACACAAGCATACAGAAAAACAAATAACTAAATGGGAGAAGTAAATCATTCTTTATCAGTAATTACATTAAATATAAATGAGTAAAATTCTCTTATTAAAAGGCAGAGATTGGCAGACTGAATAAAAAATGATATACTGTCTACAAGAGACTCATTTTAGATATAAGAGCATAAAGTGATTGAAAGTAAAAGGATGGAAAAAGATATCCAATGCAAATAAATAGTAATCAAAAAAGAGCTGGGATAGCTATATTATTGCTACACAAAATAGATATTAAGTCAAAAAAGTTCACCTAGCAGATATAACAATTATAAACATATACATACCTAAAAACATATACATACCTAAACCCAAACTATATGAAGCAAAAATGGACATAATTAAAGGGAGAAATAGACAGTTCTAAAATAATACTTGGAGACTTCAACACCTCACTTTCAATAATGGATAGAACAATCAGACAGAAAATCAATAAAGAAATAGACAACTGAACAATGTCATGAGTCAGTTATATCTAACAGAAATATATAGAACACTTCAATCAACAACAGCAGAATAAGCATTCTTCTCAAGTATGCGTGGAACCTTCTCCAGGATGGACCACATGTTAGGTCACAAGACAAATCTTATTAAGTTTAAAAAGATTGAAATAATATATGTTCAATTACAGAGGGATACAACTAGAAATCAACAACAGAAGGAAGACAATAATTTTAGAACTATGTAGAATTTAAACAACACACTCTTAAACAACTAGTGGGTCCAAGAAGAAATCACAAGGAAAATGAGAAAACACTTTGAGAAAAATGAAACGAAAACACAACACACCCAAACTAATGGAGTATATCAAAAGTAGTACTCAGAGAGAAGTTTATGGCTGTTAATGCCTACATTAAAAAGAAGAAAAATCTCAAATCAAGAACTTAACTGTACACCTTAGGGAACTAGAAAAAGAAAAGCAAACTAACCCTAAAACTAGCAGAAGGAAGGAAATAATAAAAATTAGAATAGAGATAAACAAAATAGATAATAGAAAAACAATAGAAAAAAATAAACAAAGCTAAACATTGGTTCTTTGAAAAGGTCAACAAAATTGACAAACCTTTAGCTAGATTGACTAAGAAAAAGAGAGAAGACTCAAGCTACTAAAATCAGACATGAAAGTGGAGACATTACTACTGATCTTATAGACATAGAAAGGATTATAAGATAATACTATGAACAATTACACACCAACCAATTAGATGACTTAGATGAAATGGACAAATTCCTGGAAACACAAACTATCAAAACCAACTTAAAAGGAAATAGAAAACTTGAATAGAGATATAACAAGTGAAGAGATTGAATCAGCAATCAAAAACCTCCCAACAAATAAGAGTCCAGGACTAGATATCTTCACTGGTGAATTCTACCTAACATGTAAAGAAAAATTGACACCAATCCTTCTCAAACTCTTCCAAAACATTGAAGAGGAGAGAACCTTTCCAACTCATTCTGTGATGCCAACGTTACCCTGATACCAAGCCAAAGACACTACAAGAAAACTATAGGCCAACATACCTTAAGCATAGAGATGCAAACATCCTCAACAAAAAACTGGCAAACCAAATTTAGCAGCATATTAAAAGGATTACACACCATGACCAAGTGGGATTTATCCCCATAATGTAAGGATGGTTTAACATACAAAAATCAGTCAATATAATGTACTACATTAATAGAATGAAGGAAAAAAGAGCCATACACAATTGTTTCAGTTGATGCAGAAAAAGCATTTGAGAAAATACAAAAATTTCTTGATTAAAAACACTTAATAAACTAGGAATAGAACTTCCTTAACATGAAAAAGTTGTATATGAAAAACCCACAGCTAACATCATATTCAATGGCAAAAGATTGAAAGCTTTCCCCCTACAATCAGGACAAGATAAGAATGGCTGCTTTTGTCACTTCTATTCAACACAGTAATGGAAGTTCTAGCCAGAGCAATTAGGCAAGAAATAAAAGGCACCCAGATTGGAAAGAAAGAAATAAAATGATCTCTGTTTGCAGATGATATGGATAAAATACCAAAATTTAAGAGCTAAAACTGTAAAACTCTTAAAAAAAAAGTGAGCCAGGTGTGGTGGTTCATGCCTGTCACCCCAGCATTTTGGGAGGCTGAGGTGGGAGGACTGCTTGAGCCCAGAGTTTGAGACTAGCCTGGGCAGTATAGTGGGACCTCATCTCTACAAATGAAACCAAACAGGGGAAAATCTTCAAGGCCTTGGATTTGGCAATGGTTTCTTTAGTATGACACCAAAAACACAGGCAACAAAGGAAAAATATAGATAAATTGGACTTCATCAAAATTAAAAACTGCCACTAAATTGTACACTTAAAATAGTTAAAATGGTGACTATTTATGTTATACATATTTTACCATAATAAAAAAAGTGAAAAAGAAAATAAAACAACCTAAACTAGGAAACACCCCATAACCTCCCAAATCCAATTTAAATGTTTATTGTCCTAGAAGACTCTCCTGGTTCTCCTTTTCCCCTTCAACACCTGTCCACTGTGCCCCTCCTCCAGGGACTCATTGTACCTCATACATCTCTTTTTGAAACTCTTCCTGCTTGTAAGGTCATTATTTGTTTACAGGTTGGTTACAAGTTGGCTCTGTCCCCCTATCCCATGATAACCCCCTCCAGGCAGTGTAGTCTGGGTTCACATTTCCACTCTCCCTAAGGTTAAGTTCCTTAACCACTCTGGGCTGCTATATCCTCATCCATAAAATAGGGGAGATGATGGCACCTACCTCGTAGGGCTGTGGTGAGGAGTCAGCAAGGTCATGCACTAAACTTCTTACTTAGAAGGATGCCTGCTACATTCAACCAATGTTTGCTATTATTATATGGGCCTGGCAAAAGGCAAATGGCTAGACAGGTTGTAAAATGAATGCTCAGTGACACTCCCTGCTCTCCTCCCTGCCATCCTTGGGGCTGTACATGTATATTTGAATGTCCAACACGGGGAGAGGAGGGAGCAAGGCCTTTGCACCTCTTCCCTGGCCCTGCCCTCTGATCCTGGCTCAATCCCCCTCCCTCCACACTTCGAATTGGCCCGGGTCCCTGCTGGGCTGGAGTGGGAAAGATTAGACAAGCTTCCCTCCACCCTGTCCTTGGGGTGTTGTCCCCAGTGGCAGGAGAAGCCCCACTCTTCTCCCTTCTCTCTGGCTTTTGCCTGTCTCCAAAGTGGGCCTTTGGGAGTGCCCAAGTTGGGGAGGATGGGAAGAACTCGGATTTGGGGGTTAGAGTCAGTCACTATCACATCAATCAGGGCCCTTTCATCAGCCGGAAACTGCTACATCCGGCTGCCCCAACAAGTTCAGACGGGGGTTCCCTGCCCTTCCCCAGCTTACCCTTCTTGCCCCCCTTCCCCAGCTGACAGTCACTCTCACCCTTCCCCGGATGTAAGGGACAGGCTGGGGCAAGCCAGGGACACACTCAGTTTCCCTTCCCTGCTGCCCCTCCCTGGCGTGACATTTACCTCTTCCCCCTCCTCCTCTCCCCACCCCTCCCCCTGCCCCAGCCCATCTGCCATAAGTCCCCAGGACCTGGCTAAGGCAGGGGCCTGGAGGTGAAATCAGGAGTCCACCTGCGGCTGACTGATTGGGCCTGAGCTCCTCGGGCAAGGTGCTTCAGTTAGAACCCTGGGACAGCAAGCCTGGGGGGAGGCCCGGAGCACACAGAGGGAAAGGGACCAGCCCAGGGCCATAGAGTGCTGAGCCAGGACCAGAACCCAGAGCTCTGGGTGCCTCCTTTTCTTTCCTTTATCCCCACAGCCTCAGTTTCCCTCTCTGTCTACTGTCTGGTAGGTCTCTACACTTCCTTAGAGCTCTGATATTATGGGCCTGCTTGGAGCCTCTCTCTCCTCTCCCACTCCCAGTTTCTCCCTGCTGAAGCGTCCAAGTTTACTGGTGGGGTGTTTGGGGTGGAGTGAGGGAAGCCTCACTTCTAGCAGGTTCAGGGAGCCTCTGTTTCAACAACATAATCCTCGCTGTTGACCAAGAGACCAGAGGCTATTCTGTGGGGGAGTGCCTGGTTTGGCAGTGGCCAGATTGTCTCTGCTTGGTTCACAGCTCAGTGCTCTGCCCACTGGACCATCCAGTCTGACATTTGACTTTTGCCAGCACCTGATTGTTCAAGGCAAACTTAACGTGTGGGAAGGATGTGTAAAGATATGGAGGCAACAACCTGGGCAGGACGCATGGAGTCAGAAGTCAGGATTCCCAGTGAAGCAGGTCGGGGAAGGCCTGCTGAGCCATACTCAGAACCCGGGCATCAGGGGGTCCAGACTGTGGTGTGCCCTGCCCTGGCCCTTTTCAAGGGTCCCGAAGGTCAGAGAAACCCTTCTCTTCCCTCTCTCAATTCTTTTTTTTGAGATGGAGTCTCACTCTGTTGCCCAGGCTGGAGTGCAGTGGCATGATCTCAGCTCACTGCAACCTCCACCTCCCAGGTTCAAGGGATGACTCTCGTGCCTCAGCCTCCTGAGTAGCTGGGATTACAGGTGTGTGCCACCACACCCAGCTAATTTTTGTATTTTTAGTAGAGGCGGGGTTTCACCATGTTGGCCAGGCTGGTCTTGAACTCCTGACCTTGGGTGATCTGCTGGCCTCAGCCTCCCAAAGTGCTGGGATTACAGACCTGAGCCACCGCACCCAGCCTTACTTATGACTGATCTACTTGAAAGAGTAAAAGAGCCTTACTAAGGTCACAGTCTCAAAGTCTTCCCTCTTGCCCAGTGACATGGACTGAATTGTATTCCCTCAAATTCATATGTTGGAGCCCTAAACTCCAGTGTGATGGTATTTGGAGATGGGCCTTTGGGAGGTAATTGGGTTTAGATGAAGTCATGAGGGTGGGGTCCCCATGGTGGGATAAGTGCCCCTGTAAGAAGATACCAGAGAGTTTTCTGGCTGTCTCTCTCTCTCTGTCTCTGTGAGAAAGCAGCTGTCTGCAAGCCAGGAAGAGGAGAGAATCCTCATCAGAAACCAAATTCACGAGCACCTTGATCTTGGACTTCCCAGCCTCCAGAACTAGAAGAAATAAACATCTGTTATGTAAGCCACCCAGTCTGTAGTATTTGGTTATAACAGCCTGAGCTGCCTGAAACAGACAGCATCACCAGACAAGGCTGCAGGTGGGTGGAGGTAGGGAGGCTGTGGGAGCCCTGAGGGGTGCTCTGAACCTGCCAGGTTCTTCTCCTGGTTCTACCCTTCCCCCATGAGCTGCATGACTCTAGGTGAGTCACTGGGATTTGGTCTTTCCATCCGGACAATGGGTCCTGACCCTGCCCTCTCCACTGCAGGTGGGTGTGGGAATCTCCAGGAAAGAGAGGGTGGGTCTCTGGGACAAGAGGGTCCTTTAGCTTCTACCCATCCCTCACCCCAAGGCCGGAGGCAGCTGCTGCCACAAAGACAATTGTCAATCAATCCTGAGTCAAAACACCTCAATCTCCAGAGAACATCTGACACAGGGGCAGGCAGGCTGTGGCCCTGCCCTCAGGGAGCTTACTGTTAGAGCCAGCCAGCCCACAGTTAGGGCCAACAGAGTCCCAATTTAAATCCCAGGAGGAGGGGGAGAAGCCCCCAACAGCCGCAGCCTAGACTCAGTGGCTGGCTAGGTGCATCTGCAAGTCCAAAGGCAGCTATGGCCCTTTGTCCTTCTCTCATCTGCCTCAGCCCCTCCCTCACTGCTAGGTGAAAGTCCTCTGCCTCCCACCGGGATGTGAGCACTGTGAGGCCTTGGGTGCTGCTGTCCTGGGGCCTAACAGAGTGCCTGCACATGGGAGGTGCTCATCTGGTGAAGGAAGAAATGGCTGATGAAACTCAATTCTTGCCTGCTTCCCTGTTTTCTCAACAAAGCCCCTCACCTGGGGCTTTGAGATGGGGAATATTACAAAGTCATGGGCAAGAGTGTTTTGGGAGGGATGTGGGGTAAAAAAGAAGAGAGGGAAAGAGACATACTTTCAACCAGACCGTGGGTGAGGGGCAGATTTGGGCAGAAACTTAAGAGAGTAGAAGACAGGGGTGTCTAAGAGGTCCCCTGGAGCTGTGGGCCCCCTTCCCCACTGTGGCCTTCCAGCTGAAGCTGGAGGCTGTGGGCATGGAGTATCCTGAGGCACAATCACTCCCCAAAAATTCCTCCACCACATCCTTGCTGGCTCCCTGTCTGGTGTTGATTTGGGGTGCCGGGGTTCTCCTTTTCAGAGAGTCTGGTGCCTGGGGGCTTGGAAGGGCTGAGAGAGGCCCTGAGGCCAAAGGCCTTGTAGGGTGACACGGTGGGGGCACAGGAAGGTCTTGCACAATGGGTGATCCTGGGTGTAGAGGGTGCCTTAGGTATTCCCCACCCCCACCCCTGCCCCTCACAAGAGGTTGCCAGATAAAATACAGGCTTCTCAGTTAAATATGAATTTCAGAGTCCTCAGCTCTGGGACTCCCTTCTGCATAGAAAGAATAAGCAAAAAATAAATGTTTAGTATAAGTAGGCCTCAAATATTGCATGGGCCCATGGGTGTCCTGTATTTTCATTTGTAACACTTGGCAACCCTACCCCAGTGTGCACCCTGGCCTTCATCAGGGACACGTTTCTCCGTCCAGGCTGCCTGGCGTGGGGAAGGCCCGAGTGGCGGTGGGCCAGCAGCCCTGCTCCAGGGGAGCTAGGAAGGGCCTGGGATGTGTGGGCTCCATGGCTGTTGCCCAGGTACGGGCAGTGGCTGTAGTGAGTGGTGAGGTGGGGCGTGTGTTTAATGGGGGAGGGGAGCTGGGCAGTGGCAGAGCCAGAGAGACAAGGGAAAATTTTTTTGTGGGTTCCTGTCTTGTTCCCTCCCCAGACTCACTGCCACTGTGGGCCTGAGTCATCGGGAGAAGGGGTTGGGACAGATAAAATTTTTCCACTCAGCCCCCAGCCCAGCAACCTGGCTCACCTGATCGACACCGCCCATTTGGAGGGAAATTCCAGGCCTAAATCCTGTCCGAAATTCTCTCTCTGGCCAGCCAGCCTGCAAAGGGGTTGGGAGCTCCTGGGGCTGGGAACATCTCCGGGCAAGGGAACTGGCTCTGGGACTCCCTTCTGTGCAAAGGAGAGAGAGAGGAAAAAAAAAAAGAGAGAGAGAGAGCCTGCTGAGGGGGAGCTGATGTGGCCACAGCTGGTCCCACTGAGGGCTGGGCTTGGGAGCGGCGGGGATGTGAGAGGGAGGCTGGGGTTGTGACGACATGTGCCAGATTTCTCCTGAGACTCAGGATCCAGCTGACACCAGTTTAGACCATCTCAGCCCCTGTGTGTGTGTGTGTGTGTGTGTGTGTGTCTGTATGTGTGGCATCTATGTGTATGTGTGGTGTCTGTGTGTGTGTGGTGTGTGTGGTGTCTGTGTGTGTCTGCATCTGTGCATGTCTGTGTGTGTGTGCGTGTGGTGTCTGTGTGTGTGTCTGTGCGTGTGGCATCTGTGTGTGTGTGTGGCACCTGTATGTGTCTCTGTGTGTGTATCTGTTGTGTGGTGTCTCTGTGTGTGTGTGTGTGGTGTCTGTGTATGTGAGTGTGTATGGTGTCTGTGTGTCTGTGTGTGTCTGTATGTGTGGCATCTATGTGTGTGTGTGTGTTGCCTGTGTGTGTGTGTGTGTGTGTTGCCTGTGTGTGTGTGTGGTGTCTGTGTGTGTGTGTGGTATCTGTGTGTGTGTGAGTCTGTGTGTGTATGTGCCTGTGTGTGGTGTCTGCGTGTGTGTGTGGTGTCTGTGTGTGTGTGTGGTGTCTGTGTGTGTGTCTGTGGTGTGTGTGTGGTGTCGGTGTGTGTGTGTCTGTGTGTGTGTGTGCCTGTGCGTGTGTGTGGGGGTGTCTGTGTGTGTGTGGTGTGTCTGTGAGTATGGTGTGTGAGTGTGTGTGTATGCATGCCCTTCTTGCCACACTGCTGGTGGTTAGAGGGGCTGCAGTTACAGAGCTATTGCCGACATGAAGCCCCTATTTTTTAACCCGGTCAGTGTTCAAGGCCCTTTGTGTTCAGACCTCAAGGTACCTTCCCGTGGTTATCTGCTGCTGCTCCCTTCCGTGCCCTGGGCTTGACTCCAGGTTCTCAAACTTAAATGTCTTCAGGAACTAGACAGGTAACTGGGGACAAGGGAAGTGGACTGGGGCAGAAAAGGATGGGGATGAGGGTGGGGCGATGGGAGGAGGTGTGCTACTCAACTTCTCAATGGTTGTTGCATTTCTGGAATTTAAGACTCCAAAGCCCATCCTCCCACCCCCACTCCACTGTTTACCTTCTGGCTTTGGTGATGGGCTGCACCTTTTCTGAGGACGCTGTGCAGGCCAATGCGGGTGGGCCAGACAGAACATGTCTGAGGACGGGATGTGGTCCACGGGGTGCCAGTTTGCAACCTCCTCATCCAGCCAAACTGTACTTTTTGCCATTCCGTTGTATAGGACTGTCCTATACCTGCCTCTGTGCCAGAATCGGGCTCAAATTATGGCTCTGCTCATTTATTATAGCTACATGGCTTTGGGCCTCAGTTTTCTCATCTGTAAAATGGATATATTAATAGTATCCACATCTGGTGGTAATATGAAGAATGAATGTGTTAATATATGCAAAGCACTGAGAAGTATGCCAGACACATAGCATTCAATAGGTATAAACCGTCATCATCACTATTATTATTAGACGGCTCAAATGTTGCCTCCTCCGGGAAGCCTTCCCTAGTCCCACAGCTGGAATTAATCTCTCCCTCAGCTGAGTTCCTACTGCATTCTTTCTGTCTTGTGTTACAGTTAGTGTCTACATGACTGACTGTCCTGTTGGAGTGTCACCTCTTGGAGGCCAGATCCGTGCCCCATTGATCTTTATGTTTCTCAGTCATTCATTTAGCAGTTACTGAGTGTCTTTGATAGCCAGGCATTGTGCCGGGGGCAGGAGATATGATGGTGAGAAGATATGGCCCTTATCACTTGGCTCTGTGCCTAGGTTAGTGTTCACAGAGAGATTCTGGGCTTGTGGAGACACTGCCTTCCTGCCACCTGGTGTCTCCTTGCATCCCTGTGGAGTGGGCTGGGACGGTGGAGCCCAGGCTCAGCTGACAACCCCAAGGGCAGCTCCACCTACAACGCGATCCCACCACACTGGGAGGGACACAAGCAAATAGACACATGTCTCCCTGCCAGCCCTGTGTCCTCCAGGTGGGAACTGGGATAGTCCTGGCAGGTTGGGGACCAGCTCTGTGCCCATACCAGGTGGAGACTCCCCACTCCTGGGTCAACCCCCAGCTCCTGTACTACTGCACCCCCAGAGACACTCACTCAGCTCCAACCTCAGGATTCAGGCCTCAAATCCAAGATGTGACCTGGAGAGATAACTGAACTAGACATTTACAAGCTCTAGAGTCAGACTCCCTGGGTGTGACTGCCAGTTATTGGCCTCTTTGGGCCTCAGTTCCCCAGAGAGGAATTATGTGAGTTAATACCTGGATAGCTCTTAGCATTGGTATGGGTCATTTTCACTAGGCAGGGGCATAGGAGCCCCAGGTTGGTTATTGACCTACTCCTTACTCCCCGTGGTCAGGAGAGAGGGTAAGATACCTCTGAAATCTGCCTGCAGGGGCACATGGTGTAAGACAGGAAGGAGGGACAGCTTTGTCTCCCAGACCCCCAGCTATGAGTGGGATCCTGATCACGTGGCTCAGGGAGGCCCTGGCTGCAGCGTCCTGGTGGGGCATGGACAGGAGGGGCCTCCCACCTACACCCCAGCAGGATCCATCACTGGGCCTCCCAAGGCAGTGGAGTGGGGAGGAGGTGCTGAAAGACTGGGCTTGGGAAGCCTAGCACGGGACCCCGGCCTCCCCTCCCCCACCAGGCCAGGATGAAAGCTCCCTTCTCTAACCCCTTAAGACCCTGGTCTTGGTCCTCATTAAAAACTCTAATCCTCCAGCCCTCACTGCAGATGCAGAGGCCTCCACTCCCAGGTCTGGCTGGGAGGGGACAAGTGATAGACTCTGTCCTTCTGCACAACCAGGCTGAGCCTAGGCTCCTAAAGCACTGGTCGGTGGGTGTCTAGGGACCACTGGGACCCCAGGACACAGCTTCTGGGAAATGGAGGAGGGTGAAGACAGGCTTCTGAGGGGAGGAGTCCTGGGAAAAGAGGGATAGGAGGAGGAGGTGGTGGCAATGTCCTGACCAAGTGGGAGAGTCCCTGGCAAGAGACACTTCTCCCTTCCTTTCACCCTTGCCACCCCGGAAATCCCCTGCTGAGGGGTCCTCAGAGGGTAGTCCCAGGCACCCAGCTCAGGGCACCTCTGCTGGAATGGAGCAATGAAGGCCCAGGATCCAGGCCAGGGGCCCTCGAGCCCTCAGTTTCCTCTGCTCTCCAATGGGGCAGATCACTTCCTCACTTGCTCCTGCCTCCCCTCCTGGGCCAGCATGAGGGCAGAGGGAAAGGCCAAAGAGAACACATTTTGGCAGGTAAGCATAGCAAGTGCAGGAGGAGGCAGGGGTCAGCGTTTGCTAAGCATTTGTAATTGGCTCCTGGTCCCTGTGGCCAAGTGCTGGCCTGCATTATTTCCACTGGTCCAGAGGTTCCCAGTGAAGTGTGGAGCAATCTCATTCCTTCCCTTTTACCTCCATTCCTCCCTGAGGCTGCCGAGAGCAGCTTCTCTAAGCCTTCCCCTTCTATGCTGCATAAAAAAGGGCTTTGTTGGGAGGCCCAAGGTTTTCCAGGCCCATCATTATCACCCCATATCTACCAGGCCTCCTGAGTTGGGGATGCTGGGCTGGGGGCTATTGGGAGCTCTGGGAAGGGAAAACAGACAGCCTCCCAGGCTAACAGACAGCCTCCCAAGACAGAGCCTCTGTCCCCAGAAACCACGTTTGGAATCAGAGAAACACACACTCTATGTCGTCCAGTGTTGGCTGAAAGGGGCAGGTGGTCAGTTACCTAGACCTCATACATAATCAACTGTATTTCATCAAAAGCAAGACGCACAATTAAATTACACACCACTAAGAAGGAAAACCGCTGCTAATTAAACTCTGACACAGTGCCTTTTTGTTATTGATCCCGGGGAACATCCTGAGTTCAGATGTTAAATGTGGAAAATGTGTGTCAGAGAATCAAAATAAAGTTAAAAACATTTCTATCAACATTTGTCTTGGACATAGTGTCCATAGTGTTCTGCATCTTGTAGTGTTTACTTAGAAGTGTTTACTGAGGTTTCTGAGATTAGGCATAAATGTATGATGTAAAAGATGATGTAAAGCCATCAGCACAGTACCTGGTATAAAGTAAACTGTCATTAAATGTTAACTATTATTGCTGTTGCTATTATATGTACAAGGACTTTATATGTATATGAAAGTCCTTCAGCTCCCGAATCTTTCATTGTTCTAGAGGCTAAGGTCTGAGGACACCAGTGGCTAGAGTCAGAGGTGCCAGGAAAGCTGAGGAGGCAGCCTGGAGGAGGGGCCGTTCCATGTGTGAAGTCTGCAGTGTCTCTATAACCTTTGGAGGCATCAGAAGGGGCCTGAGCCCAAAGGCTGCCTTTGCCAGTTCCCCAGAAAAGTGAGGCCCCTGACTTATTACCCCTATGAGTCAGTCAATCAATCAATCATCCAATCAATCCATTCATTAAGACACTTATTGAACACCTGCACCATGACAGTCTCTGTGCTAAGTCCCTCCTTCAGCAGCCCCCACCTGGCCCCTGCCTGTTAGGAGCATCCAGGCTCAGCTATTCGAACTGGCACATCAAAGGGGGATTGGCCCTGATCCCTCATCAGAGGCTTCTTTCCAGGGATCGGCCTGAAGATGTGGCAGCTCCTCTGCTTCTCTCACCATCCCCAATCTCACCCGCAACAGGGGAAGGGATCTTCATTTCCCAGGCACTTCTAGGCCTTTGTAGAGCCTGCTCCCTCTGCCAGGACAGTCTTGGTTCTGTGCTGTGCAAAATTCCTCTCTTTCCCTTTCTTTCAAAACAGGTTTCAAGCCCCTTCTCCAGAAAACTTTCTTTGAAAACGTCTGTCCTCCACTCAGCTTTCCTGCCCTGTTTCTTAGTGCTCTCAGAATATAGTGTATACCCTGCAAATTGTTCCCTCCTGTGGTCTGGGCTTCTTTCCTGCCTACCTGTCCCGTCTCACGTGGCCAGCTACCAGTTGTAAAAGGACTGGTGATCTGGCACTAGGATACTGATGCCTCACCTTTAATTCATAGCATTTTACCTCCCAAATTTGTGTGGTGTGCTATTGGGGAGCTAGGCACTGTGATAGGCGGTGGGGTGGCCCTGCCCTCAGAACCCTCTCAGCCTGCTGGGCTATAATGTCCCCCTGCCCCCACCACACCACATCCCTCTTGCCTTGAATCCCAGCTTCATCCAGTGGAGACCTGTGGTGTGCCTGTCCTTCATCAGACTGGGGTGTCCCCCTGAAGAGGGAACAGTGTGTGGTGAGCTCTTGCAGGGGGCCCTTTGCTCCCCTCCAGCTGCAGAGCACCGGCTAACCTTGTCCTCACTCCCCCTGCTACCCAAGCAGGCCCACGGTTGTTTATGGTTCAAATGCAGACCCCAGGGGCTGAGGCCTCTCCAACACCCAGAACTGAGCTGTCCCGTCCTCAGCTTTCCAAGAACAGGCTCTGTCGAGCACACATGGTTGTGAAACGATCCTGCTGGGCTCTCTAAGAGATGAGGCCATTTATGGGCTGAGTGGGCTGCCGTGGGCTGCCAAGGGTCAGGCTGGGGACCTGTGTGCGTTGAGACTCTGGTCAGTCTCCTCTCTGCACACAGCCTCCAGGAGCAAGGGCTAGACACAGACGGGCATTCTTCCCAAGTTTAATTTTGAATATGCTTAAATTATTTTAAAAGCAGTCTTGCCATATCAGGAACCCCAAATTAAACTCACACGTATGTTCCTGCGGGATGGGGAGCTAAGGCCTTCCCACTAGGGCTTCTCCAGAGCAGAAGACACAGAGAGGAAAATAGGCTTTCCAAGTTGGAGGGCAGGACAGGTTGCATAATTTGTGGGCCCAGTGAAAAAAGAAATATGAGTCCCACATTGTGCTGAGGAGAGATCTGTGGCCTGAGAGGGGAAGGGCCCTGGCCTCTGCTACCCTGGGAGGCAACATCACAGCCAGGAATGGGGCCTGCCGCTCTTACTCCTTAACCAGTGCTCACCCCAGGCCCAGCTGTGCCAGGAAGGCCTTGTTTCCATCCTGGGCCTTCGCTTGCCTTCCCCCTGCTTATTCCTGGGCCTCCAAAAAGCTTCTCTGTCCCCCAAGCTCTCCTCTTCCAGGAGGTCTTCCTTTCCTGTTTGGACAGTTTTACCTGCTGGTTAGTCCCATGCTTCTTCCCCTTTCCAGGCTCTCTCATAGCTTTGCCCTTGACCTTCTGAGCCTTTGTTTACTTTTTATGTGAGTGACAGAGAGCAGCCTCCTTCCTCCCTTGGCCATAGTTCTTTGGGGGTCTTCTTCATCATACTAGGAGCTCTCTGAGGATAGGGCAAGCTCTCCTTTCAGACTGGGGGTCCCTGGGGTTGGAAGTCTTTCTTGGGACTCCCCCTAGGCTTCCCTTGGCAGACCCAACGTTGCACTAGAGGGGTGACTGTGCCTGGTGTGGTGCCCAGTTGGCTGTGTGTGTGCACACGTGTGTGTGTGTATGTGTGTATTGTGTGGGGAGGGTTTGCTTTTGGTTTTCCATCACCTTCCCTGTCCTTTCCTGATCAGATCCTCTGAGTGAGGCTGGTTAGGGAGATGGAGCTTGGAATGAGGGAGGAAGATGGGGTGGTATGGCACCCCAGCCCTACGTCCGGCCAGGGCTCCAATGGAGTGTGGGCAGCATGACCTTCTTCCTGGGCCTCCCGCTGGGGTGTGAGGGAGGAAGGCCGGTCTTGAGCTGGGGTCAGGGTGGAGAGGGGCAGCCTTTCAGCTGAGGTCCGTCACTCAGAGGCAGGGTCCGTGGCATTTGGCCGGCAGGGGAGAAGGGAGGGAATGTGAGGAATAGGCTGACTCAGCAGTTGCCCCCTCCCAGCTCTGGGGACAGGCGCTGGGGGAGGACTGATTGCTGAGAACATGCAGATGGTGGTGGCAGTTCCTCTGGGTTGTGTTTTGAGGGGAGGGCTGGGGAGAGATAGGAGTCAGAAACACCAGAGTCCCCCAGAAATACTGGGGAGGCATGAAAGGGAGCTGGAGGAGGGGAACCCAGGAGAGGGTACCTTTTGACATTGCCATAGCTGTGAATATCAGTGACATGCAAAGGAATGCCCCAAACACGAAGAAGGCCGCTCCTTTGTGGGGATGAGCTGGGGACAGTATGAGGAGAGGGCTTGGCTAGGGGGCAATGGGACCTGTGAGGGAGTAGAGGGTGTTAAGAGTGAGCCAACAGCCGCCCAGCCCGGCCCAGCCGAAGGGGAGGTAGACGGCAGGCCTGCTTTTGCCGAATCTAGAGCTCCTCTCTGCAACTTGATCGTAAGCTTCATTAAGGCAGAGGCCGTCTCATAACATCTCTTAATTATCTGACAACCCCTCCACAGGGCTGGGCACATATAAGCATTGTGCCCAAGTTTAATTTTGAGTATACTTAAATTATTTTTCAAGCAGTCTTGCAATATCAGGAACCCCACATTAAACTCATACCCATAATCCCAGCTATTTACTTTTCTCCTTGTACCTTCCAAAATCTTTATAGGCATGCTTACGTAAGGGTGACTTAGGTAAACGCGGCCTGAGTCAGGCTTTTCCACCAGCTTTGCCGGGTGCACTGGTTGACGGGGTGTAAGTGTGTGTATCGGGCTCCTTTGCTCTGAAGTAACCCTTGTTTGCAGGCAAGGAGAGCTGGGGGCACCCTCACTACCCAGTCTCCATGCTCTTCCCTCTGTTTACATTGCTGCCAAGCGGGCACCTGCTTCATTTATATTCTCACTTGAAACAACTCTGACTTATGCAAAAATGGACTTACTTAAGATTTACCAGAACAGAATACTAGCTTGATTTGGGGACTGTGTGTGTGTGGCAATGGCTGGTTGATTTCAGGTAGTGATTCCCAAACATTTTGAGCTGGAAAACCCTATTTTAACACTAAAAAACAAAAACAAAAACAAAACCTTCAGAGAACTCCAAAAGACAGTGATTGTATAACAGATATTCATCATCTGAGAAAAATCCATGAAGACAACAAACTGTGGTGAAGTTAGAAATAATTTGAAATTATCACATATTATTGATCTCCATAGTATCTACATAAGTTTGAAAGAAAAATAGCAAATGCATTCAGGAATATTATTCACTTGACTATGTGAGCAAAGATGTTCATGACAGCATTATAATTTAAAGTCAAATAACTAGGGTCTGTTGGGAGATATTGTCCCCTACTTGGGTACGTGACTCCACCATGTAAATGCAGCACTGTACTGTATGGAACTGTGTATATGTGTGTATATGTGTGTGTGTATGTGTGTGTGCGTGTGTGTGTGTGTGGAGGAGGGCACATGTGAAGAATGGGAAGGGAATGTATTAGAACACAGTGTTTTGCTTGTGAAAATTCAGTGGTCTCTGGGGGAGGAGGGGGAGGTAAGTGACAGGAAGGAGCTGTGCTGATGGCTGAAATCTGTGGGTGCTGAGAAGTCCTTTCTGAGAGCAAAGTTAGTGTCTGGCTTTGAGTTCTGGGGTGGGGAGAGGAGGCTGAAGAGGCAGGCAAGAGCCAGACCACACAGGTTCCGGTGGACCATGTGAGGCAGAGAATCCTTATCCTTAGAGAGGAGATGTCGTCTCTGGATGTGGTGTGAGACAGCCGGGAAGTTCCTCCCTACACGAAGATCCTTCTTGCTGTGTGTTTTTCCCCATCCCCTCTTCATTTCTCTGCATTTTACATCACTGCTCGCTGGGCCCAGGGCAGCTCAGTGTAAATCTTCAATCTGCAGTTCCAGGAACCCTGTTTCCCAACCCCCAAAATCTGGGCCTGAGGTCTGACAAGTCCCAGAAGAGCTGCGGGGATTATGAGGCAGGATGTGTAAAATCAGGGGCGTCCAGGAACGTGGAGCTTGACGGTAGCAGGAGGAGTGGAGAAGCTGGCCTGGGACTGACTCCCATTCCCCTAATTTGGCATCCTGCCCCCTCCCTTGGGGGGCTGGGAGCGGTCAGCTCCAGGCTTCCCCACGTCTCCACGGCTCCGCTGCCCGTGCTCTTCTGAGAGCAACGTGCTGAGGGAGCACTTGTGAGCCATGAGGGCAGGAGTTGGGGCAGGGGTCAGGGTGCTTTTTAATTTCTCGTTAGCAATGACAGCTGTAGAACTCAAGCAATTAAGGAGGACGACTCCCCCAGGATGCCAGAGGGCCAGCCCCCCGCCAAGCTGTGCACAGCTTCCTCCCTTCCTCCTTTTCCATGTCCCCCCTCACCCCCATCACAGGCTTCCCCTCCCTGGGCCCAGGAAGCTGTGAGCCACTGTTCAGGGGAGGAAAGGGGTGCAAAAGTTCCCCTTCCAACACTTTAGCAGGGAGAACAGAACAAAAGGAAGATGGAGGGGCTCCTGAGTCTGGAAGCTGCTTCTTCCTCCCTATGGTCCACGCCTGGGGGTGGGCCCGTCCTGTGGAAAGGGGTCCACTCTCTTCAGAGTTGGTATTGAGGATGGGGACATAAAAATGACCAAAGGTTGGCTGGGTGTGGTGGCTCACGTCTGTAATCCCAGCACTTTTAGAGGCCAAGGTGGGAGAATCATTTGAGCCCAGGAGTTTGAGACCAGCCTGGGCAACCATGGGCCATGGTTTGAGACCATGGGCAACATGGTGAGACTCGGTCTCAAAAAAAAAAAAAAAAAAAAAAAAGACCAAAGGCATAGCAATTTTTCCTGTGCTTCTAAACTGTTCTTTTTTTCTAAGATCTATAGGGCATTCAACTTCTCTTGAATTTCTTCTTCATCATTTGGCTGGAGCTTTTCAGCAGCCTACTCCAGATCCTGCCTACCGCGTGGACTTGTTCCGTCCCCACCTGTCGGGGGAGGGTACATGTGTTCAATGCTATGCTTTTATTAACATCAGTCTTGCTGCATGGGCGGGGACATGTTTTTGGGTGCAGGAGCAAAGCTTTATATCCCTGTCCAAACATCTCACTCCACCCAGCAGCTGATACGTGAAACCCTACCATTAATATTTGCCTCCTTTACGGTCATCTCCTTGTGAAATTGCAAACACTCTTGGGAAGGAAACCTCTTCGGCATGAACAAAAGATCTGACAGCTGACATTGATATGGAGTAACAGGGGTGGGAGGCTTGCTGGCCAAGATTCCCAGGGATGGGGAGGAGTTGGGGGCAGAGGGTTAAAGAGAAGAGTGGACACACTTCATAGTTTTCCCCTACTGCTGGTTAAGTCTTTAAAGCCTGGAAGACTAACAGACCAGCTGTCTTCTCTGACCTAAAAGAAAAGACATCCTTCTCATGTTCATGGTCATGACCATTGCCATCAACAGCCTCATATGGATGTTGAACACCAATGATGCCTCAAAGACATTAAACACCTGGCCCTTGCTCTCAAGATGCTCACAGCTCACTATGGGGCACCCCGCTCACTTGAGTGTGCAATGATGAGCCTATGAAAGTTTTAGAGGAAGGGCTTACATGTACCAAGTGTTATCTAAGGGAGATTAGCCAGGTGGTGGTGACCAAGGTGGATTGAGCACAGGGCAGAAGAGATGGTGAAGCTTGCTGGGAGCCCTTTGCCATCACGCAGGTGAGAGCTGAGAGGCCTCAGATAGGCTGATGGCAGTGGGAACACAGATGCTAGGACTCATAGAAAGGCATTTTGGAAAATCAATCTCCAGGACTCTGACTATGGAGAGGGTAACAGAAGGAGGAATTGAGCATCAGCCCAAGGTTCAGAACTTGGGTCCCCCAAAGATGGTGGCAACAGAAAGGGAAGTCTGTTGGAGCCATGTTTGAATGGAAGGTGAGTTCTGGTGCAACATGCTGCATTTAAAGAGAGGTCGTCCTACCCCATGCCCCACCACAAACAAGGCAGGACTGAAGGCAAGCTGTGCATACACAGAATGCAATTTTTCTGAAAGAACTTCTACAAATATCAGCAGTCCTTCAAAGTGGTCAGTACAAGAGGCCAGGCAAGTTTTCCAAAGAGCTCGCCTTTGTTCAACACATTTTTTACTTATTTATGGGATATTTCTTGTGTGTCCACTAGGTGCCTGGCGCAGTCTAGTGCAGGAGACATGTAGACTGTTGGTTTCTGCCTTTAGGGAGCTTACTCTCTAATTAGGGTGATATTAAAGTCAAACTCATAAGAAAGGGTCTGTGTATCTATGACTTCCCATCATATAGAACATAATAGCTTTTTTATTGCTGTGCAACAAATGACCACAAACTTAGCACCTCCAAATAACACCTATTGATTAGCCTACAGTTCTGTAGGTCAGAAGTCAGGGACAGTGTGAGTGGGCTTCTCGCTCAGGGTGTCACAAGGCTGAAATCAAAATGTCAGCTGAACTGAGTTCTTTTTGTTTTTGTTGTCGTTGAGACAAGGTTTCACTCTGTTGCCCAGGATAGAGTGCAGTGGTGTGATCATGGCTTGCTGCAGCCTTGAACTCCTGGGCTCAAGTGATCCTCTTACCTCATCCTCCTGAGCAGCTAGGACCACAGATGTGCACCACCACACCTGGCTAATTTTCAAAATTTTTGTAGAGAGGGGGTCCCACTATGTTGCCCAGGCTGGTCTTGAACTCCTGAGCTCATGTGATTCAGGCATGAGCCACCAGGCCTGGCCATGGATAATCTCATTTTTAGAGTCACCTATGCCATGGAACAACCTAACTGCGGGGGTGAAACCTATCATATTCACAGTCCTGGGATTATGTATAGGGGCAAACCAAGGAGCAGGGGATTTTGGTGGGTCATCTTAGAATTCTCCCTACCACACTTAGAATTAAATATGAAGTTTTTACAGTGGCCTATAAGGCTTTACATGTTTTGGCCCCTAGCTACCTCTCTCCTTTGCCGTTTAGACATTCTTACTTTTCCTCAAAAAGACAAGCATGTTCTGGTTTCAGGGAATTTGCCCTTGCTTCTGTCTCAGCCTGGAATGCCCTTTCCCTAGATATTTCCAGGCGTTCCCCCTCATTTCCTTCAGATCTCTACTCAGAATGAGCCCTTTGTTGACCTCATCTAAAATAGAAACAGCCCCTTCCCCCAAAACCTGCTCAGTCTCTATCCCCTCACCTTGCTTTATTTGTCTGCATAGCATTTATCAACACTATTTTTAAAAAATAAATTTATTTATTAAATTACATAGTCAGTGCCGGGCATGGTGGCTCATGCCTGTAATCCCAGCACTTTGGGAGGCTCAGGAGGGCAGATCACTTGAGGTCAGGAGTTCAAGACCAGCCTGGCCAACATGGTGAAATACCATCTCTACTAAAAATACAAAAATTAGCCAGGCGTGGTGGCGTGTGCCTGTAGTCCCAGCTCCTCTGGAGGCTGAGACAGGAGAATCACTTGAACCCGGGAGGCAGAGGTTACAGTAAGCCAAGATCACGCCACTGCACTCCAGCCTGGGTGACAGAGTGAGACTCCGTCTCAAACCAATCAACAAACAACAACAACAAATTACATAGTCCATTTGTGTGTGTGTGTATGTGAGTGGTTATTTCTTTATTGAGATGGAGTCTTGCTCTGTCACCCAGGCTGGAGTGCAGTAGCATGATCTTGGCTCACTGCAATCTCCGTCTCCCAGGTTCAAGCAATCCTCTTGCCTCAGCCTCCCCAGTAGCTGGGACTATAGGCGTGCACCACCACGCCTGGCTAATTTTTGTACTTTTAGTAGAGACGGGGTTTCACCATGTTGGCCAGGCTGGTCTTGAATTCCTGGCCTCAAGTGATCCACCTGCCTCGGCCTCCCAAAATGTTGGAATTACAGGGATGAGCCACCACGCCTGGCCTACATAATTAATTTGAACTTATGATATATTTATCTGTTTGTTGTGCATCTCCAATTAGAATATAAGGTCAGTGAGGGCATGACCTTTGTTTTATTCACTATCTCTGGTGCCTAGAATAGTGCCTAGCACATAGTAGGTGCTCGATAAATATTTGATGAATAAATGATTGGATGTGTTTTCAGACTGAGAAATTTTGAAATGAAAAGTTTATTTTAGAGCACAAATCAGATGAAAAATTATTTCTGTACTTTTTGTTTTATAGTTTAACATTTTTAATGAATTTAAAAACCTTTGACTAGAGCAAGTTAAACACAAAGTAAGGAGAAGACATTAGATAATAAAGATCAGAGAAAAATGTAGCTAGGTGCGGCGGCTCACGCCTGTAATCCCAGCACTTGGGGAGGCCGAGGCAGGTGGATCACTTGAGGTCAGGAATTCGAGATCAGCCTGGCCAACATGGCAAAACCCTAACTCTACTAAAAAATACAAAAATTAACTCAGCGTGGTGGCAAGTGCCTGTAATCCCACCTACTCGGGAGGCTGAGGCATGAGAATTGCTTGAACCTGGGAGGTGGAGGTTGTGGTGAGCCGAGATTGCACCACTGCGCTCTAGCCTGGGTGATAGAGCGAGACTCTGTCTAAAAAAAGAAAAATATCAGAGAATAATGAAGTTGAAAATAGAAGAACATTGAGACAATCAATAAAACCAAAAGCTGTTATTTCAAGAAAATCAATAATATTGATAAACCTCTAGCCAGATTGATCGGGAAAAAAAGAGAAGACACAAATTACCAGTATCAGGAATGAAAGCTGTGATTGACTACAGACTGTATAGATAGTAAAAAGATAAGAAGGTAATATTATGAAAAATTTTACTCCAATAAATTCCATAACTTAGATGAAATGAACTAATTCTGTCAAAGACACATACTATGGTAGCTTACTCAAGAAGAAACAGAGGCAGGGCGTGATGGCTCATGCCTGTAATCCCAGCACTTTGGGAGGCCAAGGTGGGCGGATCACCTGAGGTCAGGAGTTGGAGACCAGCCTGGCCACCATAGTGAAACCCCATCTCTACTAAAAATACAGAAATACAAAAATTAGCCAGGTGTGGTGGCGCACGCCTGTAATGCCAGCTACTTGAGAGGCTGAGGCATGAGAATCGCTTGAACCTGGGAGGTGGAGGTTGCAGTGAGCTGAGATTGTGCCACTCCACTCCATTCAGGTTATCTAGAAGAAACAGATAACTTGAATGGACTTATATGTAATTTTTTAAAGACTGAATTTGCAGTTGAAAGCCTCTCCACAAAGAAAATCCAGGCCCAGATGGCTTTACTGATGTATACTACCAAACATTTAAGGAAGAAATAATAATAATTCTATACAAACTTTTCTAGAATATTCAGGAGGCAGAAATACCTCCCAACTCATCAGATAAGGCTAAAACCAAACAAAGATACTACAAGAACAGAAAACTACTGGCCAATATCTCTCATGAGTATAGATGAAAAATTTCTACACCAAATTCATGTAAATATAATTGAACTCTATCACCTATACACATACTATATATACATATTCATGCACTGCATAATGATTTTTTGGTCAATGATGGACCTTATGTATGATGATGATTCTATAAGATTATAATACTGTATTTTTACTGCAACTTTTCAATGTTTAGATACATGAATACTTACCATTGTGTTACTATTGCTTACAGTATTTAGTAGAGTAACATGCTATACAGGTTTGTAGCTTAGAAGTAATAGGCTATACTACATAGCCTAGGTATGTAGTATGCTGTATCATCTATATGTGTATTAGTATATATATATGTACTAGTGTATATACATGTACACTAATAACATCATGACCAAGTAGAGCTTATCCTAGGAATTCAAGGTTAGTTTAGCATTCAACAATTCAATGTAATTCATTATATTAACAAATTAAAAAGAAAAACCCATACAATCATCTCAATAGATGTAGAAAATACATTTGACAAAACACAACATGCATTTCTGATTTTTAAAACTTAAGCAAACTAAGAATATAAAGGAACTTCCACAACCTGATAATAAGCCTCTACCAAAAAAAAAAAAAACTATAATGGTGAAAAGATAGAATATTTTCTCCTGAATGTGCTTGATCTCATCTGATCTGATCTTGTAAAGCTAAGCAGGGTGGGCCTAGTTAGTGCTTGGATGGGAGACCACCTTGGAATACTGGGTGCTGTAGGCTTTTGGCCTTTGGCTCCCTTCCTAAAAAAAAAAAAAAAAGAATAGAACAAGGATGTCCACTCTTATTGCTTTTATTCAACATTGTACCAGAGGCTCTAACCACTGTAATGTAATAAGGCAAGAAAAATACAAGGCATTCAGATAGGACACGAAGAAGTAAAATTTTCATTATTTGCAGATGACATGATCAACCCTATAGAAGGTCTGATGGAATCTACAAGGAAGCTACTAGAACTAATAAATGAATTTAGTATGGTAGTGAGACACAAAAGTGGTATACAAAAATCAATTATATTCCTAAATATGAGCAATGAACCATTGGAACTTGAAATTTAAAAATAATACTTAAAAATATTATCTGTTGCACTGGGCTCTCAAGGATTCCTCAGTTATGGGAAATTTTCTTAGATTATGTCACTAAGGATGTCTTTCCCTTAGTTTCTCTGTTTCTCCTGTTATTTAGATGTTGTTGTCTCTGCTGGAGTGGTCCTGTAGTTTTATTGCTTAGTTACTTGTAACTTTCCATCCTTTTGTTATTTTCTCTCTACTTTGTGGACATTTCCTCAGCTTTATCTTCCAAATTTCCACTAAATTTTTTATTTCTGCTATCACATTTGATTTTTTAAGACCTGTCTCTTATTCTGTTTTTTTAAAAAACACTGTTCTGTTTTTGTTTCATCTCTGCAATATTTTTTCTTATCATTCACAGGATATGATAATAATGTGTTGTTATTTTTAAGCTTTCTTCACGCTATGTAGACTCAGCTTCCTTCAAGTCACTTTTTTATTTGTTTTGGCCTCTGTCTTTTGTGTTAGAAGCTTTCCTCAAATGTCTCATAATTCTCAGTTGTTTGCTTATTTTTAGGTGTGGAGATTTGTAAAGCTAGTTGGAAGCTGTGTAGGTGTGTGACTATGTATGTGTAGGTATGTGTGTATATGTGAGTATGTATACGAGTGCATGCATGTGGGTGTGTAGGTGTGTGTGCATATGTGAGTGTGTATGTGTGTGTCTGTGTGTGCATGTGTGTGTGTATATGTGACTGTGTATGCTAGTGTATGTATGTGGGTGTGTAGGTGTGTGTGCGTATGTGTGTATGTGTGTGTGCATGTGTGTGTAGGTGTGTGTATATGTGATTGTGTATGTGAGTATATGTATGTATGTGTGTAGATGTGTGTGCATATGTGAGTCTGTGTATGTGGGTGTGGTTCTGTGAGCCTCACACTAGGGTGACCTGGCTGGGATGTTTCATTTTGCCCCCAGTGTTAGTGTCTTTGCTAACTTTGCTAAAGTGGAGATTCAGGAACAAGAAAATTAGATGTAAGAGTTCAGGCTGCCAATTTTTCCTGGAAGTCTTTTAATTTATTTTTAGATGCTTTTTTAATTTAAATTTTTTATTTTTTAGAGCTGGGGGTCTCATTATGTCACCCTGGCTGGTGAGCAGGGGCTATACATAGGCACAGTCTTCATGCACTACAGCCTTGGACTCCTGCCTTAGCCTTCGGAGTAGCTGGGGCTACAGGTGTGCACCATTGTGCCCAGCTATTATTATTATTATCAATTCCATGTAATCATACTGAAAGAACAGATCAGGTATGCTCTGAAATTGAGTCAGTCTGGTTTACTGTGCCATTTCCATCCCCTAGCACAGGGCCTGGTATATAAGGAAGTATCAATAGATATTTACTAAATTTATGGATAAACAAACAAATAAGCTGCTTTCGTAGCCTTTATCATGTTAAAAATATTCCACAATGATGTCAAGACTTCATCCTGGCCAGGTGTGGTGGCTCACACCTGTAATCCTAGCACTTTGGGAGGCCGAAGCAGGCAGATCACTTGAGGTCAGGAGTTTGAAACCAGCCTGGCCAACGTGGTGGACACCTGTAATCCCAGCTACTTGGGAGGCTGAGACAGGAGAATCGCTTGAACCCGGGAGGCAGAGGTTGCAGTGAGCCGAGATTGCGCCATTGCACTCCAGCCTGGGCAAAAGAGTGAGACTCCTTCTAAAAAAAAAACAAAAAAACAAAAAACAAACAAACAAAAAACTTAATCCTTGGGAACTAAATGTAAGTGGAAATAACCAAAAGTTGTTTAGTGCCCAGGTGTGTGACCCAGGAGACTGAGCAAACTGAGTAGGTAATAGCAGCACCTTTTTTTTTTTGGTCCAAAACAAGGTGTGGCACCAAATTAAGAAATTGATTTCCTTGTTTGGTGTATAATGAAGTCTAAGATCAATTCATAAGGGGAAGTAAAGTCCAAAAATGCTATGAGCAAATTTGGTTTTGTTGGCCTAGGTGTGTAGGGTCCACTTTTTGAATGTATAGGATTTTGCAGGTGAATTAGAAGCAAATGATATGTGATTAGAGGCAAACCATTTACATTGCAGAGTTTTGCCTTTCCTTTCAGAAAAAATAAAGTTGAGCCAGATGAGCTCTCACTGCCTTCTTAGTCATGGAGTTTGATGATTCTAAGTCTTGAGGGGCTGGGGTGTGACTGGAGGGACGAGAGAGTAGTGAGTGAGGGCTGATTTTCAGGGACATGGATCCTAGGAGACAGGTAGGAAAGCGTGCTGGGAGAAGCAGTTTTCCCACAGCTAGAGAGGGTCAGGCCTCTGGGCATCTTTACCAGGCTTGAAATGACAGCACCTAAAGCCCCAAATATTTCCTCTGCTCTCCCTCCATGCCAGTCGCTGTGTTTTCTACACATTGCCTGGTTGGATCCTTGCCACGGCCCTGTAGAGTTGGTGGTCTTATGATCCTCATTTCCCAGGTAAGGACACTGAGTCACAGAGAGGGGAATGTAATGTAGAGATTCCAAGGCAGTTTAATGCCACAGCAGCAAAAGGAAGATGGCAAAGGAGAACGGAGGCCTGAAGGGGATACATTTCCCCTTGACAACATTTTATTGTAACAGTTGGGGATTGATGGGAGTATGTGTGAAAATGAGTCAGTGAGTGGTTTTCTGGTAGTTACTCCATGTAATATGGCTGACTGGCCAATGTTGTCCATTTAGTTATCAAAAAGTTGCCAAATTGTTAATAAACAAATGGAGAGCAAATAAAAGTTTCTCCTACAGAAGTTAAAATAGAGCTAGGGTCGACAGGAACATTCTGGGAATTGAACAAAGTAAGTGATTTTTCTGACTCACTCTGGGATGAATATTTTTTCAACCCCATTTGTTGAAAAAATGGTCTAAAACCCTATTGAGTAAGGCAGGACCCTCTGGGTGCCTCTGAGACCATCTGGGTGTAATGACCAGGTGGGGGCTCTGGTCTCAATATGAACAGCAGAACATTCTGAACTTGAACCCCAACAGATTCTGATTTGAAACCTTGAAAGCATTTGACTGAAGTTCTGATATCTGCTTGCTTTTTGGTTCTTTCTTTCTTTGAGTACAGAAAGGAAATTTTGGTTTGTTGATTGTTCATTCTTGTATTCAAGCCATAGTGGTTAAGAGTGCTGGTTTTGGAGCCAGAGAGAGTTGAGTTTAAATCCCAGCGCTATTGCTTATTTGCTGTATGACTGTGAGCAAGTTACCTAAACTCTCCTGGCCTTTGTTTTATAATTGTAATCTACTTCACAGGGCTATTGTTGGGATTAATGAGATAACATAAGGCACACAGTAGGGATATGATCCCAGACAGTATTTACCTTTATTATTTTCTTTTTTTTTTTTGAGACCAATTGTCACCCCGTTGCCCAGGCTGGAGTGCAGTGGCACGATTTTGGCTCACTGCAACCTCCGTCTCCCAGCTTCAAGTGATTCTTCTGCCTCAGCCTCTCGAGTAGCTGGGACTACAGGCACCTGCCACTACACCTGGCTAATTTTTGTATTTTTTAATTAGAGACAGGGTTTCACCATGTTGGCCAGGCTGGCAAACTCCTGACCTCAGGTGATCCACCTGCCTCGGCCTCCCAAAGTGCTGGGACTACAGGCGTGAACCCCTGCGCCCGGTCACCATTATTATTTTCATTCATAAAGAGTTTACAAGTAAACTGGGCATGGTGGCTCACACCTGTAATCCCGGCACTTTGGGAGGCCAACACAGGCAGATTGCTTGAGCCCCGGGGTTGGAGACCAACCTGGGCAAAATGGCTAAACCTTGTCTCTGCAAAACAAACAAACAAAATCACAAAAATTCGCCAGGCATAGAGGCACATGCCTGTGGTCCCAGCTACCCAGGCAGCTGAGGTGCCCAGGAGGTCGAAGCTGCAGTAAGCTGAGATCATGCCACTGCGCTCCAGCCTGGTAAACAGGGCAAGACCCTGTCTCAAAAAACAAAAATAAAAACAAAAACAAAAAAAAAGAAAAGAAGTCTACATGTGGATGTCTATACCTGCAGGCCTGTATTAGTCCTTAGGCTTGTATGGGGTAAGAGATCACTGAAAAATACACTCTCTCTGTGAATGCACTTGGAGAAAGATAACACACACACACACACACACACACACACACACCCCTTTACAAAATTAAATACATCAGACAGCATTTGAGGCTGGATGAAGAGGTATAGACAGCTCATGCTGTAGGAGTTTAGGGGAGACTGCTGAGCAGAAGTGGTCTAAGAAGGCTTCATGTTTTAAGAGGCAAATCTTCACGGCTGGCACTGTATAGACCAGGATGAAGAAATGAGCAACCTGTGCTTGGGGCTGTCAGAAGACCTGGCTGGCTGGAGTGGGATGGATGTGTAAGGGGGCAGGGGAAAGAAGGGGCCACACACAATCATATTATGAATAATAATGGGAATAGAAACTACCATTTGTTTGGTTCCTGCTATGCACAGGCCAGGTGCTCTTGCTACACCCTTTCCATATATTATCTCATTCAATCCTCACAAGAACCCTGTATAGGTATTATTAGCATGGGTTTTCAAGGAAACTCAGGTTTAGAGAGGTTGCATGACTTGCCCAGGGACAGATAGCTAGAAGTGGGGAGATCCACAATCTGAATGAACAAATTACACGCACAGACACTGTCACAGACAGGCACACACACACAGAGCCCAGGCGCGGCCAAGACAGTTGTCTGTTTCACCTCATCTGTGGCCCCACTCTCCTTTAGTTGAGTTAGGTGCTAGTTCTTTCCTTTGAGGGGTCCAGTGTGAAAAAGTGACCCTACTCCTCACCCCAACTCTGTCTTAAATGTCCCTGCAGCTTTAGTCCCCAGGCAGGCTCCCAAGAGGGCGGGGCCTGGTGCAGTGTTTAAGGAGGTACTCACTCTTAGGGCCTGCGCTGCACCTGCACGACCCTTATAAGAGTGAGCAGCTCCTTACTCCTTACATTTGGTCCTCGCCTAGCTGCCTCGCTTGCCTCTCCCTAGTTCTGACCCTGGATGGGGCGAGGGTAGTGGTGCTTTGCAATGTGAGCCAAGAAGTCTCTTTCTCTTCCAAGGTCAGGCAGAGATTCCTGAGGCTGAAGCCATTGCTCTCCTTTCTGTACTCAAATGAACAGTGTATTTCAGCATATTATCTGAATATTACTCAGATAATATTTCCACCACTCAAACCTACCCTTCTTCAGGGTCCTCCACAGTCCAGCCTACCTTTCTGTCCCTGAATCCTCCAAGCAGTCCCCGTCCCAGCCCTGGCTCATACCTCATACTTCTCTGCTCCTAGAGGGTGAGTCTGGATAGACAGCCTCCGGCGTGGTGCCCCCTCCTCAGGGACCAGGGGCCTGTGCAGAAAGCCTCCTGGGCATGCCCCAGAGGCTGGGAAGTCCAGCACTGCTCTCCCTCGCCCTCTAGAGGCTCGGGGTGGCACTAGGTGAGGTACCTGGGAGGGGTCCTGACTGAGGAGGGGGCCCTGGGCTTCCAGAGAATGTCTGGAGTGTGGCCACGGTTGGGCAACAGCTACATCTGAAGCCCACTGATGGAAGGTGCCCAGCAAGGTTGTTCTGTCGTCTCAGGCAGAAGGGGGTTCAAGGCCGCCCACCTCTGTCTGGGTGTTGCGGGTCTTCCCTCCTGTGGGCCAGAGAAGGGGCTCCCTAACCCGCACCCAGCCAGGCCAGTGGGACAGCCCCTCTCCAACTCCTACCTCCCTCTTGGGCAGCTTCGAGGAGCCTGGAGGCTGCCCCTGCCAGCCCTGGGGGACTGTGGCCCCGTTCTAGAGAGCCAGACATCCCTGAGGACCTTTAGGACAGGAGGGGAGGAAGTGTGAGGAGCTGTGTCCCAAGGTGGCTGTGATCGGGGTTGATGTAGGCAGAACCTGGGAGACGGTGGAAGAAATCTTCAACTCCTGGTAGGGAAGGACACATAGAAAAAGGTGAGGATGGTGGTGTGGAGACAGCCTGGGGGAGAGGCCAGAGTGGACAGAGGCTGTGGAATCACTTAACAAACCTTTCTGGGCGGGGAGACTCGGTGCTGGGGTGTGGGCCTCCAGAGGGGAGTAAGCAGGGCAGACCCACCCTTCCTCATAATACATATGCATAAGCTCATTTGCATAACAACACACCTGCTCACCTGGCCCCCATCGAAGTAACTGGCCTTGCCTCAAATGGTCCATTATTTTTGACTAAAGTATGGGGAAAGGGGACCCATTCTCTTGCTCATCCTTTTCCTTATCTCCCAGATTCCTGGGTTTGGAAGAGAAGGAGGAGTAACTGTGGAATGAGTCACAGAATTATTCCACCTGCCCCAGGGCCAGGCCACGAGTAGAGCGAGGATAGATGTCTCCCTAGAGCCTTACCTGCTGCCCCTGGGGAGGTCTGGGGCTTCCACCCAGAGGAAGAGCAGGGGTGGTCTGGGCAGCCCAGGAGTCTGGGGGAAGGAAGCAAGCACCCTTACTCCTCATGATCTCTGTCCTGTTACCCTCCCCAGTGCCTGGGGCCAGGGCTAGGTGTGTGTTATCTCACCTCAAACAGTGGCTCTGGGCTCCCCTGCCCAAGCTAATGTCATAGTGGAGGCCTCAGGCCCTGCACCAACATGGTTCCGTAGTCCCTGGAGTCAGGCTGGGGGAGCCCAGGGCTGAGGCTCCCTTTCATCCCCTCCCACCAGGAAAGGGTCTTTCTCGGTATTTCCCACAAACACTCATATCACCACTTGACAGCCTTTTCATTCCATTCTCCCGCCTCTCTCAGCCCCACCACACCCCTGACACATTCCTTCCCCCACTTCAGCTCCTGGATCGCAGGCAGGGGCACCCTGCCTATCCCCTCTCCCAAAGCGGGTGCCTGGGAGCTGACATCTTGGCTCACCTTCTCCTCCTTTGTCTTCTCTTCCTTTCCCCCACTCCCCAGCATTTCATCCAAGCCAGAAATGGGCCTAGAAGTCTGTAGAAAGACATCCCGCTGCTATCACTCCACAAATCCTCTAGAGAAGATGAGTTTGGTAGACCTCTGCTTATCTGATTTAAATTCTTCTTGCTGTAATCTCAGCTGTTCTGGTTGGTGGCAATGGGCAAACTCAGGATGTTGGTCAGACAATGGACTGAAGAGTTTACTTTTCTCTGCTTCCCTGCCCAACTGTACTTGAGTAATCTTTATAGTATCTCTAAAAGATGGTCCTGGAATGGTGCTCCCTGGTCCTTCCCTGTCTCTTGCAGTCGGCCAGGACACAGGCGGGAGTATCCACAGCTCTCATTTTACAGCTTCCTTCCCGTTCCCTACAGCAATAGAGGGGGAGCCCTAACGGGGTTTTAGCAATCAGTCCAGCCCCTTCAGTCTGGAAAGGAGGACACTGAGGCAGGGATGGGCGGTGCCTTGCTCCAGGCCACACAACAAGGCAGTGACAGTGGCTGCGTTTGAACCCAGGTGTCCTAACCTCCAGGACCCACACATGGCAATCTGAGGAACTGCTCGGGGAGCAGAGTGCTTAATGACAGGGCTTCAGGGACACTATTTGTCAGAGGGGCTTTCAAGGTAACTCCTGTGGTGGTGTTGGGAGGGGGTGCTCAGCCGATGCCTAGTCTCTCTGTAGCCTTGGTGGGGAGGCCACTGTGACCCAGGTCAGCTTGCCTGGAACAGCTGGGTTTCTGGAAACACTTCTCTCTTCTCTATGGGGCCCTGTCGTGGGTGGTGGTGGTAGACGGGGTTTGTTTGTGTGTGTGTATGTGTGGTTTAGTAGTCCCTGCAGCCTTCAGCCTGGAAAGCTGAGGAGGCATGGAGAGGCAGGGGGTTGGTGGATGAGTGACGGGAGGGAAATGCAGTGGGGGAGGAGATGCCACCGCAGGGCTACGGTCAGAGTTGGTGAAGGGCAGATTCACCGTGCCTCCCTCTGTCCTCCTTAAGACCTCTGGTCATGCCAGGGTCTTATGGAGGGGGCTTGGTGCTCCGCACTGTATTTGTTGCTCTCTCTGGAGTTGCTGTACCAACTCTCCTGGCATCCCGACAGGCAGGAGTATGTCCCATAGCCACAGAAATGCCCTTTTTGCAGGTTCTTCCTAGTTCTTGGAGGGCTAGAAGGAACTGAGGGGATGTGAAGAGCATCTTTCCTCCTAGCTTGTTCCCCACTGCCCAGGCTTGCTCCCCGACAGTGAATGGGAAGTGGGGAGCAGTCACCTTCCCAGGGGGCTCCAGAAAGCTGAGGACAGAGTAGCTAAGCTCACAGAGGAGCACTTAGTCAATGGGACTGACCCAGGAGGGCCCCGGGACAATGGGGCTAGGCAGAAAGGAGCAAGAAAGAAGGAGGCAAGGAGGGATGGAGACATCTGAGGAAAGACAGAGAAGGAAGGGAAAAGGAAATGCTCTGTTCACCCATAACTGTCCATGATCTGGACACTTGGGGTTGGAATTCCACCCCAGAGCTGGGGCTTGCCTTGTCTACCATGTTTTCAACAGTGTCTAGGTCCCATGAGTCCACCGCCTCAGGCCTGGCCTCTGGAATTGAAGGCCTGGTGAGGTACCTGCTATGTTGGGTGTGGGCTACACTTATGCATGAAGATTAGTGGGGAGTCCTGGCCTGGCCTTTCCAAGAGAGGAGGAGGTAGGGAGGCGTGCAGACCAGGGACCCAGACAGGCCTCATTCTCAGCAGGGAGCTGCACATTCCAGCCTAGAGTCAAGAGCGGACTGGGGCAGGGCAGACATTCACCTGGTGTACCCCAGCACGCCTCCTGATTGATTGGTAAATAGCTGTTGTTCCAGTCCTTGAGTTCCCCCTGTGCCTCTCTGGCCACCCCAGTCCCTTACTTGGTCCCCTGGACCTCTCCACCATCCAGAAATTGAGGTTTATGTCTGGCTTGGCATACGCCGTCAGCTCTATGTGAACTGTGCCTGAGCCATAGCAGGTGTTAAATGTTTTGGCCATCATCCTGAGCTCCGCAGGGGCCTTGTGCCCCACAGCTGGAGCTGACTGCGACCAGGTCCTGGAACTTGGAGAAGCTGGCAGCAGGCACAGCAGCTCTGAGCATGCCCTGCCTCACTTCTCCTGATGCTTCCAGCTGTGTTCTGGAAGGAGATGGGTCTGGATAAGCAGGCTGGCATGCAGGGAGATGTAGGCGGGACCATCTCTCCAGGAGACCCCAGTAGGGAATGGTTTAGCTGTGGCCTCTGCAGGGCACTGCCTGGAGTAAGGGAGTGCTGAGCCCCTCTAGGGAAGGAGGAGCAAACAACAGATCCCTGGGTCAGCTGCTGACACACTCCTATGCACGCGGCATCTAGTTCTAGCACCTCCTCTCTGGCACTGCCTGGCTCCCCACCCAGCCAGTCAGCTCTTAGAGGCAGAAGCCCAGTGTATCCCAAAGGTGCCTGGCTCAGTGCTGGGCCCCGATTAAATGATGAAGTGGCCTGGGGAGGTAGAAAGAGCCCCAGGCTGTGAGTTGAGTGATCTGGGTTGAGGTCTTGACTCTATGCAGCGCTCCGGCTTTGGACAACTCTGGGCTTCCTTCTGCTCCTCTGGCCAGTAAGCTTCTTTAGCAGTGGAAACTTTTCCTCAAATGAAATTCCAAGTGAGGGGCCAATAAATGAAGCAGATAAAACTGCATGTACTGTGTTTGCCCACTCCCACACCTTCCTGCTACCTGTCCCATCTCTGAGGACCCTCAAGACTCCTAGGAGCACAGTCTGATGTTCTCCTGACATGGATATCCTCTGACTAATTGCCTGCTTCCCTGAATATCTCGAGGCTATTGGGCCAGGCTGATCCTGGAAGCTGAGGGGAGGCCTCCCCACTCCTCATGCCCTGTACTTCTGGGTCTGGGAAAGCAGGGAGTATGGTGGGACTTTGAATCCAAAGTCCCTGTACTTTCCACTGCCCTACCTAGATGTCCCTGTACCTCCTGTAAAATCAGCATAGAGCCTGGTGCCTGGTAGTCCCTACAAATATTCACAAATTGGAGCTTAGCTCAGCTCTCAGGGGGCCAATCAGGGGGCCAATCATTAACTGGCTTTATCTTTGTGAACCATCCTGGGGGGCCCAGGTCATCGCCCCAGCTTCCAGCCCAGGCCCAGGGGGCTGCTGGGGGAAGGGGCCCTTCTTGCTGGGAGGTAGGGGGCGCCTTGGGTCCCTGCCTCTTTTTTTTCCTGGGACTTCCCCGAAGGAACTCACATTGCAGTCAACTCAGTGACAACCTAGTTACATAGTTGCTTCAAATAAAGACTAAAGCAGGATCCAAGCCAACAGATCCCCCAACCCCTAGTCATCTTTGGCACGCATTATGTAATTTCTTGCTTTTCTTTTTTTTTAACCAGGGGTGGGGTAAACCCATTTCCCTATTTGTTTCTGTTTTACTTTAGCCAGATGATAGTGGGTTTGCATTCTCTAAGAGTTTGCTCACGAATGGGGGTGGGAACAGGAGACAGGGAAGGGAAAAACATTTATATGATACCTACTCTGGGCAAGGAGCTTAGCTGATGTTTGCTGTTTCCATATATTTCCCTACAACCCTGGGAGGTAAGAACCATGAACCTCATTTTACAGATGAGGAAACTGAGGCTCAGACAAGATAAGTGAATTGTCCAAGTCTCAAAGCTTGGAAGTGTTGAACCAAGATCAAACCCAGCCTGTCTGGCTTTTTCCATTACTCGCTATGGGGGTGGTGGGGTGGAGAAAGGGGAGTGGGTGGGTGGCTGAGGCTTTTCACAGTGAGGGTTCATCAAGCTGGTGTCTTTCCTGAAAGGACAGAGGTCTGGCATCTCAGGTAACAGAGGAAGCGGTTCCCTACCTGCTGGGATTTGAGGGGTTCATAAGAACTGCTTCTCCCTTCCATCACTTGGTGCTGAGCCCCAGATTTCACCACTAGTGCTAGATTTCTTTGAGTTAAGCACTGCCCTCTCCAAGAGGCTTTTAAAACACACAGGCCCTGGAAGATGTGACATTTGGTATCAGTCATCTCATCTGGAGTGTTTGAGGGAGATGTTACAGGCTCACAGAGCCTCAGAGCTTAGGGAGTGGAACCTCATGCTTTACCCAGGAGAAGCCTGAGGTCCAGCAAGGGGAGCTGACTCGGCCAAGGTCACACAGCATGCAACAGACTCTGGAAATTTTTTTTTTTTTTTAGACGGAGTCTCGCTTTGTCGCCCAGGCTGGAGTGCAGTGGTGCCATCTTGGCTTACTTGCCTCCTGGGTTTAAGTGATTCTCCTGCCTCAGCCTCCCAAGTAGTTGGTACTATAGGCATGCACAACCACGCCTGGCTAACTTTTGTATTTTTAGTAGAGACAGGGTTTCACCATGTTGGCCAGGCTGATCTTGAACTCCTGACCTCAGGTGATCTGCCCATCTCGGCCTCCCAAAGTGCTGAGATTACAGACGTGAGCCACCACACCCAGCCAGACTCAGGACTTTTTTGCCCAGTGCTGTTTCGAAGTCGCCACATGCCTGTGACAGGTAGACAGGAGGGCTCTGGGTACCAGGTAATGAAGTGAGGGATTAAAGCTGGAGGAAATGTATCTTTCTGCTTTATGCCTTGGCCCAGCTGAGTGGCCCTGTGCTCGTCACAGGCTGGTGTCCTCTGCTCTCCTCCCCTCACTCCTGGGGCAAGCAACAGTGGTGTTCCATGTGTGAGCTGGACCTACCACTAGTGTTGGCTTGTTTAAATTCTCTGACAGAGACAAACTGTCCCGGGGGGCGGGGAAGGCAGTGTGGAGCTCACCCCCTGAGGGAGCAGCATTGTCTCTGTGGGCTTTGGCTGGGAATGTTTCTGAAGACGCCCTAATCCCTTGCCCTGCCTAGCCTCAAAGTCTCTATCACTCAGAGGAGTACTGGGAGGGCTCAGTGTGAGCCATCAGAACCTTCCAGGGTATCTTCCCTTGCTTGTTCTCTTTGCGCAGTCCACTTGGTTTGCTAAACTCCTGCTCTTCCATCAAGACCCAACTCAAGGCCAGGCACGGTGGCTCACGCCTGTAATCCCAGCACTCTGGGAGGCAGAGGTGGGCCGATCACTTGAGGTCAGGAGTTCGAGACCAGCCTGGGCAACATGGTGAAACACCATCTCTACTAAAAACACAAAAATTAGCCAGGTGTGGTGGCAGGCACCTGCAGTCCCAGCTACTCCGGAGGCTGAGGCAGGAGAATTGCTCGAACCTGGGAGGCAGGGGTTGCAGTGAGCCGACATGGCGCCACTGCACTCCAGTCTGGGCGACAGAGTGAGACCCTATCTCAAAAAAAAAAAAAAAAAAAAAAGACCCAACTCAAGTATCATCTCCAGGAAGCCTTCCCCTACTCCCAGCAATTAAATGCTCCTCAGAGAATTCCCATTTTTGGTTTACTCTTTGGTTTACCTCCAGACAGGAAGCCCCCACTGACACTGTTGTAGTCCCAGGGTGCAACACAAAGCAGAGATCACAAGCTGAGTTTAATAATTGCTTGTGGAATACATGTCCCAAGCCACCTCCTGCAGGAAGCCCTTCCAGATGCCCATTCTAGCCAGTCTGGCTCTTTGCTTCCATACCTTCACAACACTTGTGCCTCCCCCAGGGCCTCTTTCTCATCTTGCTTTCTGGGGCAGCTGTGTGCACATTTGTCTGTGTGCAGCAACTCTCTAAGGCAGGGATTTTTACTCCTATTTTTGATGAGGGGAGCTGTGGCTCAGAGAGGTTGAATAACCTAAGGCCACACAGTGAGTGGCAGAGCCAGGAATGTGACTTGGGTCCATTTGAATCCAAAGTCCCTGTACTTTCCACTGCCCTACCTAGATGTCCCTGTACCTCCTATAAAATCAGCATGGAGCCTGGTGCCTGGTAGTCCCTACAAATATTCACAAATTGGAGCTTAGCTCAGCTCTCAGGCAAGGCCCAGGTCAAAAGGGCAGATACAGCTTTGGGACCTTAGTTGCCACCACATGCCATACCTTCTTCCCAGCAGAAGGACTCCCTCCAAGACAGGGTAGGGGTGGAGGATGTGAACAGGGGCAGAAATGGGCATGTTTTGGGGTCAGACTTGGAGGAATAGCAGAGATTGGAGTGTCAGAAGGTGAGCATGCCTGGGGGTGTTGGGGAGATGCAATTCATCAGGGACAGCTTAGTGTCAGGGGATTAGACTGGGGCCCATGAAGGAGAGGCAGAGGCTGATGGGCCTAGGGGTGGTGTGGGTAGGTGAGCTTCCCCAGACAGTGACTCTGCCCTGCCCTCTCTCCAGCTAGGTCCTCTTCCCCATTCCTTCCCCCTTTCCTGACTGGATCCTCTTGGGAGAGTTACCCTCCTTGGCTTCCTCTGCTCCAATCTTTTTATCAGTTGGCCATCATTACTTATCATTACCTCAAGTCAAACCTCCAGATCCACATGGGGCTAGGACATTGGCACTGGACCAAAGAGGCCCTTTCCTTTGCTTTCTCTTTGTCTTTTTAATGCTTTGTTGCAAAGACCTAGGCGGGGAGAGAGAGAGAGAGAGAGAGACAGAGATTGACCCACAGTCAGGGTCAGGGAATTGAGGGGAACCAACCCAATTCTCTCTCCTTCAATTCACCAGGTTTGTATCCTGCCCTTCCTGCAGATCAGTGTCCTGCTAGTCACCTGGGGGTCAGGGGATGGAGTGAAGGACAAGACCTCCTTCCATTGCAGTGAAGCCACTTGGAGAAATGTGTGGAAAACAGCAAGACCCAGTGACTCTCTCCTCACCTTCTTTCCAATCTCAGGAGAGATTTTGTCCCTTCATCCACCGGCTTCTAGATTAACCACCCACACCCACACAGGCGAGAGTTTCCCTGAATATTGGAGGTGACAGGACATCAGGACAAAGTACAACTATTGTGCCTTGGCCCAATCACTACTTTCTTTGTCTGGGGCCGCCGCTGGCTCCTGGCTGCCTTTCGCACTTTTCTCCACCCCCACCCCTTTCTCCCCTTCCCCCTCACCTGGAACACCTTCCCCTTCCTCCTTGGCTCCTTCTGAACTGCCTTCAGAGCCACAGACTGTGGGGAGTGGCCACTGCGCTCCCAAGGTGAGGCCCTCCAAGCGGGGCCGAGTTTGCCCCTCAACTGGGAGCCAGCATGACCTCTGTGTGGGCTGCTCTCTGCTTCACTGCCCCTTCCCCCAATCTGCTAGGTGACCCTGGGCCCCTTTGTGCCCTCTCTGGGCCTTCGGAGGATTCTTTGGGGAGACAGTCTGCTCTGACGCCCCTTCCCCTGCAGCAAGCAGCCTGGGGAGGGAGGTGAGGATAAGTGAAGTCAAGTTGTTCAGGGGGCTAAGCCCATGGAAGGGAAGATGCCACAGAGATACATGTGGTCTTGTGATTGTTGTTTTGTGCTTTTTCCCCTTTTTTGAAAGCTCAGGTGACTAGGTGACTTGAGCTTTTAATTTGGTGACAATGTGGGCACTGGCTGAGTCCTTAAGAGTACATTGTTGTAAATGCCGGTGACAACACACTGGGGCATGGGATCCAGAGTTAACCCCTCCAGGTCACAGCCAGGTTATATCTCCACAATGAAGGGGGGAGGTGGGCCATACTTTCTCGCCCTAATGAAGGTAGCTCAAAAACCCCTAGGCCAGGTTGTAATCCTAGCCTTATATAAAAGGAATTCTGTGCCCTCACTCCCCTGGATCCCTGGGCAAAGCCCCAGAGGGAAACACAAACAGGTTGTTGTAACACACCTTGCTGGGTACCACCATGGAGGACAGTTGGCTTATGGGGGTGGGGGGTGCCTGGGGCCACGGAGTGACTGGTGATGGCTATCCCTCCTTGGAACCCCTCCAGCCTCCTCTTAGCTTCAGATTTGTTTATTTGTTTTTTACTAAGACCTGCTCTTTCAGGTCTGTTGGCTCTTTTAGGGGCTGAAGAAGGCCGAGTTGAGAAGGGATGCAAGGGAGGGGGCCAGAATGAGCCCTTAGGGCTCAGAGCCTCCATCCTGCCCCAAGATGTCTACAGCTTGTGCTCCTGGGGTGCTAGAGGCGCACAAGGAGGAAAGTTAGTGGCTTCCCTTCCATATCCCGTTCATCAGCCTAGAGCATGGAGCCCAGGTGAGGAGGCCTGCCTGGGAGGGGGCCCTGAGCCAGGAAATAAACATTTACTAACTGTACAAAGACCTTGTCCCTGCTGCTGGGGAGCCTGCCAAGTGGTGGAGACAGGACTAGTGCACGAATGATGGAAAGGGAGGGTTGGGGTGGGTGGGAGCCAGCCCTTTTCCTCATAAGGGCCTTAGGACACCATACCGATGGAACTGGGGGTACTGGGGAGGTAACCTAGCACCTCCACCAAACCACAGCAACATGTGCTGAGGATGGGGCTGACTAGGTAAGCTCCCTGGAGCGTTTTGGTTAAATTGAGGGAAATTGCTGCATTCCCATTCTCAGTCCATGCCTCCACAGAGGCTATGCCAGCTGTAGGCCAGACCCTGGCAAGATCTGGGTGGATAATCAGACTGACTGGTCCCACTCTTCCCACAGGCCTCAGAGCCCCAACTTTGTTCCCTGGGGCAGCCTGGAAATAGCCAGGTCAGAAACCAGCTAGGAATTTTTCCAAGCTGCTTCCTATATGCAAGAATGGGATGGGGCCTTTGGGAGCACTTAGGGAAGATGTGGAGAGTTGGAGGAAAAGGGGGCTTGGAGGTAAGGGAGGGGACTGGGGGAAGGATAGGGGAGAAGCTGTGAGCCTGGAGAAGTAGCCAAGGGATCCTGAGGGAATGGGGGAGCTGAGACGAAACCCCCATTTCTATTCAGAAGATGAGCTATGAGTCTGGGCTTGGGCTGATAGAAGCCTTGGCCCCTGGCCTGGTGGGAGCTCTGGGCAGCTGGCCTACAGACGTTCCTTAGTGCTGGCGGGTAGGTTTGAATCATCACGCAGGCCCTGGCCTCCACCCGCCCCCACCAGCCCCCTGGCCTCAGTTCCCTGGCAACATCTGGGGTTGGGGGGGCAGCAGGAACAAGGGCCTCTGTCTGCCCAGCTGCCTCCCCCTTTGGGTTTTGCCAGACTCCACAGTGCATACGTGGGCTCCAACAGGTCCTCTTCCCTCCCAGTCACTGACTAACCCCGGAACCACACAGCTTCCCGTTCTCAGCTCCACAAACTTGGTGCCAAATTCTTCTCCCCTGGGAAGCATCCCTGGACACTTCCCAAAGGACCCCAGTCACTCCAGCCTGTTGGCTGCCGCTCACTTTGATGTCTGCAGGCCAGATGAGGGCTCCAGATGGCACATTGTCAGAGGGACACACTGTGGCCCCTGTGCCCAGCCCTGGGCTCTCTGTACATGAAGCAACTCCAGTCCCAAATATGTAGCTGTTTGGGAGGTCAGAAATAGGGGGTCCAGGAGCAAACTCCCCCCACCCCCTTTCCAAAGCCCATTCCCTCTTTAGCCAGAGCCGGGGTGTGCAGACGGCAGTCACTAGGGGGCGCTCGGCCACCACAGGGAAGCTGGGTGAATGGAGCGAGCAGCGTCTTCGAGAGTGAGGACGTGTGTGTCTGTGTGGGTGAGTGAGTGTGTGCGTGTGGGGTTGAGGGCGTTGGAGCGGGGAGAAGGCCAGGGGTCACTCCAGGATTCCAATAGATCTGTGTGTCCCTCTCCCCACCCGTCCCTGTCCGGCTCTCCGCCTTCCCCTGCCCCCTTCAATATTCCTAGCAAAGAGGGAACGGCTCTCAGGCCCTGTCCGCACGTAACCTCACTTTCCTGCTCCCTCCTCGCCAATGCCCCGCGGGCGCGTGTCTCTGGACAGAGTTTCCGGGGGCGGATGGGTAATTTTCAGGCTGTGAACCTTGGTGGGGGTCGAGCTTCCCCTTCATTGCGGCGGGCTGCGGGCCAGGCTTCACTGAGCGTCCGCAGAGCCCGGGCCCGAGCCGCGTGTGGAAGGGCTGAGGCTCGCCTGTCCCCGCCCCCCGGGGCGGGCCGGGGGCGGGGTCCCGGCGGGGCGGAGCCATGCGCCCCCCCCTTTTTTTTTTAAAAGTCGGCTGGTAGCGGGGAGGATCGCGGAGGCTTGGGGCAGCCGGGTAGCTCGGAGGTCGTGGCGCTGGGGGCTAGCACCAGCGCTCTGTCGGGAGGCGCAGCGGTTAGGTGGACCGGTCAGCGGACTCACCGGCCAGGGCGCTCGGTGCTGGAATTTGATATTCATTGATCCGGGTTTTATCCCTCTTCTTTTTTCTTAAACATTTTTTTTTAAAACTGTATTGTTTCTCGTTTTAATTTATTTTTGCTTGCCATTCCCCACTTGAATCGGGCCGACGGCTTGGGGAGATTGCTCTACTTCCCCAAATCACTGTGGATTTTGGAAACCAGCAGAAAGAGGAAAGAGGTAGCAAGAGCTCCAGAGAGAAGTCGAGGAAGAGAGAGACGGGGTCAGAGAGAGCGCGCGGGCGTGCGAGCAGCGAAAGCGACAGGGGCAAAGTGAGTGACCTGCTTTTGGGGGTGACCGCCGGAGCGCGGCGTGAGCCCTCCCCCTTGGGATCCCGCAGCTGACCAGTCGCGCTGACGGACAGACAGACAGACACCGCCCCCAGCCCCAGCTACCACCTCCTCCCCGGCCGGCGGCGGACAGTGGACGCGGCGGCGAGCCGCGGGCAGGGGCCGGAGCCCGCGCCCGGAGGCGGGGTGGAGGGGGTCGGGGCTCGCGGCGTCGCACTGAAACTTTTCGTCCAACTTCTGGGCTGTTCTCGCTTCGGAGGAGCCGTGGTCCGCGCGGGGGAAGCCGAGCCGAGCGGAGCCGCGAGAAGTGCTAGCTCGGGCCGGGAGGAGCCGCAGCCGGAGGAGGGGGAGGAGGAAGAAGAGAAGGAAGAGGAGAGGGGGCCGCAGTGGCGACTCGGCGCTCGGAAGCCGGGCTCATGGACGGGTGAGGCGGCGGTGTGCGCAGACAGTGCTCCAGCCGCGCGCGCTCCCCAGGCCCTGGCCCGGGCCTCGGGCCGGGGAGGAAGAGTAGCTCGCCGAGGCGCCGAGGAGAGCGGGCCGCCCCACAGCCCGAGCCGGAGAGGGAGCGCGAGCCGCGCCGGCCCCGGTCGGGCCTCCGAAACCATGAACTTTCTGCTGTCTTGGGTGCATTGGAGCCTTGCCTTGCTGCTCTACCTCCACCATGCCAAGGTAAGCGGTCGTGCCCTGCTGGCGCCGCGGGCCGCTGCGAGCGCCTCTCCCGGCTGGGGACGTGCGTGCGAGCGCGCGCGTGGGGGCTCCGTGCCCCACGCGGGTCCATGGGCACCAGGCGTGCGGCGTCCCCCTCTGTCGTCTTAGGTGCAGGGGGAGGGGGCGCGCGCGCTAGGTGGGAGGGTACCCGGAGAGAGGCTCACCGCCCACGCGGGCCCTGCCCACCCACCGGAGTCACCGCACGTACGATCTGGGCCGACCAGCCGAGGGCGGGAGCCGGAGGAGGAGGCCGAGGGGGCTGGGCTTGCGTTGCCGCTGCCGGCTGAAGTTTGCTCCCGGCCGCTGGTCCCGGACGAACTGGAAGTCTGAGCAGCGGGGGCGGGAGCCAGAGACCAGTGGGCAGGGGGTGCTCGGACCTTGGACCGCGGGAGGGCAGAGAGCGTGGAGGGGGCAGGGCGCAGGAGGGAGAGGGGGCTTGCTGTCACTGCCACTCGGTCTCTTCAGCCCTCGCCGCGAGTTTGGGAAAAGTTTTGGGGTGGATTGCTGCGGGGACCCCCCCTCCCTGCTGGGCCACCTGCGCCGCGCCAACCCCGCCCGTCCCCGCTCGCGTCCCGCTCGGTGCCCGCCCTCCCCCGCCCGGCCGGGTGCGCGCGGCGCGGAGCCGATTACATCAGCCCGGGCCTGGCCGGCCGCGTGTTCCCGGAGCCTCGGCTGCCCGAATGGGGAGCCCAGAGTGGCGAGCGGCACCCCTCCCCCCGCCAGCCCTCCGCGGGAAGGTGACCTCTCGAGGTAGCCCCAGCCCGGGGATCCAGAGAACCATCCCTACCCCTTCCTACTGTCTCCAGACCCTACCTCTGCCCAGTGCTAGGAGGAATTTCCTGACGCCCCTTCTCTTCACCCATTTCCTTTTTAGCCTGGAGAGAAGCCCCTGTCACCCCGCTTATTTTCATTTCTCTCTGCGGAGAAGATCCATCTAACCCCTTTCTGGCCCCAGAGTCCAGGGAAAGGATGATCACTGTCAGAAGTCGTGGCGCGGGAGCCCACTGGGCGCTTTGTCACATTCCACCGAAAGTCCCGACTTGGTGACAGTGTGCTTCCCTTCCCTCGCCAACAGTTCCGAGTGAGCTGTGCTTTAGCTCTCGTGGGGGTGGGTCAAGGGAGGATTTGAAGAGTCATTGCCCCACTTTACCCTTTTGGAGAAATGGCTTGAAATTTGCTGTGACACGGGCAGCATGGGAATAGTCCTTCCTGAACCCTGGAAAGGAGCTCCTGCCAGCCTTGCACACACTTTGTCCTGGTGAAAGGCAGCCCTGGAGCAGGTGTTTTTTTGGAACTCCAAACCTGCCCACCCAACTTGCTTCTGAAAGGGACTCTAAAGGGTCCCTTTCCGCTCCTCTCTGACGCCTTCCCTCAGCCAGAATTCCCTTGGAGAGGAGGCAAGAGGAAAGCCATGGACAGGGGTCGCTGCTAACACCGCAAGTTCCTCAGACCCTGGCACAAAGGCCTTGGCTACAGGCCTCCAAGTAGGGAGGAGGGGGAGGAGTGGCTGCCTGGCCACAGTGTGACCTTCAGAGGCCCCCAGAGAAGGACACCTGGCCCCTGCCTGCCTAGAACCGCCCCTCCTGTGCTCCCTGGCCTTGGAAGGGGTATGAAATTTCCGTCCCCTTTCCTCCTTGGGGCCCAGGAGGAGTGGAGGGTCCCGGGAGAATATTGTCAGGGGGAAGGCAGGGGGTGTCATGGGAATGGGTGAGGGGGCTGAGGTGCAGAATCCAGGGGGTCCCTGCAGGAGCCGCAGTGGTAAGCTGTCCAGCTGGAAGCCTGGTAACTGTTGTTTTCTCTTGAGAGGGGCTTCCTGTGACCTTGGCTGTCTCTGGGAGCAGGGCTGGGGTACCTGAGTGGGGTGCATTTGGGGTGTGTGGGAAGGAGAGGGAAAGAAAGATGGACAGTGGGACTCTCCCCTAGCAGGGTCTGGTGTTCCGTAGGCTAGAGTGCCCCTCTGCTCTGCGAGTGCTGGGCGGGAGGGGAGTTGGTGAGAGCTGGAGACCCCCAGGAAGGGCTGGCAGAAGCCTTTCCTTTTGGGTGCTGTCAGGTCCGCATGTCTTGGCGTGTTGACCTTCACAGCTTCTGGCGAGGGGAGGAATGATCTGATGCGGGTGGGGAGGGTTAGAGGAGGCCTCAGGCCTAAGGTGGTGCAGGGGGCCCCCTAGGGGCTGGGCAGTGCCAAGGCATAAAAGCCTTCCCTGGTCCCTGGTGGCATTTGAAGGTGCCCAGGTGAGAGGGGCTTGGCACCTCCTCACCCTGGGAGGGAGAAGAAACCAGGGAACAGGTAGGAGTGGGAGACAGGTGAGGCTTTGGAAATCTATTGAGGCTCTGGAGAGATTTGTGTAGAGAGGAAAATGTGGTTCTCCCCCAGGGTCTCCTCCTGGGTTTTTACCCTCTAAGCAACCTGTGGGCATGCTGGGTTATTCCTAAGGACTAGAAGAGCTTGGATGGGGGAGGGTGGTTGGTGCCCTTCGGTCCTCGGCACCCCCCTCCGTCTCCAACACCAGCTCACCCTGGTATTTGTCATGTCAGCAGGAGAAGGTCACCATGTTGTTTTTCTCGCCCCTAGTCCTTCCTTCCTGCCCCAGTCCAAATTTGTCCTCCTATTTGACCTTAATACTTACCATGGCTTTGGACCAGGGAACTAGGGGGATAGTGAGAGCAGGGAGAGGGAAGTGTGGGGAAGGTACAGGGGACCTCGACAGTGAAGCATTCTGGGGTTTTCCTCCTGCATTTCGAGCTCCCCAGCCCCCAACATCTGGTTAGTCTTTAACTTCCTCGGGTTCATAACCATAGCAGTCCAGGAGTGGTGGGCATATTCTGTGCCCGTGGGGACCCCCGGTTGTGTCCTGTTCGACTCAGAAGACTTGGAGAAGCCAGAGGCTGTTGGTGGGAGGGAAGTGAGGAGGGAGGAGGGGCTGGGTGGCTGGGCCTGTGCACCCCAGCCCCTGCCCATGCCCATGCCTTGCTCTCTTTCTGTCCTCAGTGGTCCCAGGCTGCACCCATGGCAGAAGGAGGAGGGCAGAATCATCACGAAGGTGAGTCCCCCTGGCTGTTGGATGGGGTTCCCTGTCCTCTCAGGGGATGGGTGGATGGCCTAATTCCTTTTTCTTCAGAACTGTGGGGAGGAAGGGGAAGGGGCACAGGAATATAAGGATCAAGAAAGAAAGAGCTGGGCACCACGAGGTTCACCCTCAGTTTCGTGAGGACTCTCCGCTGTTCAGGTCTCTGCTAGAAGTAGGACTTGTTGCCTTTTTCTTCTGCTCTTTCCAGTAAAATTTTATTTGGAGAAGGAGTCGTGCGCACAGAGCAGGAAGACAGTGTTCAGGGATCCTAGGTGTTGGGGGAAGTGTCCCTTGTTTCCCCTAGCTCCCAGGGGAGAGTGGACATTTAGTGTCATTTCCTATATAGACATGTCCCATTTGTGGGAACTGTGACCCTTCCTGTGTGAGCTGGAGGCACAGAGGGCTCAGCCTAATGGGATCTCTCCTCCCTTCCCTGGTTTGCATTCCTTTGGGGGTGGAGAAAACCCCATTTGACTATGTTCGGGTGCTGTGAACTTCCCTCCCAGGCCAGCAGAGGGCTGGCTGTAGCTCCCAGGCGCCCCGCCCCCCTGCCCAACCCCGAGTCCGCCTGCCTTTTGTTCCGTTGTGGTTTGGATCCTCCCATTTCTCTGGGGACACCCTGGCTCTCCCCACCACTGACTGTGGCCTGTGCTCTCCACCTCTGGGGAGGGAAGGCCCTGGGGTCTTCCTTCCCGCGAGTTTCCCTGACCTAAATCTGGCGTGGCTGGGTAGTGGCCAGCAGTGGTGATGCCCAGCCTGTTCTGCCTCCTCCTTCCCCACCCCAGGAGCCCTTTCCTTGGCCTAGGACCTGGCTTCTCAGCCACTGACCGGCCCCCTGCTTCCAGTGCGCCACTTACCCCTTCCAGCTTCCCAGTGGTCTCTGGTCTGGGAGAGGCAGGACAAAGGTCTTTGTTTGCTGGAGAAAAGGTTGTCTGCGATAAATAAGGAAAACCACGAAAGCCTGGTTGTTGGAGTGTACGTGTGTGCTCCCCCAGGCAGTGGAGGCCAGCCCTCCTTGGAGGGGCGGCTGCCTGATGAAGGATGCGGGTGAGGTTCCCCGCCTCCACCTCCCATGGGACTTGGGGATTCATTCCAAGGGGAAGCTTTTTGGGGGAATTCCTACCCCAGGTCTTTTTACCCTCAGTTACCAACCCCTTGCCCAGGCCAGACCTTCCTGCTATCCCCTCCTGGGCCACAAGCCTGGCCCTCCTCTGTCCCAATTGTGATGAAGGGGCAGTTCAAAACTTCTTGATTAGTCATCTTCTCCCCTATCGACTTGGCTTTAAAAAATGACCTTTTCAGACTTCTAGTCTCGTTCACTCTTTTTGATGATGCTTTGCCGTAACCCTTCGTGGGTAGAGAAGGATTCTGTGCCCATTGGTGGTCTGGATAAAAGAAATAGAGACCTCACAGGAAGCAGTGGACTGGCCTGTTTCCCCACTGTTCTTTCTGTTTTCACACCTGTGGCCTTCTCCCCACCTTCTTCCCAATCAACCTATTGTGTACATAGCCCCCCTCATTGTCCTTTATTCTTCTGGAAAGCAGACCTTGGAGGGAGGAGTGAGGGGGAGGCTCAGCTGTGGTCTCTGGGGGGTGGGGGTTGGGAGCTGGGGTGGAAGTCCACGAAGCATACACTTAAGATGCTTTGGTGAAGTTCTAAACTTCATATTACCCAGGCTGAAAAAAGAGCACTTGTTCCTAGGGCTGGAAATGGAAGCCAAAACACCACCTTTTTCAGCCTGTTTCAGCATCTTTAGAGATCAGCCCAACCCACTTACACAGTTGAGCAGAGTTGGAGGCCTAGAGAGGGGAGGGACTGGCCCAAGGTCATACCAACTCATGGCCAGAGCCTGGGCCTCCTCACTGGCCAGGTGTTATTTCTTCCCTCTGGGTAGGGAACCTATTTCAGGGACAGGATTGCTATGTGGTAGTGGTGGTGGGGTGCGATAGGCGTGGCAGGCTGGGCCACAATTTGGAGTAGTCATGCCAGAGTCCTGCATTTATTTATTCTCAAGGGCCCCGCCTCTGTGGCCCAGAATTACCCCTTCATGCTCCAGTGCACCCCAGGCTTCGTGGCCAGCCTGGGAAACTGTCTCTACCCTGGTCTCCCTTCAGATCAGCTTCTAGAAATGTTTCGTGGCTACAGTGGCAGCACTGTTTTTTCCATGATGCAAGCAGTTTGCCCTCTTGGGCGGGGTTATCAGTGGCTGGCAGGGCTGGCACAGCGTGTCCGCCCACTGCCACCTGTGGGTTCCAGGAGGGCCCAGCCCCTGTGCTGATGCCCACCACCTTCTCAGCTCATGTCTGGGGAAGAGGACTGGCAGGGGGAAAGGTGCCTCCTCCTGAAAGGTGCCTCCTCTGTTTTTGCCTAATATAGGCTTGGGAACACTTTGATGTCAGCTAATTCTGACTCCTTTACTTACTAGCTGTGCGGCCTTGGGGCAACTTACTTAGCCTCTTTGAGCCTCCTGTTCCCCATCTGTAAAATGGAATCTCAATAGTGTCTAATAGTACCATGTGGAGAAACTTGTGTGAAATGATAGCTGTGGACTACTGTACACAGTACTCAGGATGTAGTAAGTGCTCAATAAACAGCTGTTGGTATGGTTGACGTTATGGTAGTGGTTGTGGGGAGGACGTAGGAAACTGGAGACTAGCTTGGCAAAGCTGGCTCTTCCTCCTTTTAGGGAAAGCTTAGAGCATCCCCATGGGGTATACCCATACTCAGACTGTCCTCTGGCATCGAGGTTGGCCCAGGATTCAGTTCAGCTGTCACAGTGAGGTGGCGGGATCAGATGTGGCAGGCCATGTCCCTTGGAACTTGAGTACATCGTGTGATCTCTGGAATGAAAACAGGCCTTCACCAGTGTTGATGGTGGAAAGCTTAGGGAAGTGCTTCAAACACAGTAGGAGGGACTTACGTTAGATTTTGGAAGGACTTGCCTGATTCGGAAGCTCCAAAGAGTGGCATTACAGAGCTGGGTGGAGAGAGGGGCTAGCCATCTTTTGTGTCGCCCACCGGGCTCATGTGTCATCGCCTCTCATGCAGTGGTGAAGTTCATGGATGTCTATCAGCGCAGCTACTGCCATCCAATCGAGACCCTGGTGGACATCTTCCAGGAGTACCCTGATGAGATCGAGTACATCTTCAAGCCATCCTGTGTGCCCCTGATGCGATGCGGGGGCTGCTGCAATGACGAGGGCCTGGAGTGTGTGCCCACTGAGGAGTCCAACATCACCATGCAGGTGGGCATCTTTGGGAAGTGGGGCAAGGGGGGGATAGGGAGGGGGGTAACACTTTGGGAACAGGTGGTCCCAGGTCGTTTCCTGGCTAGATTTGCCTTGTCTGGCTCCTGCCCCTGAGTTGCACAGGGGAGGTATGGTGGGGTCTTGCCTTCTGTGGAGAAGATGCTTCATTCCCAGCCCAGGTTCCCAGCAAGCCCCAACCATCTCCTTCTCCCTGATGGTTGCCCATGGGCTCAGGAGGGGACAGATGGATGCCTGTGTCAGGAGCCCCTCTCTCCCTCTCTTGGAGAGAGTCCTGAGTGCCCCCCCTTCTTGGGGGCTTTGTTTGGGAAGCTGGATGAGCCTGGTCCATGGAGAGTTTAAAAAGTCTTTTGGTGTTACCTGGTAATGGGGCACATCTCAGCCCAGATAGGGTGGGAGGGAGCTGTGAAACACAGGGAGGGGGTTGCTTTCGGGTATCTACTAGGAGTCAGGGTGAAGCCTAGAGAGGATGAAAGAAGGGGAGGGGATGGGGAGTGGTAAGAACCTAGGATTTGAATTCCCAGCCTGGCCAACCCTTGCAGCCATGTCTTGGCCTCAAGTGGAACAAGGGCTCCTTGAGGCCAGCAGGGTTGGGGGAGTTGGGGTGGGCCTGAGCCTCTTTCCTGCTAGAGCTCTTGGTCCTCCCTGCCTCCACCACCCATCCCTGCTCTGCAGAACCCCTGGGTGCTGAGTGGCAGGAGCCCCAGGGTTGTCCCATCTGGGTATGGCTGGCTGGGTCACTAACCTCTGTGATCTGCTTCCTTCCTTTCCAGATTATGCGGATCAAACCTCACCAAGGCCAGCACATAGGAGAGATGAGCTTCCTACAGCACAACAAATGTGAATGCAGGTGAGGATGTAGTCACGGATTCATTATCAGCAAGTGGCTGCAGGGTGCCTGATCTGTGCCAGGGTTAAGCATGCTGTACTTTTTGGCCCCCGTCCAGCTTCCCGCTATGTGACCTTTGGCATTTTACTTCAATGTGCCTCAGTTTCTACATCTGTAAAATGGGCACAATAGTAGTATACTTCATAGCATTGTTATAATGATTAAACAAGTTATATATGAAAAGATTAAAACAGTGTTGCTCCATAATAAATGCTGTTTTTACTGTGATTATTATTGTTGTTATCCCTATCATTATCATCACCATCTTAACCCTTCCCTGTTTTGCTCTTTTCTCTCTCCCTACCCATTGCAGACCAAAGAAAGATAGAGCAAGACAAGAAAAGTAAGTGGCCCTGACTTTAGCACTTCTCCCTCTCCATGGCCGGTTGTCTTGGTTTGGGGCTCTTGGCTACCTCTGTTGGGGGCTCCCATAGCCTCCCTGGGTCAGGGACTTGGTCTTGTGGGGGACTTGTGGTGGCAGCAACAATGGGATGGAGCCAACTCCAGGATGATGGCTCTAGGGCTAGTGAGAAAACATAGCCAGGAGCCTGGCACTTCCTTTGGAAGGGACAATGCCTTCTGGGTCTCCAGATCATTCCTGACCAGGACTTGCTGTTTCGGTGTGTCAGGGGGCACTGTGGACACTGGCTCACTGGCTTGCTCTAGGACACCCACAGTGGGGAGAGGGAGTGGGTGGCAGAGAGGCCAGCTTTTGTGTGTCAGAGGAAATGGCCTCTTTTGGTGGCTGCTGTGACGGTGCAGTTGGATGCGAGGCCGGCTGGAGGGTGGTTTCTCAGTGCATGCCCTCCTGTAGGCGGCAGGCGGCAGACACACAGCCCTCTTGGCCAGGGAGAAAAAGTTGAATGTTGGTCATTTTCAGAGGCTTGTGAGTGCTCCGTGTTAAGGGGCAGGTAGGATGGGGTGGGGGACAAGGTCTGGCGGCAGTAACCCTTCAAGACAGGGTGGGCGGCTGGCATCAGCAAGAGCTTGCAGGGAAAGAGAGACTGAGAGAGAGCACCTGTGCCCTGCCCTTTCCCCCACACCATCTTGTCTGCCTCCAGTGCTGTGCGGACATTGAAGCCCCCACCAGGCCTCAACCCCTTGCCTCTTCCCTCAGCTCCCAGCTTCCAGAGCGAGGGGATGCGGAAACCTTCCTTCCACCCTTTGGTGCTTTCTCCTAAGGGGGACAGACTTGCCCTCTCTGGTCCCTTCTCCCCCTCCTTTCTTCCCTGTGACAGACATCCTGAGGTGTGTTCTCTTGGGCTTGGCAGGCATGGAGAGCTCTGGTTCTCTTGAAGGGGACAGGCTACAGCCTGCCCCCCTTCCTGTTTCCCCAAATGACTGCTCTGCCATGGGGAGAGTAGGGGGCTCGCCTGGGCTCGGAAGAGTGTCTGGTGAGATGGTGTAGCAGGCTTTGACAGGCTGGGGAGAGAACTCCCTGCCAAGTACCGCCCAAGCCTCTCCTCCCCAGACCTCCTTAACTCCCACCCCATCCTGCTGCCTGCCCAGGGCTCCAGGACACCCAGCCCTGCCTCCCAGTCCAGGTCGTGCTGAGCAGGCTGGTGTTGCTCTTGGTTCCGTGCCAGCTCCCAAGGTAGCCGCTTCCCCCACACCGGGATTCCCAGAGGTTCTGTCGCAGTTGCAAATGAAGGCACAAGGCCTGATACACAGCCCTCCCTCCCACTCCTGCTCCCCATCCAGGCAGGTCTCTGACCTTCTCCCCAAAGTCTGGCCTACCTTTTATCACCCCCGGACCTTCAGGGTCAGACTTGGACAGGGCTGCTGGGCAAAGAGCCTTCCCTCAGGCTTTGCCCCCTGCCGGGGACTGGGAGCCACTGTGAGTGTGGAGACCTTTGGGTCCTGTGCCCTCCACCCAGTCTCGGCTTCCCACCAAAGCCTTGTCAGGGGCTGGGTTTGCCATCCCATGGTGGGCAGCGTGAGGAGAAGAAAGAGCCATCGAGTGCTTGCTGCCCAGACACGCCTGTGTGCGCCCGCGCATGCCTCCCCAGAGACCACCTGCCTCCTGACACTTCCTCCGGGAAGCGGCCCTGTGTGGCTTTGCTTTGGTCGTTCCCCCATCCCTGCCCACCTTACCACTTCTTTTACTCCCCCCACCGCCCCCGCTCTCTCTCTGTCTCTGTTTTTTTATTTTCCAGAAAATCAGTTCGAGGAAAGGGAAAGGGGCAAAAACGAAAGCGCAAGAAATCCCGGTATAAGTCCTGGAGCGTGTACGTTGGTGCCCGCTGCTGTCTAATGCCCTGGAGCCTCCCTGGCCCCCAGTACAACCTCCGCCTGCCATTCCCTGTAACCCTGCCTCCCTCCCCTGGTCCTTCCCTGGCTCTCATCCTCCTGGCCCGTGTCTCTCTCTCACTCTCTCACTCCACTAATTGGCACCAACGGGTAGATTTGGTGGTGGCATTGCTGGTCCAGGGTTGGGGTGAATGGGGGTGCCGACTTGGCCTGGAGGATTAAGGGAGGGGACCCTGGCTTGGCTGGGCACCGATTTTCTCTCACCCACTGGGCACTGGTGGCGGGCCCATGTTGGCACAGGTGCCTGCTCACCCAACTGGTTTCCATTGCTCTAGGCTTCTGCACTCGTCTGGAAGCTGAGGGTGGTGGGGAGGGCAGACATGGCCCAAGAAGGGCTGTGAATGACTGGAGGCAGCTTGCTGAATGACTCCTTGGCTGAAGGAGGAGCTTGGGTGGGATCAGACACCATGTGGCGGCCTCCCTTCATCTGGTGGAAGTGCCCTGGCTCCTCACGGAGGTGGGGCCTCTGGAGGGGAGCCCCCTATTCCGGCCCAACCCATGGCACCCACAGAGGCCTCCTTGCAGGGCAGCCTCTTCCTCTGGGTCGGAGGCTGTGGTGGGCCCTGCCCTGGGCCCTCTGGCCACCAGCGGCCTGGCCTGGGGACACCGCCTCCGGGCTTAGCCTCCCATCACACCCTACTTTAGCCCACCTTGGTGGAAGGGCCTGGACATGAGCCTTGCACGGGGAGAAGGTGGCCCCTGATTGCCATCCCCAGCAGGTGAAGAGTCAAGGCGTGCTCCGATGGGGGCAACAGCAGTTGGGTCCCTGTGGCCTGAGACTCACCCTTGTCTCCCAGAGACACAGCATTGCCCCTTATGGCAGCCTCTCCCTGCACTCTCTGCCCGTCTGTGCCCGCCTCTTCCTGCGGCAGGTGTCCTAGCCAGTGCTGCCTCTTTCCGCCGCTCTCTCTGTCTTTTGCTGTAGCGCTCGGATCCTTCCAGGGCCTGGGGGCTGACCGGCTGGGTGGGGGTGCAGCTGCGGACATGTTAGGGGGTGTTGCATGGTGATTTTTTTTCTCTCTCTCTGCTGATGCTCTAGCTTAGATGTCTTTCCTTTTGCCTTTTTGCAGTCCCTGTGGGCCTTGCTCAGAGCGGAGAAAGCATTTGTTTGTACAAGATCCGCAGACGTGTAAATGTTCCTGCAAAAACACAGACTCGCGTTGCAAGGCGAGGCAGCTTGAGTTAAACGAACGTACTTGCAGGTTGGTTCCCAGAGGGCAAGCAAGTCAGAGAGGGGCATCACACAGAGATGGGGAGAGAGAGAGAGAAAGAGAGTGAGCGAGCGAGCGAGCGGGAGAGCGCCTGAGAGGGGCCAGCTGCTTGCTCAGTTTCTAGCTGCCTGCCTGGTGACTGCTGCCTTCTCTGCTTTTAAGGCCCCTGTGGTGGGCTGCAGGCACTGGTCCAGCCTGGCGGGGCCTGTTCCGAGGTTGCCCTGGTTGCCTGAGTGGTAGGCTGGTGTGGCTTAGTGTAGTGGTGTGGACGCAAGCTGTGTGTTGTGTCCTGTGGTCCTTCTGCTCATAGTGGCTGTTGGTCCTGATGTTATTACTACCTCTGGTAGTAATGCTGAGAAGCTGAAAGCCGATTCCAGGTGTGGACAATGTCAACAAAGCACAGATGCTCTCGCTGGGGCCTTGCCTCGGCCCTTTGAAGTCTGCATGGCTGGGCTTCTCACTCACTCAGTGTTTCTTGCTGGGGGAAGGAATTGAGTCTCCCACTTCAGACTGGGCCTCCCTGAGGAAAGGGTTGTGTCTCCCCACTCAGACTGAGGTTCCCTGAGGGTAGGGCTGTGTCTCTCCCCTCCGACCTGGGCTCCCTGATAGGGCTGTCTCCCCGCTCAGACTGAGGCTCCCTCAGGCCAGGGCTATGTCTCCCTCCTCAGACTGGGGCTCTGAGGGCAAGGGGTCTGGCTGTTCGTTTAGGATGGGGCACTTTTGCCTACACACTGAAGGAGCTGTAGCATCCAAGAATACTAGATACCTTTAATCCTCCACCAGTCATGGTGACAACCCCAAGCAGCCCACACATTTTCAAGTGCCCCCAGGATGCGTGGAGGGAGGGGTCTGTGCCCATTCTCCTGACATTAGCCTGTGAGCTCCGTAAGCCCGGGCCTCGTTTACGTACCTTTGTGAGCCCCGGGCATCTGTACCTCTTTCCTTTGCCCATACTGGGGACCAAGGAAGTGTCAAGTGCATGAGTGAATGTGTGACTCAGTTCAGAGGGTGAGGTCAGGAGCACAGGGTCGGGACAGGTGGCTGGCATCTTTTAATGCCTTAGCTTATGTTCTTTATACCAACTTGGCCTGTGCTCAGAGTGAGGGAGGCCCTGGGGGTCAGGGTAAGCGTCAGTCAGGGAGGCAAGACTTTGTGGGGATTTCCTAGACAGGGCCAAGGCACCCCCAGCTCACCCCGAGGCTGTGTTAGGGAAGTCCTTGGAGTGTCTCCCCTCCCCCAGCAATGTTCTTGTGGCTTGTGTGTGCTCAGGGGATGCTGGGAACCAGGCCTGGGTAGTTGGTGTGGGGTGCTGTCTGTCTTGGCCCTATGTGAAACCAAGAGGGCGTATATTAGTGCTGGGGTGGGGGCTCTGCCTAACTTCAGGGCTGGATGAGGGGAGTCTCAGTTCCCCAGGGGTCCTTGGGAAAGATAAGGGACTTGACATTTTAGGGTTTTTAGGTGATTATTCTGCTGATGGGGGTTTGTGTGAAGTGACCTGGGAGCTAACTGAAGTTACTCTAACCTCCCAATACCTTTACCCAACCCCCAAGCTGGCTGTATCTGGGAATATCAGTTTCCAAAATTGGAGGCTTAGGACTCCGTTTCGGGGCTCCCCAGAAGGGTAGGGCCTGTTCTGCCTCCTTCTCACAATCACCCAGGGGCAGGGGCATGCTGAGAAAGTTCTTGGAGGCCCCCTTTGCTTCAGCTGGAGTAGTGAAGCCGCCGAATTGTCTCTCCCCATCCTAAGTGAAGCAGCATATTTGAAAGGAAAGACAACCTGTTACCTGGGCCTGCAACCTCCAGGCAGCTCAAGAGAGATGAGGCCTACAGCCACAGTGGGAGGGGACATGGGGAATGGAGATGGTCCCTCACCTTCCTGGGGCCTCCTGCTCTACGCTACCCCCTCGGGAGCCTCCTGTCCCCAGGGCAGGCCCTTGCCATTGTTGGTCACCCGGCCAAGCCTCTCTGCCTCAGGCGTTCTCCCAGAAGATCTGCCCACTCTCTTCCCCACACCAGCCCCTAGAGACTGAACTGAAAACCCTCCTCAGCAGGGAGCCTCTTCTGATTAACTTCATCCAGCTCTGGTCACCCATCAGCTCTTAAAATGTCAAGTGGGGACTGTTCTTTGGTATCCGTTCATTTGTTGCTTTGTAAAGTGTTCCCATGTCCTTGTCTTGTCTCAAGTAGATTGCAAGCTCAGGAGGGTAGACTGGGAGCCCCTGAGTGGAGCTGCTGCTCAGGCCGGGGCTCCCTGAGGGCAGGGCTGGGGCTGTTCTCATACTGGGGCTTTCTGCCCCAGGACCACACCTTCCTGTCCTCTCTGCTCTTATGGTGCCGGAGGCTGCAGTGACCCAGGGGCCCCCAGGAATGGGGAGGCCGCCTGCCTCATCGCCAGGCCTCCTCACTTGGCCCTAACCCCAGCCTTTGTTTTCCATTTCCCTCAGATGTGACAAGCCGAGGCGGTGAGCCGGGCAGGAGGAAGGAGCCTCCCTCAGGGTTTCGGGAACCAGATCTCTCACCAGGAAAGACTGATACAGAACGATCGATACAGAAACCACGCTGCCGCCACCACACCATCACCATCGACAGAACAGTCCTTAATCCAGAAACCTGAAATGAAGGAAGAGGAGACTCTGCGCAGAGCACTTTGGGTCCGGAGGGCGAGACTCCGGCGGAAGCATTCCCGGGCGGGTGACCCAGCACGGTCCCTCTTGGAATTGGATTCGCCATTTTATTTTTCTTGCTGCTAAATCACCGAGCCCGGAAGATTAGAGAGTTTTATTTCTGGGATTCCTGTAGACACACCCACCCACATACATACATTTATATATATATATATTATATATATATAAAAATAAATATCTCTATTTTATATATATAAAATATATATATTCTTTTTTTAAATTAACAGTGCTAATGTTATTGGTGTCTTCACTGGATGTATTTGACTGCTGTGGACTTGAGTTGGGAGGGGAATGTTCCCACTCAGATCCTGACAGGGAAGAGGAGGAGATGAGAGACTCTGGCATGATCTTTTTTTTGTCCCACTTGGTGGGGCCAGGGTCCTCTCCCCTGCCCAGGAATGTGCAAGGCCAGGGCATGGGGGCAAATATGACCCAGTTTTGGGAACACCGACAAACCCAGCCCTGGCGCTGAGCCTCTCTACCCCAGGTCAGACGGACAGAAAGACAGATCACAGGTACAGGGATGAGGACACCGGCTCTGACCAGGAGTTTGGGGAGCTTCAGGACATTGCTGTGCTTTGGGGATTCCCTCCACATGCTGCACGCGCATCTCGCCCCCAGGGGCACTGCCTGGAAGATTCAGGAGCCTGGGCGGCCTTCGCTTACTCTCACCTGCTTCTGAGTTGCCCAGGAGACCACTGGCAGATGTCCCGGCGAAGAGAAGAGACACATTGTTGGAAGAAGCAGCCCATGACAGCTCCCCTTCCTGGGACTCGCCCTCATCCTCTTCCTGCTCCCCTTCCTGGGGTGCAGCCTAAAAGGACCTATGTCCTCACACCATTGAAACCACTAGTTCTGTCCCCCCAGGAGACCTGGTTGTGTGTGTGTGAGTGGTTGACCTTCCTCCATCCCCTGGTCCTTCCCTTCCCTTCCCGAGGCACAGAGAGACAGGGCAGGATCCACGTGCCCATTGTGGAGGCAGAGAAAAGAGAAAGTGTTTTATATACGGTACTTATTTAATATCCCTTTTTAATTAGAAATTAAAACAGTTAATTTAATTAAAGAGTAGGGTTTTTTTTCAGTATTCTTGGTTAATATTTAATTTCAACTATTTATGAGATGTATCTTTTGCTCTCTCTTGCTCTCTTATTTGTACCGGTTTTTGTATATAAAATTCATGTTTCCAATCTCTCTCTCCCTGATCGGTGACAGTCACTAGCTTATCTTGAACAGATATTTAATTTTGCTAACACTCAGCTCTGCCCTCCCCGATCCCCTGGCTCCCCAGCACACATTCCTTTGAAATAAGGTTTCAATATACATCTACATACTATATATATATTTGGCAACTTGTATTTGTGTGTATATATATATATATATGTTTATGTATATATGTGATTCTGATAAAATAGACATTGCTATTCTGTTTTTTATATGTAAAAACAAAACAAGAAAAAATAGAGAATTCTACATACTAAATCTCTCTCCTTTTTTAATTTTAATATTTGTTATCATTTATTTATTGGTGCTACTGTTTATCCGTAATAATTGTGGGGAAAAGATATTAACATCACGTCTTTGTCTCTAGTGCAGTTTTTCGAGATATTCCGTAGTACATATTTATTTTTAAACAACGACAAAGAAATACAGATATATCTTAAAAAAAAAAAAGCATTTTGTATTAAAGAATTTAATTCTGATCTCAAAGCTCCTCTTGGTTTCTCCTTCTCCATTGAATCCTTGCTCTAGACTTCCTCCCGCCCCCTTTCCCTCTTCCTCTGGGGAACATGGCATTTGTCTTGGGTCTGGGAAAGGTACGTCTAATGTGTAGGATATGGGGTGACCCACCTTGTTGTGCTGGGGGCAAAGTCCTTCCATTTTGGCTGAGCTGGTCCTGGGGGAACCCATCCATCCTGTCTTGATATAGAAGGTGGGAAGCTCTGGGAATGGGTGGAGGGGGAGAAACAGCTTAGGAGCCAAGGGCCCTTGCAATTGGTAGTGCTGCCTTCAGGAATTAGATGATCCAGGCCCCTGTCCCTTAGCCAGGGAAAGAACTGGCCATGTCTCCAAGCTTGCTGCCCAGGAGACAGGAGAGAGCTGTTTTTGTCTGTGGGGGTCTTGTTGGCTGCAACAGGCTGGGAGTGGGAGGGGGATGCTGCTGGAGGGCTGTGACTCCAGGGTGTAACTTAATTTTACATAGTTTTACACCCTGGAGTTCCTTGAGCCTCTGGAAGATGGACCCATAGGTTTGGTCACCACTGATGGGACACTCCCTGCCCCAGCTTGCCATAAGCTCTTCTCTCACGTCCTGCTCCTGGGTAAGGTGGCACCTATCCAGGTCTTTGACACTGAAGGGCAGTGCTTCCAAATTCACTTCCTCTAGCCTCTCATTTATTCTTGCAAACCATAGATATGGCTTGAATAAATATTGAGCCAGTCATTGTGCTGCTATGAATAAGACACAATTCCACCCCTCAAGGATCTGGTGAGGATGGGTGGGTGGGGAGACCCAAAACTATAAATCCATGAGCAGAAAAATACATAAAATGTGCTGGGGGCATCTGATCTAGCTTGGGAGTGGGAGTTGTATTGGGGGTGGTGGCTGGGGGGTGGTGTCTTATGACATTATCTCTAGGCTGCCACTTAAAGTATGGTTTGAAGACAGGGAGAACGGGGCGGCGGAGTGAAAGGGTTGAGGACATCCCAGGCAGAAGGGATAGTGTGAGCAAGGCATGAAGGTGGCACTTGGGCAGGGGCAGGGAGTGGGTGGGCAGGGTGGAGGCTGGAGACACGGGCAAGGGTTAGCTCCAAGGGAGCCTGCAGCACCATGCCAAGAGCCTAGGGCCTGTCAGGGATGAGCAGCAGCCGAGGGGTTTTAAACACTGAGCGGCTCAGTCAGATAGACTTTTCCATAGGTGCCTGGCAACAGTATGGGAGGCAGAGAGGCCGGTAGAGGCTGTTGTGGTCTTCCAGGAGGAATTGTGCTGGTGGTGGGGAAGCACCTTTGGTGACTGGCAGTGCCGGCCATTGCAAGGTCTCAGCCTCAGGCAGCTTTTGGTCTAGTAAGTGCTCCTTTCCCAATCACTGACCACGTGCCGACCCCTACATTGGTTAACACTGAATCTGCACAGCAGCCCTGGGAGGTAGGTGCTTTTTTTTTTTTTTTTTTTTTTTTGAGATGGAGTCTTGCTCTGTCACCCAGGCTGGAGTACAATGGTGCGATCTCGGGTCACTGCAACCTCCGCCTCCCAGGTTCAAGGGATTCTCCCTCCTCAGCCTCCCGAGTAGCTGGGATTACAGGCACGCACCATCATGCCCGACTAATTTTTGTGTTTTCGTAGAGACGGGGTTTCACCATGTTGGCCAGGCTGGCCTCAAACCCTTGACCTCAGGTGATCTGCCCGCCTTGGCCTCCCAAAGTGCTGGCATTACAGATGTGAGCCACCGCGCCCGGCAGGTAGGGGCTTTTTTCATCCCATCTGGATTTTTGCTGGAGCCTTTAAATTGGCCGCCTGGCTTCTCCTCTGGCCTTCCTTTAGTTGAATCTCACACAACTGCCAGAGTGAGCCTGTTAAAATGTGAGTTAAGTTTTGGCACCTTTTGACTCAAAACCTTCCAGAGATAGTTTTACTCGGAGAAAAACCCAAATGGCCTTAAAAGGCCTGCACCATTTGGGCTGCCTCCCTGACTACTCAATGACTTCGGGCCCCGCCTTGGCCACGTGGCTTCAGCCATGCTGGTTTCACTGTTCCTCAGATGCAGTGGGCATGCTCCTGCCACAGGGCCTTTGCACTGGCTGTCCTCTCTTCCTGGAGCACTCTTTCCTACACATGACCCATGTTGTTGGATCCCTCACTTTCAAGTCTTGTTACCTTCTCAGTGAGGCTTACCCTGACCACTGCATTTACGATTGACCCCCCTTCCCACTCCACACTTGGGTACCTCCTTTTCACCATCCCTTCTTTTTCCGCTTAGTACCTGTAGCCACCTGACAGACTCTAGAACAGTGCTACCCAACAGAAATATAGTGTGAGCCACTTATGGAGTTTAAAATTTTCCAGGCACCAGAGTTCGAAAGCTATAAAAAGGTAAAATTAATTTTAATAATTTATTTTAGCTCCAACATATCTAGAATATCACTTCAGGATCTAATCAATGGAAACATTATTAATGAGTTTTTTTTTTTTTTTTTTTTTTTTTTTTTTTTTTTTTGAGATGGAGTCTTGCTCTGTCACCCAGGCTGGAATGCAGTGGTGCAATCTTAGCTCACTGCAAGCTCTGCCTCCTGGGTTCAAGTGATTCTCCTGCCTGAACCTTCCGAGTAGCTGGGACTATGGGCGCACACAAACACGTCTGGCTAATTTTTGTATTTTTAGTAGAAATGGGGGTTTCACCATATTGGTCAGGCTGGTCTTGAACTCCTGACCTAAGATGATCCACCTGCCTCGGCCTCCCAAAGTGCTGGGATTACAGGCATGAGCCACTGCGCCCAGCCTATTAATGAGAAATTGTATACTCTTTTGGTACTAAGTCTTTGCGTCTGTCCAAGGGCAGAAATTGGGTGTAAAGAAAAAATAAATCTTTGAATCTGGTGGGTGTTTTATATTTATCGCATGTCTCAATTAGTTGTAGCCACGTTTCGAGTGCTTAATATACACATGGCTAGTGGCTACCATTTCAGACAGAATAGCTTTAAAATGTACTCCCCCCTTTGTTTGTCTCCCCCAACTAGAATGCAAGCTCCATGAAGGAAGAGATTTTTGTCTGTTTTGTTCAATGTATCTCCAGCTCCTGGAACACAGTACATGCTCAATAAACATTTGTTAAATGACTGACATTGTTGAAACTGAGGCCTGGACCTGAAGGTTTCATCCCAAGACTACGGAGGTGAGTACAGGATTTCTACAGAGGTGCCAGGAGTTGTTGGTGAGGGTTAGCTGGACAGGTGGGGACTTAAGTGGGGATTGTCTAGAAGAAGTGAACTCAAAGTCAGCTGGTAGGGATTACAGCAGAGGCCTCTTTGTCAGTGCCAGTACCGTCTCCTCTTAGCCACCCTGGGGATGGGGCTCATTATTATTGCTTGGCAGATGAGAAGCAGGAGGCTCAGAGAAGGTAAATAACTTGCCCGAATTTACACGCAGCCAGTAAATGGCCAAGCCAGAATTTAAACCAGCTTTTCTGACTCCAAATCTAGTGCTCTTTTTACCACACCACAGCTGCCTCAGGCTAGGGCAGGACATCAACAAATAAAAATGAATCGTCTAGACTCAATACAAACAGGGAAGAAGAAAAGTGGGACAGGGGGAGGATGTAGTGCTGGCCAAACCCAGGGCTGAAATCCAGACTTCCCCAAGTGTGGTAAGGCAAGGCAAGGCAAGCAAGAGATGTCTCCAGGGGCTGGGGCTCGTCAGTGGAAGATCGGAAACCTAAGCATGCAAGAGATTGCAACACACGGCCTTAGATGAGAGAAACAGCCTTGAAACAGACCACGGAGAAAAGAAGGAGAACATGAAAATGCCACCTCCCCCAGTTGTATAAGACCTGCCCAGATACCCCCCTGGAGCCATTCCCAAGGATCTCTCCAGACCTAAGCAAGTCCCAGGGCCTACCCTGCCTTCCCAGATCATCTCCTCTCTGTGGGACTCACACCGCCTGGTCTAGCCACTGTTTCCTCTGGAGCTACCCAGTGCTCCTTCTCCTCTGTCTAGCCTGAGACTCTCCCTTCTCCAAGGAGCTGCCCATCCTGCTCCCGGCCCTGAAAGGCCTTTAGAGAGCCTGCTGGCCCACTCTCCTCCCTCCCACAAGAACTGAAAGGCTGACGGGTGGATCCATACAAAACTTGGTGATTCTGGATCAATTTCGTGTGTTAGGATCATTGTGGTGGCCAGTGTGCAAACATGGCTGTCAACAGTTCTTTCCATCCCTGTGCCCACGTGCTTTGCCCCCCAAGAAGTAGAGTCTATTTTTCCTCTTTTTGAATCTGGGCCGGCTTTATGACTTGCTTTGAATAAAAATGCAACACAAGAGAGATATTCTGGGACTTTCAGGTCTAGGCATTGTAGTGTCAATTTTTGTCCTCTTGTAAGGCAGCTGCCAGGCTATAACTGTCCAAATACTCTACTGGAGAGAGAGACTGTGGAGAGACAGAGAGAGATAGGGGAAGAGAAACAGAGAGATAGAGGAAGAGAGAGACAGAGATGGAGAGAGAGAGAGAGGCTCAGCCAACTCCCAGCTGTTCCAACCACCTGAAGCTGAGGCACCAGACATGTGAGTGAAGTCACTTTGGATTCCCTAGCGCCAGGTGAGCCACTCTAGCCAACAACACATAAAGTAGAGAGAAGCCATCCCTGCCCCAGTTTAGTGAGTTGTAAGCAAATGTATGCACTGTGTTGTTTAAAGCTACTAAGTTTTGGGGTGGTTATTATTCCTCAATAATAACTGAGCCATCTAACAAAACAGTCATTTCCTTGGCATTAGGGTGTTTGTCCCTTCCCATCCATAAGGTTTAACTGGTATTCATGAAGTGGATGGAGGGATGTTCAAGGAAAGAAGGGTGTGTTTATAAGGGAATCAGAGACCAGGCATCTGCCATGGTGGTAAGTTTGGTGAGAAGTCAGGGTAAGGGCTGACCCAGGCAGGACAAAATATTGTCCTAATTTCTAGAGTGAGGAGAGTGACTTGGTTGTACTGGAGTCTTACCAAGAGAAAGTGGGCCTCACCTACAGCATGGGGGATAGAGGATAGAGGATGAGAAGAACTGCCAGAGAGCACAGCATGAGGGATTTGGAGGAAAAGACTGTGGAATCCTTTTCTTCCCTTCTTCCTTCCATCCTCCAGCGTTTATGGAATACCAGCCATATGTACTATGCCCTGGTGCAGGGATGGTCTCTCATTTACTAGGAGGGGCTTTAGCATGAGCCAGCCTAGAGGTGGGGGATGGATGGGCTGACCCTTGGAAGGCTCCATCAGGTTGGCTTCAGAGTTGCTGGGAGAGAGATAATTCAGCTACATCCGCAGGACATTGTCCATTAGGACATGGGACTAGGGGAGGGCAGGGAAGGAATCAGTAAATATTTATAATCTGCCTAGAAAAGGAAAATGCAAGGCAAAGACAGGGCTTGACTGAGCATCTGCTGAGAAGGAACAGAAGGGGTGACGTGGAAGGGGAAGAGCTAGAACCCAGGGAGCAGTGAGTCAGAGGAAAGGGCCCACTAGGCACAGGTGCCTATGGTGCAAGGCTGGGCTTGAGTCTCCCAGGACAAGAGGGGGCCGGGATCTGACAAAGATTTTCAAAGGCTGCGTTTGCCTTTGGGGAGTTAGTCTCTCTATGAGGGAAGTGCAAGTACTGCTCCCAGGGAGCTCCCAGTCTCAAGGAGGATTGACATGGCCCTGGCCCTCAGGATGCTCCCGGTCCTTACAGAGTATCTAATCTGAGGGAGGAGACAGAGCTTCTGCCATCAGACATTTCTTTGGATACTAGTTTCGGGAAGGCACCACCCTGCCACCATTTGGCTGTTGCACTGTTCGGAGTCACCGGATGCTGGTACCCCATCCTTCCCTCCACTCTCGGTGCGCATTCACAATGCTCACAGGGCTTCTCTTGTGTTTGTCATCAGCCATGCGTGGCTCACCAGCCTGGGCCCTGATTTTCTCCACACATCCCCTGACGGTCCCTGGGTCTGGCTCCAAGTGGAGCAGATGCTAGCACATGTCCCTTTCCTGGGCTTCTCCTGTCTCCTCTCCTGGAGAGGCCTGAGAACCCTGTTCATCAGCTCCTCAGACTTCCTGCAGGAAGACTGTTCCCCTACTCCCTGTCTGTAGCTCATCCAGCTGTCCTGGGGCTGGAAGCTTCTGAGGAGGTGATGCCCTGTGAGGCCCGGCCATAGGGACCTCTCTTTGGATGCCTCTGCAGAGCCTAATCTGGGCCGCCCTAAGTCCCATCAAGACTTCTGACAGATCTAGATTGGAATCCTGGGTCTGCCACTGGAGAAATTACTTGCCTGCACCTCAACTTTCTCATCTAAAATGGGCACAGTAACACCTACATGATGGAGTTTGAGGGCCTGAAGTGACATTGACATGTAAAAGTACCTCATGAAGTGACTGGTACATAGGATGTCCTAAAAAAAAAAGTCATTATCATCTTGTTGTTATTCTAGTCTCCATGCCAATGCTTTTTCCTCTCTGAGTGCCCCCTTTAGTACATTTTGGTTGTTTGTGGGGCTTTTTTCCCACTTTTTAAAAAAACCTGAAATGGTCTGGCTGGATTTTATAACCATTTTTGCAAGCATGCATCCTTACTCTCCTGCTGAGGAGTGAGGCACGCCAGGGCAGGTTCAGCCCTGGAGCCCAGCAGTGAGAGAAAGGGATTGGACTGAAGGGAAAAGAGGGTGTGGAGAGCCCTTCCTGGTAGGGATGATGCCCTGTGGCTTTGAACCCAGGACCAGGTACAAGGTGGGCTTGCATGAGTATTTGTAGAATTAATGAACAAATGAACAGGAGCAGAATGCATGGCCAATCTTCTCTTAGGTCCCCCAAACACACTGGGAACCTCCAGTCTGATGGAGGAGGCCGGATGTCCACCCTTATACACACAGCTGTGCTCTGGGCAAGAAATGCTGAGGCTGGGCAGGGCTGCTTGGGCCAGGCTGCAGTGGACGGATGCCCCCAGGGCTGTCTTCAGAAGCTCCCTCAAGGTGGAAACCTGTCTGTTCCAGGATGTTTAGGTGAAATGATTTGTGGTATAGGTATGGAAGGGCCTCTGGGACCCAGGCAGGGGAGAAGCCCTTCCCTGGGACTTTGGAGAGCTGGGAGCTGCCATCTCCTGGGGAGGCCACAAGAGGATGTCTTCTGGGGAAATATTCAGGGAGGGTGTTTGCTTTTGGCTCCCAAAGGCATCTCCACCCCCACCCCAGGTCTCCCCTACTTCACTCCCCAGGGTTCCCTCCCAGCTGCTCTCCTGGCCAGCCTGAGATAGAGAGAGGATGGCAGGGCTTGCTGGGCCCCTGAGGCTGGGACTGGTGGGGAAGGTCTGGCCCCAGCAGATGCCCTCCTGAGGCGTCCTCGCTTCTGGAGCGAGACTCCTACTATAGATCTTCTTTCACACGGGTACATCCACACGGGCTCGCACACACACAAGTGTGACAGGGGTCACTATTGCCAGTCACGGGGCAGCCGCCTGGTTGGGTAAGGGTTCCTAGGGGCTGGGTGAGGCCCAGCTGGGGGAGCCAGCATCTCGGGACGAGCCCCCATGGGGCTGGGGGTTGGGGGCTGACCTGGCTGCGGTCCCATGACCCAGAGCTGCCCTCTGGGAACTGCTGACTGTTCAGCAATAAACACCTCATGGCTATTAATAGTCTTCTGTGTGGCAGCCCAGAATTGATAACACTGGGTCACTTCTGGCCTGGCCCAGCCTGACTGCCTGGGTTCAAATCCTGGCTGCAATTTCTGAGCCCCGAGGTCCAAAACCCAAACCCCAAACACAGCCCCAGCTCCGACAGCTTCTCAGCTATGTTTAGGACAATTACCTTTCTGCATCTCACTTGCCATCTCTGAAACAGGCACCATGATATCTATTTCACAGTGTTTCGTGTACATATGATCATGTCATCCTCCCCACACCAGACATTGGCAGTAGTGTCCCCATACTAGAGCTGAGAGTGCTGGTGCTCAGGGAAATGCAGATGGTTATAGGAGGATGACTGGCATGCAATAAGGGCCCGATAAAGGTTAGCTATTGTCGTCGTGATTTGGCACAAGGATGTAGGAAGAGAGGATTTGAAATCGGACAGAGCTGAGCTCTACTTTTGACATCAGTAGAGTTTTCTAGCTCTGTGACCTTGGGCAAGTTGCTGGATCTCTCTGGGGCTCATTGTCTTGCTCTGTAAAATGGACATGGCAACACCTACCTCCCAGGTGTTGATGTGGATTATATTAGACAATGAACACACAGTGATTGCCACTTAAAAGGGAAGGAGGGAAGAAGAGACCTGGAGTGAGGGGAAGAGTTCAGCTGGATGCTGGTAAAACCCACCCCCAGTCCCCTCTTAAGGGGCTCAATAAATATGGTACTTGTAGAATGAATGAATAAATGAACATTAGTCACCTCACCCTGTCAGGGTCCCCAAGAGCAGGGACAAATTCTCTCTGATTAGCCCGTGTGCTCCCTGATGGTGAGGGTATGACCTTGGGCCTTCTCCCTTGGGGAGAAAGGGATCTACGGATCCCTTTAGATGAACCATCTAAAATGCCGAGCCTTTTTGGGGATGGTTCATTCTCTTGGTGTGGCAACAGCCAGTGCAGAAACCCACAAGGAAAAATGGAAACAACTTTTCCTTTCCTTCTCGTAATGAGGTGCAGGCAGGGCACAGGGCCCTAAGCCCTGGGCACAGAGTCTCAGGCCTACAATTAATCCCTTCCCAGGATGTGGCCCCAGGCTCGGCTCCTGGCTGCATCCCCAGCATTGCTCTGTGCCCCACTCCCCAAGTCCTAGTGCTTACCCCCCATTCTGGGGACTGGGGAAGGGTACATTTTGCTGGCAAAGATTATGGGAGCCCAGGGAATGCCTTCTTGTTGAGGCCAGCGGGGCTCATCCCCTTTCCTTGTGACTGTGGTGACCCCAGCCACACCCTTGACACTGCCTAAGTCTCTGGCAGCCATAGTAAAAACCCAAATGGTGGTGCTGGTGGTGGGTGGAGGGCACGCAGTGGGGAAAGGGGGCAGAAGAGACATGGGGGTGAGGGGAAGGGCTCAGCTCGATGCTGGTAAAACCCTCCTCCAGGCCCCATGACTTCGGAGAAACTGCCTCTCTCCCACCCCGGCCCCCAGATGCCAGTGGTGTGCCGGCCGTTGGCGTTTGCTTCACAGGAAGTGTCCCTGGAGTCTTGCTTATCTTGAATGGGTGGCTGCTGGGAGGGGGCAAAGGAAGCCATTTCTTCCCTCGCCCACCATTACATGTCCACTCCAAAGGCTATCTCTTGCATCCCAGACCATCCTCTCTCCCTCTCTGAAGGTGGGAAGGAGGTATCCATGATCTGAGGACTACCTTCTAGGGGATGGGGGGTCCCAGAGCCCCTCATCTCTGTCTCACCCTCACCCTGGGTCAATACCAGGTACCTGGACATGAAGCTCTTCCTCAGTTTCTCCTGCTGTCTGTTAGTCCTGCATGGGCCTCAGGCCTCTCTGGTCAGCTGGCCTTCTGGGTCTGAGGAGGGAAGATCCTAGAAGTAAGTTGTCAGATGCAGCAAATAAAAACACGAGGTGCCCCATTAAATTTTCATTGTTTGTGTGAAATTCAAATTTAACTGGGCATCCCGTACTTTGTCTGGCAACCCTGCCTGGATGGAGTGGCTGGACCTCCCTCTTGCGAGTTCTCAGTTGCTTTGCTGCTCCCCTTCCTCCTCCCCAGCCTTCTCACTGCTTTGCTGCTGAGGTATCCAGTGTAGACATTGTGTGTGGGCCCTCGTTCTGGATTTGTCCTCACTTTCTGCCTGCAGCAGAGATCTGAAACAAATTAGGAGCTCTCTGAGGGCACAGGCAGTGTCTCCCCCATCAGACTGGGAGCCTCCTTTGGATTGAGTCCATGTGACCTTGTAGCCAGGCCACTCCCCTTTCTCCTTTTCATCGTGCTCTGGAGGACCTGGCGCTGACCCTCAAGGCTGACCTTTTCCACAGGCTTAGCATAGCCTTCACTGCTGCTACCTGCAGAAGCTCTGAGAGAGCCTCAGTAAACATCCGTCTCCTCCTCCCTGATGACCTGCCGGTGGGAATTCTCTTCCCCAGTCCTCATTCTGCAGGCAGCTATCTCCGAGTCCCTCAGGCTCTGGAAACTTCCAGTGGAAACAATTCTCTGGGAGCCAAGACCCCAGAGCTCTGGCTGGGGCTCTGTCACCAACCAGCCCTGTGACCTCAGGCAGCTCTTGGTTGTTCTCTGGGCCTCAGTGTCCCTACCTGTACAATGGCACTATATCTAGCTTGCTGACCTTGGGGTAGGGTTTCCAAAATGCACATTGTGATCTATGTGGGTCATGAAGTCGATTTAACAGCATGCAACCAGCATGATTCTTTTTCTTAAATAGGAAGAGAATAGGGCAGAAAATATTTAGTCTTGCATAGAGTAAGGGTAAGTATTGTTTCTTGAAACTTGTGTGGAGTGTGTGTGTGTGTGTGTGTGTACATGCGTTCTGGGTCATGAGGTAGGATATATTTTTCAGGGGGGTTGTGGTAAAACAAAAAAGTAAGGAAGTCAGTACTGGAAGCTGTGACAGAAGGGTGACGGTGGCAACTGGAGACCCGGACGTGGTCTCTGCTACTTCTCCACGTCACGGAGATGACAGGCCCACTTACAACCTCCTGTCTGGGGTTCTTCCTTGCTCTCTTGAGTAGTCTTCCTGCCCTGCCTCTGCTGAGCTCATGCCCCTCTCTACCCAGAGCCCAGGGCCCTCCCAGCTGAGAGCTCTCAGGAGCTAGTCTGGTTCCCTGGGCCACTCCAATAAGAGAAGAAGATTCTGGGATCCACAGCCTGGTGGTGTCCAGTCTGCCCAGCTGCCTCCGGCCTGGTTCTGCCTCACGGTAATAATACTGGATTGGGAAACTGAAGCTTGGGCCAAGTGGAGGAACATGGCTCCCTCCTAGCTTTCCCAATGCCCCGTACCCTGGGAGGGATACTCCTTAACCCCTTCCTGGGGCGGGGGAGGTGTTCTGGGGTCCAGGTGGGTGAAAAACGACAAATAGAGTGTGAGTGGCTGATGACCCTCAGCTTTGTGGCTCCTGCCAAATCTCTGATTTCTGGATCACACTGCCCTGTCTTTCCTCTAAGGAACCATATCTAGGTGTGAACCACATTAACCAGGAGAATTTGAGGATAAAACAGGTGGAATATGGGAGACACCTGGTGGTGATGGCTATTTAGATGGTTTCATCAGTACATGGGCCCCTCTCTGTGGGTGCTGTCATCCTGGGTCCAATTCACAGAGAAGAAACCAGGCTGAGAAGAACTGGCCTAGAGTTGGGTCATACTCAGTCAAGAGAGGAAGATTTGGGAAAAAAGGTGGGACTGAAAGCTCTTGACCTGTGGGAGAGTCAGGAAGAGAACAGCCCCATCCTCAGGGAGCCCCACTCTGAGGGAGACACAGCCCCGTCCTACGGGAGCCCCAGTCTGAGCGAGGTTTAGCCCCATCCTCAGGGAGCCCCAGTCTGAGGGGAGACGCAGCCCCGTCCTACGGGAGCCCCAGTCTGAGCGAGGTGCAGCCCCATCCTCAGGGAGCCCCAGTCTGAGGGGAGACGCAGTCCCGTCCTCAGGGAACCGCAGTCTGAGGGAGATGCAGCCCCGTCCTCAGGAAGCCCCAGTCTGAGGGAGACGCAGCCCTGTCCTCAGGAAGCCCCATTCTGAGGGAGATGCAGCCCCATCCTCAGGGAGCCCCAGTCTGAGGGGAGGCACAGCCCTGACTCAGGGAGCCCCAGTTTGAGGGGAGACACAGCAGTGTCTTTAGGGAGCCCAGTCTGAGGGGAGACACAGCAGTGTCTTTAGGGAGGTCCCTTTAGGAGTTCAACCCCTTGGTCCTTCTTCTGAGGTAGTGGGTTTTGTGGGGCACTGGAGGCCCAGAGTTGGCTGTTTGAGGAAGAGTCTTTCAGGGCATTGCCATTCTTTGTCATTCTTTACTGTAGCCAGAGGTGTGGTGTGATCTGAAGGGTCCCGGGCAGGTGTCCTCCTTCCCCTCCACTGTGCCCACCATCACCCTCCTAGTTCTTTCCCTTCAATCATTCACCGTAGTCTGTAATCACCATGCCCCACCTTAAATTAAGGTCTAGAAAGGATCTTGGAGACGTGTGAGTCCCAGATCAGAGGAGGGAACTGAGGCCCCAAAAGAGAAGGGGAGGAATCTTGTGTGAGGTCACCCAGGGAGTTAATAGCAGGGCCTAAATCTCAGAGCAGTGCTTTGGGCTTATGGAGAGACTCTGGGAGATGTGGGGCCACCCAGCACACATGTGAGCAGAGAGGCGCTGTGAAGGAGTGTGTGTGTGTGTGCGTGTGTGTGTGTGTGCAGGGGTGAGTGGGGTTAGGCGTCTGGGTCCCCTGTGAGCAGATGGGAGTTCATATGGGTGTCTGCTGCAAGGCGTCTGGCTATTTTCCTATGTCACAGTGTGGGGTGGAGCAGGGAGGGACAGGCCTGTAGCAGGGACATCAGACTGGTCTTATGAGTCCTGGCCCAGCCCTCTTGAGACCAAGGGCAGAGGGCGATGAGTCACAGATGACTCAGGTGCTGGAGGCCACAGCCACGCATGGCACGTGACAGCCAAGGAGGGCCAGGTCTATTTCTGGACCGGATAGACAGGTGACCCAGGAGGCTGACACTGAAATCTCTCTTCCTAGAGGATAGGAGGGATTCTATTCACAGACTCAGAGCCTGGGCCCCTGGGATGGGGCTGAAAAGACGGCCTGTGGGCTTACCTGTCCCTTGGAGCTTTGCTCCACTGGCTGGTTGAGCTGTTACTTCAGTGGGGCAGGGCTGTCCTGAGCCATCCCCATTCTCCTGAAGATGTGCGGTTAGGGTCACTCTCCACTGGGGATGAGTTCTCCCTGGCCCTTTGGATGCCAGCATCTAGCAGCAAAGCACCCCTGCCCTGCCTTGGTAATGCAGTGTCTGACCACAGACAGCCCCTCTTCTTTGTCTGAGGCAAGGGAGCCAAATCCTTGACCTGCCACTTGACCCCAAGGCCTAGGCCAGAAGATGAGGTAGTCTGGGGTGCAGACAGTGCCTTGGGTTCAAATCTCACCCTGAGACCTGGAGTTACATTGTTTCCTCTTGGGGCCTCAGTTCCATCCTCTGTACCCCGTGGGGGTTGTGCTTGAAGGCTCAGGGGTCCCCTCTAGCTGGCTCCTCATCAGGCCTTGAAGGCTGGGCTGACGGCGAGGCCTTGAAGCTGCCTCCTCTCTCTTGCCTATGTTTGAGGTGGGGGACTGGGGAGGGTTGGCTGAGGATAGAAAGTCCTGGCCTGGTAGGGGCATGCCTCAGGGTCCCCGGTCACCTGAAACACAGTGATGATTACAGGGTGAGCCTCTGGGACCAGACACTGTAATCTGCTGCCCTCCTTCCTGCCAAGGGCCTACTGCAGCATTTCCTTCTGCTTTTCACAACTGTTTTCTAAGAACCCCAGGAAGGCAGAGGCCTCATCTCTGAGGGGTGCGGCAGAAGACTAAAGAAGAGGGGAGGGAGAAAATGGAGATGGTGAGAGAGGAAGGGAGAGAGGATGAAAGGATGAGGGAAAGGAGATGCGTGAGGTGTGGTAGACATCAGAAGGCTTTTCCCTGGTTGACAGTTTGAGGAAGAGGAGGGGAAAGAAGAGTGGGTGGGGTCATTCTCTGCCTCTAAGCTCCCAGCTTAGGTGCTCCTCCTCAGAAAGACTGCCCTGACCTCATTACCTAAAGTAGCAGCCTCCTCCCCACCTCAGTCACTTTCTATCAATTGCTGCATTTAATGAGGAAGGGCTGAGTCAGCTCATGTCACTTTTTGGCTCAAATCCCCGCAGTGGCTCCTGGTCTTCCTCAGACTAAAGACCAAAGTCCTTACGATGGCCTTCAAGGTCCTACATGATTCCTTTCCAAGAACAGCAAGTGTGTTCTTCAAACACATCTGGCATACTCCTGACCCAGGGCCTTTGCACAGCTTTCCCCCTCTGCCTGGAATGTTCTTTCTCCAGATATCTGCAGGACTCACTCCCTTGCCTTCTTCAAGTCTTTGCTCAAACATCGCCTTCTCAATGAGGCCTGCCCTGGGCATCCTATTTAAAATGGCAATATTCTTCCTACACTCTCCAGCCCTCTTACCCTATACTCTTTTATCTTTTTTTCTAAACACTTACCACTCTTTAATGTTTTCACATTATAAAATGCATGTATTTATTAAGTGCATTGTGTACTTTCTGTCTCCCCTCACCTTGAATTTAAGTTTTACAAGAGTTGGTGTCTTTGTTTTATTCACTGATGTGTCCTAAGTCCCTGGAATAGGACCTGACACACAATAGATACTCAACTTGTGGAGCAAATGGCACCTGTCACTGTGGGTGATGATCTCTCTCTCTCCCTCTGTGTACACGCTCCCCACGCACCCATCGACCTCCCTGAGGATGCCTCACTCAGAATAGCAGTTCCATGAGAGCTGGGAACTGCCTATCTTGTTCATACTTGTGCTCTCAGCACGTGTCTGGCACAGAATAGGTACTCAGTAAATATGTGTTGGCTGGATGGAAGGGACCTGAAACAGAGGCCAGGGAGAGTGGGAAGACAGGCCAGTCACTGGCAACAGGCCCGTAATGAGAGGATTCTCGAGGAAGAGAATGGAAAGGTGTCCGCTGGTCATTATGAGGCCCCTAAGATCCTCCTATCTGAACAGAAGAGATGCTCCTTCAGATCTGTTACACATGTACACACGCACACAATCCAGGACCATCACACACCAGTATATAGAAGGAGAGAGCACTGGAAACTGCTGCCAGGTTGATGATGGCATCAGGCTTGACCACTAGGGGCTTCCTGGAGGAGGTGGCCTAGGGCTAGACCAGCACCGGAGCAAAAAAGTTCAGGACATCTCCAGTCAGAGGTAAAGAAGGATGAAGGAAAGAAAGAAGGGGATGTGGCAGAGGTCAGGGAAGGCCCAGGAGAGAGGCAGGGCTGACTGAGGCTAGGACTGAGACTGGGGCTCGTCAAGGTCAGAAGCCTTGGGTTTGGGGTCCAGTAGGACTACACAGGATACAGAGTTGGAGGAAAAGCCTGGATTTTCCCAACCAAAATCCCTAGAGGAAGGAATTTTCTGTGTCTTCCTCTGGGGTTTGCATTGACAGGCACAGGGCAGATGGTCAGTGTTGTCCTCTGATTGAGGGCGCCCAGCGGGAGTGCCGTGGCAGGATCTAATGCCCAAGTTCCCCTCAGAACGTGGCGCCGGGAATGTGATTCAGTGTATAATTCCAGCTGGTACTTTTTTCCCAATAAAAAGAAACGCCTTCATTCTCAAAGAAGATGATTATAAAAGAAAAAAAAAATCTCTTGACTTACAGAAAGAACCATGCCCAAATCTAGTGACCATGGTTCGCACAACATGAAAATCAGATGAGAGGGAGCACGAGTGAAAGAAGCTCAAACACAGGGCGTGAGGTGCCCCTGCCAGCCTCGGTCCCTGACCACACGGCCCCGCCTTTGGCTGGAGGGAGAGCCCTGGCTGTCAGCCGCACGGTGTGGAAAGCCCAGAAGGAAAGCAGTTTTGAAATTTTACTTGTGATTGATACACTTTTGGCCACGTTGGCTATTTTCAGAGCCTAGCTCCCCCATCCTCTGTCACAGACACCTTTGAGTTCTTTAAATGGCTGTATCTTTTGTTGTCATATGGACACATGGTCTTTATAGTACATTCAGACAGAACAGGTTTTGTGAGCAAAGGATATCGAGCTTTTTTCCCTGATATACAAATTGCAAGAGTTCGTTCTCCTCATAAGCCTGTTACTTTCTTATACCTGTGAACGGCACCTCCATCCCCACAGCTGCTCAAGCCCAAAGACGCATTCATAATCTGACCATCCCTTCGGGTGATCAAAGCCATCAGCAATCCCGGGGCCTGCTCTGCTTCAAAAATACTTCTGTCCTTGTTCCCCTCTTTCTACCATCTGGCTTCAGCTCCATGGCTTCTCCATTCCTCTCCAGCTTCTCCAATTCTTTTTCCTCCCAGCAGCCAGAAACCACTTTAATGCCACAGGAAGGATCATGCTACCTCTGTGCTTAAACCCTCCCTGCACACAAAATAAAGCCTGCCTTCATCGCCTGTCCACAAGGCCCGGCCTTGTCTGCCTCCTGACCATCTCTTCAGCCTCCTTGCAGGCCCCTCTCACCCTCTGCACACAATAATCTCTCCTTCCTTGAACATATCAGTGTTGTGTCCGCTTAGGGACTTCGTACTTGCTGTTCCCTCCTTCAGGAACATGCTGCCTCCACATCTTTGCATGGATACCTCCCCCTCACCTTTCAGGATTCTGTTCATATGTCACCTCCTCCAAGAGGCTTTCCTTGAACACCTCTCCCCTCCTCCCTTGCAATATAAATGGCATCCCCAAGTTGCTTGCATTCCACTCTTTTAATTTTCTTCATGGTATTTATCTCTAGCTAAAATTTATTTGTTTACAGATTGACTTTCTCTCTCTAGGATTTCAGGGGAGCAGGAACCTTGCCTGGGTGATTGTCGAGACTGTTGGCCCCATGACTAGTGCTTAGGGTTCAATAAATATTTGTTAAGCGAATGAATAAGTGAATGAATGAATGAATGAATGCTCTAACCCTGCCTTTGCTGAACTTCTAGAGATTGTGCAACCTCTCTTACACAATCAGGAGCTTGGTAACCTTGTTTGCACTCTCATTCCAAGGATTTCAGACTTGCTTTGCCAATCTTGTTGCAGCTCATCAATTCTTGGCAGCCCCACCCCTCCCAGCTGGGCCCAGGACGCACAGTAGGTCCTCAGCGCACACCCATGGGACTGAGTTGGTGAATGTAGCCTGGCTCTTGTCCTGATTATCTGGGTGACTTCAGGCAAGTCAGTATGCCTTTCGTTGTTTATAGTTCTCATCTGTAAAGATAAAGAGGTTTGTACAGATGGTCTCTAAGATTCTGTTTGACTTTCAAAGACCAGAACAGAATTAACCAGTTCAAAAGAAGAGCTGTGGGTGGGTGGGGGTTTTAGGTGGATTGAGAGAGGATGGGTGGGGGTAAGGGAGAGGGTAGTGAGGAGTTTGGAGGGGGATTAAATGGGACTTTCTTCCCAGGGCCTTGAGGACTGGGCTTTGGGGGACTCTCAGGGTGAGGTTTGATCCCTGAAGTTCAGGCTTGGCCCCTTGTTATTTCCTGCTTTCCTGGGGCTGTGGCTGTGGCTGTGGGAGACTTGACCCAAGAACGGACAGCCTCTCTTTTTCTGCTCTGCCATAGAGCAGAGCCCCAGCCTGGAACACACGAGCCCTCTGAAATTACCTGCACAGTCTTGGGGGTATGTGAATGAATGTCCTTTGGGGAAAGAAAGTCCTTATCTTTTATCAGATTCTCCAAGGGATTTCTGCCTTACAAAGTTTAGAAACCTGTATTTAGAAGGCCAGGCTGAACTAAGAAGATAAGTCATAGGAGGAGGAGAAGGAAGAGGAGAGAGGACCCAAATCCTTTTATTTTAAAATGTCTTTTCTGGACCTTAGTTTCCTCATCAGTAAAATTAGAAGTTTGGGTGATCTCTGGTAACATCCAGCATTTAGAATAATAATGCCTAATTTTACTTTGTACATTATCTCCTTTGCTCCTTTCAAAAGCCATGTGACTGTGTTTCTCATCAGCATCCCTGTTTTTCAGGTGACAACACTGAGGTCTGGTGACTCACCCAGGGTCATGCAGCCTGTGAGTGGCAGAGTGAGCCGGGAACCTGGCTGCTGGCTGAGAAATTTCAGGGCTTCTTCTTTGAGTGCCCAGCAGGATTGCAGCACCACATGGCTCTGGGGCTCTCCCACTGGCCAGTCTGGGCTGAAGGGAATGAAGTGAAGAGAGGGAGTTTCCCCTAAAGGTTGGTTGTTAATGATATTGCAGAAGAGGAAGAGGTGGTAGGAGGAACAGGTCATGCCCAAGTGGAAATCCTCAGCTCCTTCCAGCTGATCTAGAAGGCCTCCTGGACAAGGGGACACTTGGGGAGGTGGGGAACTGGGCCTCAGCTTGGGGAAAGGGAGGCATTCCTAGGCAGCGGAAAGCATCCTTTCTGGTGGGTAATCCAGTATTTATGGTGTTTTTGATGACTGGAATGCGGGTGTGGGTTCCCTATTGGACTTTGGGCTCTGCTGCAGGCCTCAGGCTGGGGAGACATTTTGGAATGTGTCCCTTGCCTTCTAGGGCCACCTTTGGCCTCACCTGCTGTTTACCCTCTTCTTCCTCCCCCTCTTCCCCCCTTGGCAGCCTGAGCTAGTGCCAGGAAATTGTTGGTCAAAGGTGAGGTCACCAAGAACCTGGAAAAACAACAGGTCTCCATTAACCTTGTTTACCTGCCAGGTAACTGTTGCTTTACAAAGGTTCTTTCGCCCCTTCTTTCATTACCTGCATTTCCTGCTCCCGTAAAAGCTCAGATCAGCTGAGCAGATTTTGGTGGGGGGTTCCTTCAAGATAAACCCTCCTGAGAGGCTTTCCACTCTTCTATTTTCTGGCATGTGGTCTGTATCTATTAGGTCATATCTCAGACTGTGTGGTCACCTGAGTTTAGATGCTGGCTGCCCAGCGAGACTGTCAACAACTTGAGGGAAGGGCTGTGTTCATTTACATTCTCAGGGCCTGGCTTCTAATAATGTCTGCTGCTTCAATGGATGGATGACTGAATGAATTAATGAATGAGTGGGATGGATGTCCTGGGTTTCTATTTCAGAACTCACCTCCCCTAGGAGGTCTCCTGGGGTTACTTCCAGCCTATTCTTTGCATCTTATTCCCATCTTTGGTCTGCCTAATCTGTCCTGATTTCTTCATGCTGTTTTTCTCAGAGTTTTTCATAAGGAACCAAAAACAACTGAGCCATGTGGCCCTCTGACAACCTCCCCAGGGCCCTGCAGACAGCAGACTCCTGATCAATGGTCACTAACTGACCAGCTTATGGGATCTGGGCCAAAGGAGAGCCAGGGAGGTCAGATTGTTTCTTGAGGTCACCCAGCTGTGAAAGAACTTGGGCCCATCCTTGGCCAAACCTGCACATCATCACTCAGACCTGGGGCTTCCTTCTGTGTGCAGAGCTGATATTTAAACACCATTGATGTCAATGCATCTATTCACTCAGAAAATATTGGGACCGTGCTTGCTCTGGCTCTCTGTGTTGAAGATGATACAGTTCCTTTACCTCAAAGAGGTCACAAACCAATCAGGGAGATGAGATATTTACCAGAGCAGTTCCTCAGCACTGGAGCCAAAGGTTGGGACAGTCAGAGAAGGCTTCCCAGAGGCGCTGGCACTTGAGGCCCTTGAAAGATTCTTAATCACTTATTTGGTGTAAGCTGTTTAAGAGAGCTTTGCTCATCTTGGTTAGTCCAAGATGTGCCTGTGACCTGTTTGTGGTCCTGGTTCACAAGGAGGAGGGACAGTAGTGGCTATCCCCTGCATCAGCACCCCCTGTTCCATCACTGCTACCGAGGGCTGCAAAGCCACAGGACTAGCTGGCAGTGAGAGGGCCCGTTGCCTGCGTGTAGACACCGGGATCAGAGATTGGCTGAGACACACCAGAGGCCCCACAGTGACCCAGGGCGGAGCAGGGTCTAGAACCTAATAGTCCTGATTCCCACCCCTGTGCTCTCTCCGTGGATGCCACCACCCAGTTGCCTTTACGAGGCCAGTGCCTTCTGTGGGTCAGTACCTTGGGCTCTGGGCTGGGTGCTGGGTGTAGCTGGGGTGGTCCTTACCATGGTCCCCCTTTTCACACGATGGGCATTGAAAGGATAGCCCAGACTGAGACCCTTGTCAGAAGGAGGTGGGGTATGAACAAAGCCTAATGATCCAGGGAGAGAGGATGCCTATCAGAGAGGGTACCACTCCCCTGGACCTGCATGCATAGCGGAGTTACCATTATTCACATGCAGGGCAAGCCTATCAGAGAGGAGTCAGAGGGAGGAAGGCTGACAGAAGTGGCTCTCTGGGATTCCCAGCTGAGGCTCTCGCACTCCCGGGTCTTGTTTTCCCTAACAGCCTCAGGGCACAAAGTCCAGTGGTGTGATTTTGTCATCTCTTCCCAGGGCAGCCTTAAAGGGCCAGTGCCTCCTCTCAGGGTTAATGATTACCTGTTGGGTCACCAATAGACCCAGGTGTCCTTGTGTGTGAAGACGGTTGGGCGGATGGGTGGGAGGTGGTGAAAGAGGGGTGGCCTGCCTGAAGAGGAGGCTGGGGCTTCCTTTAAATACATCCTCATAGAGGCTGCCTCCTGGAGCTCTCCTGGTTAGCCTTGGGTCATGAGGAGGGATCTGTCTTTAATGGCTAACAGCACAGGGAACCAACCTGTAAACCCCAAAGGGAGGGTAAGATTTATCTAGGGTGCTTCCCCCCAGCTCTGACAGGACAGATTCCCACAGTAGGAGGTGGGGGACTCTCCTAGCCGAATGGGAGGTGAGGGTATGTCTTAGACCTCAGAGGGTCAGGCCTTGGCTAGGGCAGGACCCTGGGACCCTTACTATCTCCTTCCCCTATACACATTCATGTCCCACCAGACCTGGAAGGTGCCCCAGTGTGACCCTGACTCGACCCGACCACAGTCGCAGTCTTTCTCCCATCTTCCATCTCTGTCTCACCTCCCAGCCTTGGAAAACACTTATATTAGTAATAGGCACTAATAATGATAACAAAGGCTGCCCTTTGTTGGGTCCTGGGCATAGCACGTAGATTCACTTGTAATCTGTACAAGTGCCCTGTGAGAAGGGTGCATATCACACCCCCATTTTACCAGAGGAGAAGGGAAGCTCAGCTCACATCACTGCTCAAGATCACACAGAGCAAGAGGCAGAGCAGACTTGACCCTGGTCTGTACCGTGTCAAAGTCCATGCTTTTTGCCACCATGGGTGATGGGCTGTGTGCCTGCTGTTTCCCCACCACAGTGGCTCAGCCAGTCCTCCAGAAAGCTTTCAAGGCTTACCACATCCAGCCCATGTCCCCCTCTGCTTCCTCCCCTAGTGAGAATCTATTGGCCCTGAGCTCAGCCAGGCTGGATTCATCTGCCACCACCCTGGGCTCTGTGTCTGCAGGCTGCTTCTGCCTCTGTGCAGCCCGGTGGCTCCCTAGGGGCAGGGCAGGGCCTCTGACTGGCAGGGAGGAGGCACAGAGATGGACAAGATTATCCTCTCAGGAAAGCAGCTGCAGAAAGCGCTGTTTCTCCTTCTGGGAAGGCTTTATCTCAAGCTAGTGCTCCTTTCCTCCTTGTGATTCACAGACCTCTCATGATAGTTTGAACGTGTCTTGTTTCAAGTGTTCAAATCTAAAGACTTCCATCAGATTCCTGACCGCGGCTTTTTCACAGTTATTATCTGTGTCATAACATTGCATACTTGCGGCTTATCATTTTCCAAGCTCTGCATACGGGTTTGGCAGAGCAGGTTTCACTGATCCCACTAGACAGGTGAGGAAACTGAACCCTAGAGCAGGGAAGTGACACATCTAGAACACGGCCAGGCTTGGTGGCTGAGGCCAGCTCTGCCGTCACACACTTGGCTCTCCCCGGTGCTGCTTTCTTTGCTGCCTCTGCTGTGTCTGCATCAAGGAGACTTTCTCCTCTGAGGCTGGCTGGCCTTGGAGTTATACTTTGCGCCTAGCTGCTTCTTCTATTTTTTTAAAGATGTGTTTTATTGAGGTAAAATACATGTAACAAAATGTACCCTCTTAGTCGTTTTTAAATGTACAGTTCAGTGGTATTAAGTACATTCACATCGCTGTGTAACCATCACTACCATGCATCTCTAGGACTCTTCATCTTGCAAAACTGAAGCTCTGTATTAAACACTAACTCCCCATTCCCCTCCCTCCAGTCCCTGGCAACCACCATTTTACTTTCAGTTACTATGAATTTGACTATCCCATGTATCTCAAATAAGTGGAATCACACAGTATTTGTCTTTGTGTGACTGGCTTATTTCACTTAGCATGATGTCCTCGAGGTTCATTTATGCCGTAGCCTGTGTCAGAATTCCTTCGTTTTTCACCTGGGCAACATAGTGAGAACCCCCTATCTATAAAAACAAAAAACAAAACAAAACAAAACAAAAAAACAAAAAGAAAGAAAGAAAAAGAAAAGAAAAAAGAAAAAAAATTGCTGAGTGCGGTGGTGTGCCTGTGATCTCAGCTATTCAGGAGGCTGAGGTGGGAGCATGGTTTGGGCCCAGGAGGTTGAGGCTGTCGTGGGCTGCAATCATGCGATGGCACGCCAGCCTGGGCAACAGAACAAGAGCCTATCTCAAAAAAAAAAAAGGAATTTCTTCATTTTAAATATTTTAAATGTTAAATAATCTTGCTTGTCCTTTTATCTATTGATGGACCCTTGGGTTGCCTCCAGCTTCGGGTTATTGTGAATAATGCTGCTATGAACATGGGTGTACAAGTATCTCTTTGAGACCTGGCTTTCAATTCTTTTGGGTTTACGTATACACCCAGAAGTGGAATTTCTGGATCCTATGGCAATTCTATTTTTAATTTTTTGAGGAACCATTATACATATTTTCCACAGTGGCTGCACCATTTTACATTCCCACTAACAGTGCAGAGTGTTCCATTTTCTCCATATTCTCTGCTTTCTGCATAGTAGCCATCCTGATGGGTATGAAGTGATATCTCATTGTGGTTTTGATTTGCATTTCCCTAATAATTAGTGATGTTGAGCATCTTTTCATGTGCTTATTGGCCATTTGTATATCATCTTTGGAGAAAGGTCTACTCAAGTCTTTTTGCCCATTTTTGAATTTTTGTTGCTGTTATTGGGTTTTAGGAGTTCCCTATATATTCTGGGTATCAATCCTTTACCAGATATATAATTTGCAAATATTTTCTCCCATACTGTGGACCACTTTTTTACTCTGTTGGTAGAGTCTTTTGATGCACACAAGTTTATACTTTTCATGAATGGCCCTAGTTCTTGATGCTGTGCATGTGGCTCCTTCATCTGGGGTTCTGAAGTGACTCACACCTACACTGCTTCTACGTCTGTCTCCCTGTGTTTATCTGGATGACGTCACCCACCAGGCAAAGAACTCGTTAAGGGCCAGCACCAGCATAGGGCCTGGCATGTAGTGGGTGCTCAGCATGTGTTCGGTGAATGGGTGAATTTGACCTACGTGTGATAACAGATGATTTAAGCTGGGGGTGGGCAGGTGGGAGAGATAAGGAGGCCCCAGCCCCATGCGGAGAATGGGCACATGATGACCTGCCACTGCCATACAGAAGGCGGATGGAGAGCAACATGGCTGGAGCGAGGGCCCTGGAGCCAGAGTGCCAGATTCCAAACCTGGCTCGTGGCTATGCAGCCTTGGCAGGTTACTCAACTCTCATACGCCTCCGTGTCTTTGCCATCTTTGAAATGGGAATAATAATGTTATCTAGCTTAGAAGGTTGGTTGAAAGGATCAAATGACATGAAAAGCACTGAGGACAGAGCTTAGCACCTCATAAACACTGTGCTGATGCTGGCTGTCATTATTATGATGTTACAGTCTCAGCTCTTTGGGGGCATAGAATACATTTTCTACATCTCTTATGGCCCAGCACCTAAACACAGTGCCTGATCCAGAGCTGGCACTCAGCCAGTATTTGTTAATCAAATTAAATTGTCTTTTGTCGTGCAGGCAGTCCTTCCTCATGCCACCCTCAGTTTCTTCTGTTGCAGCTCTGAGCCCCTATCAGTCCTGTTCTCCGGCATCCTGCTGCACACTGGGTCTTCGTCTCCCCCTGCCCTGCAGGGGCCCCTAGCAAGGGAAACTGCTGGTTCTCAGACCTTCATGAAGGGCTCCTGGGGCTGGGCTGGGGCAAGGGCTGAGTGAGCTGCGGCAGCAGGTTTGTAACCTCGAATCTGGCCACACTTCGTCCATGTGAACAGTCACTTCTCCAGGTGTGGACTCAGGTGGAGGTGGCAGGTCAAGAGGAGGGGCTGGAGGAGGGCTGTTGCTCTCCCCTTTCTTTGTCCTCTGTGTCCCCTGCCCCAAGTCACAGAATCATGGATTCTCAGGGCTGTTCTGCTCCCACAGAGGGGCCCAGGACATTCTGTGTCTGTTCTCCTTACACCTTGCTGGCTGCCTGGTTCACTCTTGGTATCAGGGGATCAGAGAGAAGACCATGAGGCCTTCTGTAGAGTGCTGGCCTTGTCTTCCGTCACAGTCTCTCTGATGTGATTATTTTGGCTGGTTCCTTGGCATCGTTGTTACTCTCAGAGGCACCCTGGAGCCAAAAGCCTTGGAGCAAAAGCGGGAGACATCCCTGATCCTTCGCTGCGTCCAGTGGCAATGGGCAGACTCCTGCGGAGGCCCCACTGTCCTCCATTCCCTGGTCAGTTACTATGAATTTGACTATCCCATGTATCTCAAATAAGTGGAATCATACAGTATTTGTCTTTATGTGACTGGCTCAGTTCACTTAGCATGATGTCCTTGAGGTTCATTTATGTTGTAGCCTGTGTCAGAATTCCTTCATTTTTTGCCTGGGCGACATAGTGAGAACCCCCTATCTGAAAAAAAAAAAAAAAAAAGAAAAAAAAAGAAAAAAAAAGAAAAAGAAGAAAGAAAGAAAAAGAAAAGAAAAAAATTGCCGAGTGTGGTGGCACACATGATGCTGCGCATGTGGCTCCTTCATCTGGGGCTCTGAAGTGACTCATGCCTACACTGCCTCTACATCTGTCTCCCTGTGTTTGGTGAATGGGCAAATTTGACTTACGTGTGATGACAGATGATTTAAGCTGGGGGTGGGTGGGTGGGAGAGATAAGGAGGCCCCAGCCCCATGCAGAGAATGGCACATGATGACCTTGGTTTATTTAAAGTGGAGTGCTGCCATGGCCAGCTGTGCCCCAGGGGTGCCAGGCCTACACAGGCCTAGGCGGTCAGCTGTGCCCTCTGCCCAGGGCTCAGCCTTTACTAGGTTTCTGATGTCCTTATGCTCTGACATCACCTCAGGTCCTGTGACTTACCCCCCTCCCACTCAGCAGGGACCTTGTTCTGAAGACTTTGGCCTTTTCTTGGATGCTCTCGGGCAGTGTGGCAGGTGGTGTCAGGTGGCAGTGGGTGATGGGGAGGCTTGGAGGCTGGCTGGGGGCTGGGGGTGGAGAGGTACCACTTTGTCCTGCATGGCTGGCTCTGGGTGTAAGTGCAGTGAGTCACACCTTTCAGGTAGTGGTGAGGAGAGAGGGCAGTGCATGGACCTTGGGTATGTGTGGGTGTGGGGTTCACACCCCATATGTTCCCATCTTCTGAGAAGTCTAATGGCTGATCTGCATCTGCATGTACTGTGGGACAGGCTTGCATAGGACTGTGTGACTTGTGGGTGTGAGTGTGGGGATGTGAGGATGGGGGTTACATGTGCCTGTGGATTTCCAGTGAGTACACCTGTCTTAGACCTGAGGGATCTGGGTCTGTGGGCAGAGGTAGTGACATGCCATACAGGGCCAGTGGGAGTGTGTGCACTCGGTGAGTGTGGGGTGCGTGGGGTTGGTCTATGGTGGTGATGGGATAGGTATTGAGTGTGATACTGGGCTTGGGGGTTGGGGGTGAGTAGAGGTCACAGTAGAGAATGACCACAAAATTTCAATGTACCTTGATCTGTCTTTATTTTAATTTAAGCTCGGCCTCTGCCAGGGCTCAGGTTGCTGGGTAATTGTTGGTAGTAGGGGCAGAATTTAGGGCCTGAAGATGTCCTTGGAGGAGGGAGACATGCCACCTTCAGCAATGGTGCCTCAAGCAGTCAGGGTCAAGCTTGGCAGGTGGGGATGTAGGAGGTGCCAGGGAGGTCAGGGGTAGTGGTGCTAACATCCTGGCCTCTTGTCTCTGTGTGTTTCCAAATGACTGTGTGTGTGTGTGTGTGTGTGGGACATGTTTTGTGTCTGGTGTGTTTTTATGTATACCCATGAGAGCCTGTGATGTCTCTACATGTCACTTTTGACCTCAAATGTGTGTGACCTCAAAAGCGACTCAAATGTCTGTGTCTTCATGTGTGTGTATCCATGAGTGGTGCCACTGTATTCTATTTTATTTTTTGACTGAAGGAACATGCCACAGTCACATTTTAAAAATTGTACAAACAGAAACAACATTCTAGAACTAAATTTCAACAGTCACTGGTATAAATAAATGCCTTTGATATATTGTTCAAACCTAATTTCCTTAAGCGACTAAAAATATGAATTTTTTGTAATAATTTATTTCTTCTAATAATAAAATGAATCATATTGTGATCAGATGCCTTTATTATCACCATCTGAAAATAGTATTTATTTAATTATTCATTCCCTTTCTTCCCCACTAGGATGTAATCTTTGTGAGGGCAGGGGTTTATTTATTTATTTATTTAAGAGACAGAGTCTTGCCCTGTTTCCCAGGCTGGAGTGCAGTGGTATGATCATAGCTCACTGCAGCCTCCTGGGCTCAGTGGACCCTCCTGTCTCAGCCTCCCAAGGCTGGGACTATAGGCACACACCACTGTGCCTGGCTAATTTTTTGGTATTTTTTGTAGAGATGGGGTCTTGCTATATTGCCCAGGCTGGCCTTGAACTCCTGCCTCAAGCGATCCCCCCACTTCAGCCCCTCAAAGTGCTGAGCCATTGGCTTCGGCACTCTGTTCACGAAGAGGCATGAGCCACTGCACCTGGCAAGGGCAGGGATTTTGTCTGTCTTGTTCATGATTGTCTTCCCAAGACATGACCTAGAATAATGCCTGGCATTAGAAGGTGCTGAATAAATATTTTTAGTATAAGTGAAAGGGAAAGTATTTCTGAGAAAATGGCATTTAAGTAGAGGCCTGCAGGATGAGTAGGCGTTAACGAGCCAGGAAGGGGTGAGGACTGTGCTAAGCTGCAGGGACAGTGTGTACAAAGGTCCTGAAGTGCGAAGGAGCAGAGTGCATTCTGAGGAACTGACAGGTGGCGGGTGCAGCTGTGTATGTGTGTGTGTGTGTGTGTGTGTGTGTGTGTGTGTATGGCTTTCTCAGTCATTCGAAGGAGGTTTGAAAGTTGCCAGAGAGTTTTAAGCAAAGGAGTGACATGATTACAGTCATGTTTTAAAACATCCCTCTTGCTGCTGGAGGAGGCTGGATTCTGGGGCGGGGGTGAGAGTGAAAGCAGCAGGGCCAGGTAGGGATCTCAGGCGAGAGAGGGTGATGGCTTGGTCCAGGGCAGCTTCTATGAGGCTGGAGCTCCAAGGATAATCAGGAGTTTTTCAGCAGGAGACTTGGCAGGGTTTTGGTGATGGGCGAGGTGTAGAAGGAGTTCGGAAGGGAAGGAGAGGGAGCTGCTGGGGATGATTCCGAGATTTCTGAGTTGCTTAATTGGCTGGATGGTGAGACCATTTATGGGAATGGAGAATTGATACTTGCTAACGACAGGCACTTTACTGGCTGCTTCGCTCGCCCGGTAATCTTCACGGTCCTCTGAGGTGGGGCAGATGAAAATCCACAAGGAAACAGGGGCTCAGTGATAAAGCCTTTGCTGCAGGACTTACAATTGGTGCGGTGAGGCCCTCCTATCCAATACCATCAAGGCTTGTAGTTGGTTAGTTTGACAAATGATCATAAAGAAAGAAAACCTGTACAATGTAAAGATTTCATTTTAATTGGAGCCCTATGGATGTGCTAACATGTGCCAGCATTTTGATGTATGAATGAAGCCTTCCCCTGGGCACAGGCCCTCCTGTGCCATGAATGGTCTTCTGGCATAAACTAACCCATTATATTCACTTCTTTGGGTTCTGGTTTTGGTTTATTTAAAGTGGAGTGAGAACTTCCTGGCTCTTAAGAACCAATCAAGGGTAGATTCCTTCCAGAATAGGCCCTCCACCCTGCCCGCCAGCACCATTCTTTATAGTCTGTCTCTTCTATGCCTTGCTCAATGGCAATTTTTTCAGCTGTTTCCTGTTACCAAACTCTTCCAAAGTGTTCAACCTGGATTTTTAAGAAAAGAAGAAAACTCTTTCTTTTCACATCATATTTCATTGTTTTGTGTCATATTTTATTAAACTGCATACTTACAATAACAAGCACAACTGGCAAACAGGTTTGGGGACAGAAATAATGGCTTTTGGGACATGCTTGATTTGGCTGGTGGGAGCAGAAATGGGCAGGCACATTGGAGAGCACCCGGCTGGAGCCCTCCATGAGGTGGGCCTCTGTCTGAAGGCTTCACAGGGGGACTGAGGGGTGATGGGTGAGTCCCTAGGCGAGGCCAGTTACCAAATGTCAATGTGGGCGAGTCAGAGAGCTGTCCTTGGGTGATACTTTCTGTGAAGTTTTATAAGAAGCTGAGTTCTGCATTCAGTATTTAGTACACATATTTGGAGCCCCCAGTAATCGATACGAAATGCTATCAGTCTTTAAGTGCTCAACACTGATTAGGTTTTAAAAGTATATTTTGTACCATAAATAATTAGATCTATATTTAATGAGCAGACCTAGGGCACAGGGTGGTGGTTCCTTCTGGAACTTAAGATTTTCCCAAGCCAAGCTCAGGAAAGGCAGGTAGGTATGGCAGTTGGAGTGGGAGTGGCTGACCCAGATGGCCTCTTTGTTAATCAGGTGTCTGTACTTGCCTAGGCCTGGGGCCTGTTCTGAAAGCCAACTTTTTGGCTTCAAGGAAGTTCTATTCCTAAAGAGAGTGAAGGTGAGGTTCTCTGGAACAGCAGAAATCTGGATCCAGATATCAGGGCTAACAGGGTGTGTCCTGTCCTCCAGCCATGGAGGCAGCAGGAGGAGGTGGATGGCGCCTTCTCGATGACCACTTGGCCCAAGGCAACACAGCGGGTGGGGACCTCACCTGTGAGGACTTGCTAGGGCAGAGCATCTGGACTGTTCTCAACTGGCTCTGGGGACCATTTAATCTTTCAGAGGGTGGGGGAAGTGAATGGAAGAAGGAGGGATTGGTTGGAAAAGCTTCAGTGACAGGGCAAACCTGGGCTAAAGGCAACCAGCTGGTCTTGATGGAGTGCACCTGTAGTCCCAGCTACTCAGGAGGCTGAGGTGAGAGAACCACTTAAACCCAGGAGTTCAAGTCCAGCCTGGGCAACATAGTGCAACCCTGTCTCTAAAAAAAAAAAATTTAAAAATTAAAAAAAATTTAAAGTGGACCTGTTCTGTTATTTGTAATCGAGAGGGAAGGGAAGTCATCAGTTTAATTCCTTCGAACCATAATTTATTGAGTCATTGTGTTAGGCTCTGGGAATACTAAGAAAAATAAGACACCATTCCTGCCCTCAAGGAGTCTAGTCATGGAGGCAGATACCAAGATTGTTTTTATGACAGCCCACATCAGTTGGGAATATATTTGGTATCAAGCAACAGAATACCCAACAGACAGTGGCTTGAGCAATAAAGACATTGATCAATATCACATCACTGGAAGTCTGGAGGCAGAGGGTTCCAGCTTTGGTGAAAGGATGACATCAATGATGCTATCAAAACTCAGCCTTTTTCTATCCTTCTGCTCTGCCATCTTCAACGTGTTAATTTTTGTCTCCATGCTTGTTGCCTCCTGGTCACAAGATGGCTGCTATGGTGACTCCTATAATTATATTCAAGGCAGAAAAGAAAAAAGCCAAGGAGAGAAAGGGGCTCTATTTTTATCAGGGAAGAAACGTGTTTCCCAGATACCCCCTCTGAAAATGACCTCTCATGTATCATTGGGCACAACTGAGAGGAAATGCTTCAGGGAGGCTGGGAAACTGAGGGACTAGCAAATAGGAACAGGATGCTGGTGATGTCTTAGATGAAGCTTGACTCATCTTCTGGGCCTAGATACATTGTCACCCGAAAAGGTGAGGTTCTGGTGGCAAGGAAGAAAGGGTGGAGCAGAATCACTGTTAGGTAGGATGAGCAGTGCCTGCCTTGTGTGGTAAGAGCTAGGATAGGCTCAGGATGCAAAGAGAAACCAGAGGAGCAGAGTTGGCCTAACTTGGGGGCTCAGGGAAGGGTTCCTGGAAAAGGTGGCTCCTGAGTGAGTTTTAGAGCAGCTGTATCAAGAACAGTTGCAACGTCATCCTAGGTAGATTGACAGCAGGAGCAGAAGCAGAAATAGACATGTGAAATAACCTAGTATGTCCAGGAAAGTGAGCACAATTAGATATTTAGTTAAGTGATGGGGAGAGAGAGAGACAGAGAGAGAGAGAGAGGAGGTGCAGGTGGAGAGGGGAAGAAACCAGGCCACGGTGGGCTTTGAAAGTCATGCTGTCAACCTTGTCTAACCAATTTATCCTGGCTTCTGCCAGTGCAGGGGCAGGGCTGGCTGTGCAATTTAGAAATATTACTCAATGCTGGTACAGAGATTGGGTGGGTGGGAGAGGCCGTGAGAAGCTCAGAGTGCAGCAGGGAGACCAGCAAGGAGGTTCTTGCAGCCATCCAGATGAGAGCTGTGGAGGGCCTGGAACAGACTTGGGCCTGGAACAGACTTTCCAAAGTCAGACTGCCAATATTTCAGCAAAAAGACAGGCAGGGTTCCATGCCACGAATCTCTGGGTGGGATAGCTGTCTCAAGAGGGCTGGGAAGCTCTCAAAAATGTACATGACACTGTGCAATCCCACACAGGGTAGTCTGCGTCCCAGTAATGAAGGAAGAAGGGAGGTGACCACAGAAATCAGTGTGTGGCAGGAGAGCTCTTTGCCAAATTGCTGTGTTAAGGAGGCTTGAACAGAGAAGGGAAGGACAGATGTGAGACAGGACTACGGGCCTGTAAAGAGAGTTTCTGGAAGATAAAAATAGGTAGAGGTTTGTGAAAGATGCTAGGGGCAACCCAGGCTTGTTTAGCTGTGATCATAGCCAGTCAAGATCAAGGGATCCAGAGGCTGCAGTTGGGCCTGATGACACAGCACGGGTGGGGAGTGTACGAAGAGTAGGGCTCCTTGCTGCCCCCTGGCAGGAGAGCAGCCTGCAAACCCAGAGGGCAGCAGTAGATGACACAGAGGCCCAGGGAGCCCTGGAGGTGGGATGGGCCCTCCCCTCTCCACTGCTGCTGGGGTGTTCAAAGGGCCTCTCCCCATAAAACAACACTTGGGGCACAAAGGAAGCTTGTGAACCAGACTGCTGGGGCCACTTTGTCCCACCTGAGAAAGCCAAGAGCACGGGGGCCTTGAGAAGGGAAAAACGTGGTTCTGAGTTTTAAAAAGAGTCCTGGGCAAGGATCCTTGTGGATTATGGAAGGAGTAGTTAGTGAGCATTAGAAAAGTGGGAAGCTTCTGGATAGCTGGAAACATGGCCGTTCCTGGAGGGCGGTGCGCCCAGGGAGGGCATGGAAGCTCCACGTCCTTCCTGCATACCTTGTCTTACGCATCTGTTCATTGTATCCTTGGTACCCCATGTCTGAAGGACATAAAATGATCTTGACACCTGAAACATCCATGCTGTCCCGGGTGATGTCAGAAAAACACTCTAATGAGGACAGCAGTGCCCAGGAGGGTTCCATAATAAAATGGAAATGGCTTATACAGAATCATGCAACCTGAGGAATGTAAGGAGGAGATATGAGCAGGGAGCCTCATTACACCCTAGGACTGACTGTGGAACTGTGTGAGGAGCTGTGGATCCTACAGTGCTCTCAACTGACCAGCAAATAGCTGCTTGGTTTGTGGATGGCAGTTCCAAGGTAAATGGACAACCTCCTGTTTGGAAGGCTGCTACTATGATCCAAGAAGGTAAAAACTAATCAGCTTGGTGGGCTGAATCACATGCTGCTTTCCTAACAGCGATGGAAGAATTGAACGATGCCAGAAGCCCCTGTGGTTGGGTTTTTACCGACTCATGGGCATTGGCCAATGGCCTGGCCAGATGGTTAGGCAGAAGGGCAATAGAAACCTGGCTTATTGAAGAAATGCCCTTACGGGGCATGGCCCTGTGGAAATCTGAGGGGTGCCTTAAAGTAGAACATGTCAACGCCCACTAAGAAAGCCCCTCTCCATGTTTGCAAGGTGACTGGAATTGACAAGCAGATATCTCTGTTTCTTTGAGGTGTTCACCTGGGTCCTTGAAATGAGCAGAGATGGGGGTGCAGAGAAGGGCTGGATCTAGACATGTTCCTTTTGTACCCTCTCCGGCACAAACTGCTAATAAGACTGTTCTGTTTGTCAGCAAGAGAGCCAGAGACTGCCAATGGCTATGTGGCCATTTCCCTGGTGGGAAGGCCCTAAAGAAAGCTGGCAAGTGAGTGGTACCCTGAGGGGCTACAAGTGGGTCTTGACAGAAATAGACACTGGCTCTGGAGTGGACTTTGCTTACCTGGTGGAAGATGAAAATTTTTAGAGTGCCATAAAAAAAAAAAAAAAAAACCAGAACAGAAAATATCGCATGGATTTGGATGGCCAACCATCCTTTTTTCAGACCAAGGAACACAGTGTACAGCCCATAATATCCAGCAATGAGCAGATAGCTATCCTCCTCAGAGTAAGAGTTTGATAGAGAAGTGGAATGGGCAATTAAAACATCAGTTGCTGGCCGGGAGCAGTGGCTCACACCTGTAATTCCAGCACTTTGGGAGGCTGATGCGGGTGGATCACTTAGGTCAGGAGCTCGAGACCAGCCTGACCAACATGGCGAAACACCGTCTCTACAAAAAATACAAAAATACAAAAAATAAAAAAATTAGCTGGGCATAGTGGCACACACCTATAATCCCAGCTACTCCAGGGGCTGAGGCAGGAGGCAGGAGAATGCTTGAACTCAGGAGGCGGAGATTGCAGTGGGCCGAGATTGCACCACTGCACTCCAGCCTGGGTGACAGAGTGAGACTTTGTCTCAAAAATAAATAAATGAAATAAAAATAAAAATTGGTTTTCTAAGACAAAGTCGAGATGAAAGCACGCAGGGCTGGCTTACATGCCTTCACAAGTGCGTGCTCACCTCAACATGAGTGGGACTGAAGAGGCGTCCCCACTGGGTTTTTCTCTGTTTTTCTGGTTGATCTGGGGAAGATGGGGCAGGGAGGATGCTGGTATGACGATGCAATTCTTGCCAAGGGAGGAGTACACTGGTATAACGACTATATATATTTTTTCTTCCCCAAATCACCTTAAAAATTTTTTTCCCCTGCCTGATGCAGTGGTTCTAGGACCAGGGCTGCAACCAAAAGTGCTGGAAGCAGGGATGATTTCTAAGCAAGACACTGTCACTATGCTTTTAAACCTTACATCAGAATTCTTAAGTGCCTAATGGGGGAGGGTTGTGCCTTTACCCCACCTAGCAAAAGTGGGGCTAAGAGTGAATGCAGCTATATTGCCTGGTGGTAAAAATAGCTCACCAGTTCTGCACCTATGTAACTTTACCCTATCTGAATGGGAGCGAACTGAGGAGGAAGTACTTGCTAAGCTTGTATTGCTGCCTGCAAACTAGACTAGCACAGTGGCGATTCTAATGTCCCTTCCAAAGGTGAAAAAGTTTGGGTATTAATGGAGAGAAGGAGAAACAGTAGCTGAGGGTAAAGGAATGAACAAATGGGTTATAAATGGAGGGAAGTCCAACATTACATTAACACCTTCAAAGAGACTCAGAGCAAGTGACGACATTATTGCTTAGCTCAATTATAACAGATGCCCAAAAGGTGAAAACGATGTTTGCTGAGACCATTCATGCTTTTGGAACCTGACAAGATTGAAAGGAAGCCTACAAGCCTGAGTGGCCTCCCCTGGGAGACATATTCGTACCTTACAATGATTGACTGGACTAATTACTAATGACTGAATGGGATTCTCGCAATGTGGCAGTATGTTTCTTTTTTTTAAACTAAAAGTAATTCCCAGAACTGAGCAGATGTGGCAGTATGTTTTGAGTTGTACATTCTTTTGATGTGAAGGATTCATGTTTGAAAACAAGGGAATGGCCTGTGATATTACGATTGTGTGTGTGTGTGTGTGTGTGTGTGTAGGGTTTTGTCCATGGTTCCTGGCTCATAATTCCCATAGCTTTTGATACAATCTTGATACAGACATAGCCTTTGATACATGGTTGTCATAACATGGTTGTCATAATGTTGGGGTGCTTACAGAATCTTGCTCTCTAAATTTCTCCTGTCCTCCTTTTACCTGCCCAAGGCAAGACTCTAATCTGATTGTAGGTCAAAAGACCCTTATTCCAGAGAGGGTCCTGCCCCATCCTCTGGAGGAAAGAATGCTGCACAGAGAGGCCAAGAAGAATCCAAACAGACAGGCCCTGCTGGGTTCCTACTCTGTATGTTAGTGTGAGATCATACTCTTTTTGTCCAATCATATTTCTACGGAGTTGTCAGTCATGCCTACGTAATGAAGCCTCCATAAAACTCCAAAAGGACAGCATTCGGAGAACTTCCGGATAGCTGAACACGGGGTTCCTGGAGTGTGGCCAGCCCAGGGAGGGCATGGAAGCTCCGTGACCCTCCCCACATACCTTGCCCTATGCACCTCTTCATTGTATCATTTGTAATATTTTTTATGGTACATCAGTAAATGTAAAAAAAAAAAAGACAATAGAAAAGGAAAGAGGTCACCAGGAGCCAGCATGGGCTCCCCACAACTAGTTGTGTCAGGTCAACTGAAAAAATAGGAGTGTTGAGAAATAGATAAGAAATATCCATTGAATCAAATTCAAAAAGCACAAAAGGTATACTATGAAAAGTCTTCCTCTCACCCTTCACTCTTAGCCAAACAGTTCCTCTATATGAATCTGTCTTTCTATATATCTATCATCATCTATCATCTATTTTTAATCTATTATCTATTTATCATCTAATCTTTTTCATCTATCTTTTCATCTACCTATTATCTATGATCTATATAATCTTTTTCATTTATCATCTATCTATCTATCTGTCTATCTATCTATCTATCTATCTATCTATCTAATCTAATCTACCTACCTACCCTTTAAAAAAACAAACTGTAGCATATTTTCCTTGCCATTTAAAAACTCTAACTTTCCTTTCCTCTAACAATGTGTCTTGAAGATTTTTACATAGCAGTGCATGTGAAGCTGCCTCATTCTTTTCATGCTGGTGGAGCACCGTGGTATAGATGCCTCATCATGGATTCAACCAGCCTCCGAAAGTCTCCAGTCTTTGTCTCTTATCAAGATTTCCACAGTGAATAATGCATCATTGCCGACACACAGGGAGTTGTCAACAGGGTTGTATGTCTATATATCACTTCCCACGTGGTTGATACATGTGATATGTATGTGTTTCTGTAGAATAAATACTCAGAGGTGAAATTGTTGAGCCAAAGAATGTATGTGTGTTTAATATTTACAGGTATTGTCAAATTTCCAAATTTCATAGAAGTTGTGGCCATTTTTGAATGTCTGAGGGGGTCTTTTTCCCTATATTTTTGCTGATGGTGTGAAAAGAGAGTAAATGAAAATAAGGAAGACCAGGGTCCAAGGACAAGCCATGAGGCATCCCAGTGTTGAAGAGTTGAGAAGCTGGAAAAAGCCAGCAGGGGAGGCTAAGGAGGAGCATCCAGGGAGGAAGGAGGAAAACCAGAGAGTGTGATGACTTGAAAATCAAGTGAAAAAACCTTTCCATAAGAGAGGGTGGGCCAGGTGCGGTGGCTCACACCTGTAATCCCAGCACTTTGGGAGGCCGAGGCGGGGGGATCACAAGGTCAGGAGATCGAGACCATCCTGGCTAACACAGTGAAACCCCATCTCTACTAAAAATACAAAAAATTAGCTGGGCGTGGTGGTGGGCACCTATAGTCCCAGCTGCTTGGGAGGCTGAGGCAGGAGAATGGCGTGAACCTGGGAGGCGGAGCTTGCAGTGAGCCGAGATGGTGCCACTGCACTCCAGCCTGGGCAACAGAGCAAGACTGCATCTCAAAAAAAAAAAAAAAAAAAAAAAAGAGGGCGGCCAAATGTGACAAATGGTGCCAAAAGGCCAAGTGGAATGAGGACTGAGGATTGATCGTAGGACTGGTACCTTGACCAGAGCACTTTCCAAGAGTGGTGGGGGTGAGCACTTGACCCACCACTAGCTAATGATTCCGACGAGGGCCTAGATGTGATTCTGTTCCCCCTGGGTGGAAAAGCGAGCCATCAGTGAGAGAATCAGGACTCAGAAGAACCAAGACAGGTGGCCACGATACAAGGAAGAATAGAGGACACAGTGATACCAGGTGACATTTCCAGGTCCCAAATGCCAACTACATAATGAGAGAGGGTAAATGTACCTAGTGCAAAAGACTTAGAGAATTTTGACAACTCCCTGTGTGTCAGCAATGATGTGTAGTAATCTGAAGAGCAAGGCAATTATAGGGTGGGTTAATGGACATATCGTATCCAGAATGAGAGAGGCGGTTGGCCCCCTGGGCTCAGCAGCAGCAAGTCCAAATGAGGGGAACTGGGTTCGGCTAGGGGACAGTAAGGTGGGAGACACAGTGGAGTCTGTTCAAGGAGCACACAGGGAGTTAAATAATTGTAAAGGAGGCTTCGTGAGAAATGGGTAAAGAACTAGAATGTTGAGCTTGGAAAAGAATGGACTTGGGGGACCTTCTTTTGCAAGAAGAGCTCTTCTAGGAGGAAGGGACTTAGGTGGGTTGTGTGTCTAAAAATGGTGGAATGCTGGCCAGTTGCAGTGGTTCACGCCTGCAATCCTAGCACTTTGGGAGGCCGAGGGGGAGGATCGCTTGAGGCTAGGAGTTCGACACTAGTCTGGACGACATAATGAGACCCCCGTCTCTACAAAAACAATAAAAAATGATGGGACAAGGCTGAGTGGAAGACGGAAGAAGACAGACATTGTGCCATGCCTTTTCCTACATTTATTTGTGAATTCTATGTGAAAATTTGTAATCTTTGAGTATTCCAAGCCATTTCCAACCCAGGTGTGTTCTCATCTACACCTTGTTGAATGCCTGAATCTTAAGTCTTGAGGAAACAATGCCTCCTCTAAAATCCACCTGAAGGAAATGAGCAACTTCTAATTTGATCACTAATCAGCACAGAGGAGGCTTATAATGGTGGCCACAGGGCTGGGGACTTGGCCTTCCCTGCGCTACCCTGTCACTGACTTGGCAGACAGCGTGACTGGCTGGCTCCTCACATCGCCGCCTATCCCTGCTCCCAAACGTCTGGGCGCTCAGGGAAAATTAGGAGGGAAGGGAGACCTGGCTCCTGTTCTCAGAGAACAGGACAGGCTCTAGGAGCTGGAGCCGGTGTGGTGATTATATCCTGCGCCAGGCAGAAGGCAAAGGGCAGCCTCCAAACTACACTTCCCGTAGCACTCTGGGTCAGTGCTGTCTCATAGAACTATACTGTGAGCCATATCTCTATTTTAAAATTTTCTAGAAGCCTCATCAAAAAGTAAAATGCACAGGTGAACTTGCAATCAATATATGAAAACTTGTTGAGATAATTTACATTATTTTTCATGCAAACACTTCACAATGTGGCATGTATTCCACACCAGAGCATGTCTTGATTTGGGCCAGCCATGTTTCAAATGCTCAACAGCCGCGTGTATGGATGGTGGGGTCTTGGTCAGTCACCTGTCTCACTGGTCCTCCCTTGCATGAAGGAGCCAGGGCTGCCAGTGGGTGTGCAGAGACTTGATGTCACCAGTCTAGTCTGTTCTACTGGTGCCCGCCCAGCTGTGGAAGGGGCTCCTGGGGATCCACAGGGGTGATTTGCTGAGTGCACATTTCTGTCTGGGAAGGGAGCCCATGCCTGTGTGTGCCTGCTGTTTTCCAGTTATGGTAAATATTAACGAAGCAGTGGGAGCCAGGCCCTCCAGGAGGCCTGGGCTCCCCCACGGGGAGGAATGGAGATAATGCTGTGTACCTTAGATAGGGCTTTAAACCTGGCCTCTGAGGCTGCAGGGTTTGAGCTGCCAGGGAAACATGGGCATGACTTTTGTTCCCAGGACCAGGATTCCTTGCTGGGAGATTCTCAGAACCCGCAGACCTCAGGAGTGCCACTTGCCTCCACATTTGCAATGGCCTCACCCCACTTCTTACAGTCTCCCACTCACAACCCACCCTCTTCACTTAAAGAGCTCTTCTCTCCAAATCCACTTGCCAACAAGCCAGCTCAGCCAAACTTAAGGGGATGGGAAACAGATTGGGTTCAGATGATTTCTTTAAAAAAGAAACCCAAACCAATAAGCACGTACTGAGCGCTTGCAGACGCTGGGCTGTCACATACACTTCCTCCTTCTCGCAGCAAGCAGGGCTGTGGCTGTCACCCCAGCCCAGGAGAGGGACGTGAGAGCCAAAGGAGTCAGCATCACAGCCTGGAGACAAAGCTGGGATTTTGACTGGATGCCATCTAGTTAGCTATCAGAAAGTTCTCTCCAAGAGGGGAGAACACTAGTGTTTATTTGTATTTGCATAAACAAACACTGAAAAAATACGTAAGAAACTAATGTAAGTGATTACATGTGGTGGAGGGAATGGGAAGGTGGGGGGGGTGCGGGTACTGGGAGTGAGAATTCTCAAGGATAATTACTTTGATATTTGAACTGTGAGGATATATTACCTAATTTGAAAAACAAGTGAGATGAAATTTTAACTGTTTATTTATTTTTTCCTGGTAGATGAAGATGTTTTCAGAGTAAATGAGCTTGAACACCTAATTGAAACTGATTTGATATCCAGAATGTATGTAAGGGTTTTATTTTATTTTCAATAAAGATAATCCACTTACATGACCAAAAAAAGTGAGTTCTTTCTGGTCATGGCATGGAATTAGTCTTCTTCAACTTCTATGTTTGGCTCCCAGTTTCCAGTACGACGAGGAAAACCACCTCCTTCTATCACTCAGCCCCCAACTTGAGTGGGGAGATGAAGCTGTGTCCTCAGGGAGCCGCAGTCTGAGGGAGCCCCAGTCTGAGGGGAGACACAGCCCCATCCTCAGGGGGGTCCCAGTCTGAGGCGAGATGCAGCCTTTCTCAGGGGGGCCCGGTCTGAGGGGAGATGTAGCCCTGTCCTCAGGGAACCTCAGTCTGAGGGAAGACACAGCCCCGTCCTTAGGGGGCCTCAGTCTGAGGGGAGACGCAGAGCTTTGCCCTGAGGGAGTTCCCAAGCCCAGCTTCTCTGGGTCAGGTAAAATTAGTGGAGGGAATTCCTCTGTGTTCTGAAGCATCCACTTCCTCTCTGGGCCTGGCTCCCCTTCCCGTCGCAGGAAACCTCCTAAGTTCCCAGCCTATTCTGTGTGTCAACACTTGTTTCCCCAGAGTGCTTGTCCTTGGTCCCTGGAAGGGGTTTATGTGTTCTTCCTTGCCTTCAGCCTCTTCTGAAGCCAGGGAATGCATGTCCTGAGGGGCTGGGGGAGGCCTGTGCTGGCTTCCTCGATAGCTCCCCAGGACACACGCTCTACACCTGCCACTCTGAGGGCTGAGCTGGGCTGGGCTGAGGGTGGGCCAGTGTGCCAGGTGGTGTGGAGCTCTGGGGGACTGCCCTGCCCTTTGCCCATGCAGCGTGTGGGCACTGAGACTGCGGGAGAGCCCAGGGACTTCTCCCGGCTCAGGGATCACGTCCAGTGAGACTATCTGGAGACAGGCAGGAGGATGAGTGCGAGGCCTTCAATCCTTCTTGGAGTTCACAAAGTCATTGACCTGGGAAGGGAAGGGCATGCCAGGGCAGGGCAGACTGGGCACACTTGCTGTGTTTTCTTCTGAGCAGAGGGTGCTGCCTTCAGCCGAGATGGAGGGCCGAGCCCTAGCTCCAGCCAGGCTCCTCAGCACCCTTGAGGGGCAGCTAGTGGCCTGCAGTTACCACCACCTCCCAGGGAAGGGCCGTACCTGCCACTCCCCCAACTTGCATTCCCCTTTCTTCCCCCACTGGCAGAGGAGGGGTCCTAGGGGTCTAGACCAGGCCTGAGAGGCTGGAGTAATGTATGCGGATGGAATGATGGAATCTGGTTGGGAGACAGGTGGCAATGAAATGAACCCCTTTTTGGATACTCCCCTCTGAGCTCACCCACCCGTCAGTCTTCTTGTCTCCATTCTTGACCTCCTTCCAACCTGGCTGCGAAGGTGACAGGGAGACCCCAGCTGCCTGCAGGGTCTGAGCAAGGACCAGATGGAGAGAGCAGCCATGCTAGACAGAGTGCAGACTAGAATCTGTGATTCCCAGCACCTGAGAGTTAGAGAGGGAGGGATCTTGGGTCATCCAGTCCAATGCCCTCATTGGCCAAGTGGGGTAACTGAGACCCATAGAGGTTTTTCCAAAACATACTGGAGAAACCACAGGAGAAGGCCCAATGATGGGACCTAGAAAGCAATTTGCTGGGGTGATGTGGGAAAATGCCAAGGTCAGAGTGAGTGAGGTGGCAAAGGAGACAGATACCCAGTGGGATGGAGGAGGGGCTGGGGTGTTTGCCCAGAGTAGCAGGGCTGCAGGAAAAGAAAACGAAGCATTTAGGATTCTTGCAAGATAAGACCTCAGGCAACCCCAAGGGTCAGCGGTCAGCTGGTCAGCTCCTTAGGAATGTGGGCCAGTCAGCAGCACCTTTGACTCGGCACCCTTGCTCTATAGCCCAGAGTGATCTTGCAAAAGTCATTCCCCCACAGAGGTCTTAGTCTCTCCATCTGTAAAGGGAAGCCAGCACACAGCCTTCTCAAAGGACCTCCCATCTCCACATTTCTACATCACAGAGAATGACACAATAGATTTGAGATACTTTTCTCTGTTTGGCATTTCTCGCTCTCCCTGTGCCTCAATTTCCACATCTGTAAACTAGGGATAAAAATGATATCTATTTCTTAAGGTGGTTGTAAAGATTAAATGAGTGATACATGTAAAGCATTTAGTACAGCGCTCAGCCCACAGAAAGCTTTTTGTTTTGTTTTGTTTTGTTTTAGAGACAAGTGTCTCGCTCTGTTGCCCAGGCTGGAGTACAGTGGTGTGATCATAGCTCACTGCAGCTTCGATCTCCTGGGCTCAAGCAATCTTCCTGCCTTAGACTCCTGAGTAGCTGGGACTACAGGTACACACCACCACACCCAGTTAATTTTTAAAATTTTTAGCGGAGATGAAGTCTTGCTATGTTGCCCAGCCTGGTCTTGAACTCCTGGCCTCAAGTGATCTTCTGGTCTCAGCTTCCCAAAGTGCTGGGATTACAGGTGTGAGCCACTGTGCTCGCCCCAGAAAGCCCTTAATAAATGTTACTTATCATTATTATTTTTGGTAATTAAGAGGGCAGTTGATTGCTATGCAGTTGTTGATGGCTCGTAGTGGGTTTCTTTTTTAATGAATGAACTGAGACAAGGGCCTCCTTGGGGCATTTTAAGGACAGCCTGGCTCTAGGGAGGTCCACATCCTATTCCAGATGCCACCCACACCCAGGCTGGAGAGCCCAGAGAACAGTGAGACCTAGGCCTGGAAGCACCTAGAACCCTACTGCAGGAGCAGCAAGGCCACCCTGGTGTCCCCAGCCCAGTGTCTCTGGGCCTGGGTTTTGGGCTTGGGCCTCAGAGGGAGCATCAGCAGCCCCTACCCCACCTCCATCCAGCTGGAGGCACCCTACCATGAGGGTGGCTAGAGATAGGGGAACAGCGAGAGGCATCCTGTGGAGGGTTTTCAAGAGGCTGTCCTGCTGAGGGTCAATATTTGCTCAGCTCTTGGACTGGCGCAGTCTATCACTGCCTCTGGCCCCTTACATTCCGGCCATCGCACCCCTATCTCAGGAACGTGCTCCCATCAACTCGGGAAACCACGCCCGACATGGGCAGTGGTCTGCCTTGGTCAGCCACTGCTCCCACCCCCGTTCCCAGGCAGGAAACCAGAGGCCCCACGAGGGAAGAGGTTGTGTACTCAGGCAGGTGCCTGGGAGATGCAGGCCAAGCCTGGGAGATGCAGGCCAAGCCTGGGAGCTGGGCACTGCCCTATCTGCCACCCCTTGATGAAGCCCCTGCCTCCTTGCCAGCTGCAGCCAATGGGGCAGGGGGCAGGACCTCACCAGCTTCCCTCCTAGAATCCTTCTTAAATTAGATAATTATTTCAGCAAACATTTCCTAGGCACCTACTGTATTCCCAAGAGGATTCAAAAAGAAAAAAGACTCTTCCCGGGCTTTCTAGAAACTTGTACTCAAATAGATTTATTTCAGCCATGAATAATGTCTAGGACCTCACTTAAAGGAAAAGAATCCTGAGGGACCCCAGTGTTACCTTAATATTAGATTCACTTAGATCTCTGCAAACATGCAACCAAGATACAAAACACTTTTCATGTTCAGCTTACATACAACTCAAAAAGAAGGATCAATTTGCAGTTTAATTACAAAGAAAACAACAAACTGATTTCAAATGGAGGGCACACACTTTAGTGTGATGTCTCTTGCTGAAACCAAATCATCACTTGCAGTGTGAACAGTGTGCAGGCTTGTTCTTCTTTGAAGGGGGACCTAAGAGGAATTTGCTTTCACCGGACCCAATGCGCCATTTACATATTAAGTCCCACCCCTGCACTTTTCTCATTGGCCAGGACAACTGGCCCTAATGAGCTCATTGGGGAGTATGCTTAAACTCATTTCCTGAGGTTAGCTTGCAACTGAGAAAACCCTAGCCAATGAAGGTGGAGGCCTCGGGACGGCATTAATTCCAGAGAGGGTCAGGCTATGCCTTCCCCTTGGCCCTGACAGTGTCTAGAGCTCTTGACTTTCATCCATTACCTCATTTGCACCCCATTCAAACCCGGAGAAGTGGGCAGGGCAAGTTCCTTCCGGGGTTCTTGAGTCTTTTACTCTGCCTCTGTGAGGGAAGGTGTAATTTTTTAAATTTCTACTTTTACAAGAAGAAAATAATATATATTTTTATGTCTCCCTTTTCTCTATAGAAGGTCGTGTACTTTGCACATGGCTCCGTAACTGTCTTGAGTTAATTCCATGTCTTTGGAGGATGTTCACTAATGGTACAAAAAGAATATCCTGATTTTTTTTTTACAGCTGCATAGTATTCCATTGTATGGCTGATCTGTCATGTATTAAACCAGGCTTTCCTTGAGTTAGGTCATTTCCATCTTTAGCTTTTACAAACAATCCTGCAGTCAATAATCTTGTACATGCGTCATTTCGCACGTAGTAGGTACATCTATAGCATCGATTCCCAGACCTGGGATTGTTCCTCTTGCCAAGTTGTTCTCCACTGAGATTGTAACAATTAAACTTTCACCAACAATGCATGAGGGTGATTATTTCCCCACAGCCTGGCCCACAAAGGGCGCTATCAATTTGTTTTTGGATTTTTGCCAATCTGATAGGTGAAACATTGTATCTTAATATAGTTCTAATTTGGACATGCTTTTATGTACACGGCGTCTGGTTGGGATGTGGGGAATGCAGTGTTGTATTGGGGAGCAAAGGACTTTCTAAGGCCAAGCTGTTGAGGAAGGATCTATGCACCTGACCTCATTTGATTTAACCAGTGGGCAACTGGCCAGAGAGAGACTGGAACCACCCAAGTCATCTCCAAATTTAAAGGTACCTGGAAAAGTCACTCGGCTTCTCCTTGCCTGTGGATGGGTGGGGTGGGGTCTGCACATCAGCTTAGGGCGACCTGTCAGGACGTTGCGAGGTCCCTGGGGTCTCATGTCAGTGGGGAGGTTTTCCCTGAGACCTAACTTCCTCCACTAAAGATCATTCCATTCTTCCAGGTTGGCACCCTATGGATTGGAAGAATCACAAGATGGGAAATGCCAGTGAATGAATAGGTGCTTATGTCCCTTTTAGTCTCACTGGAATCACAATTTCCATGGTGTCCCTCAGAGACCACAGACCCCGTTGGGAAGAAAAGAAGGTTAATTTAACATGATTTATTCTCTGTAAACCCATTCTTGCTCCATGCAATCCCTAGTCTCTTTCCTGATACTCATTCCTCTAAGGAGAGGACAGAAGCCACCTGACCCTAAACCCTCAGCCTGGCATTGCTGAGGCCAGGGAGGCTTCGTGTAGGATCCTCTCCCCTGGGAACCTGCCTGTGTGTTTAAATGCTGGGTCTCCTTCTTTGCAAATTGTCAGTCTTTACAATTTGTTACAGGCATGGTAATATACAAATGTGTGTGTGTGTGTGTGTATTGAGGAATCTGGCATTTAGGGTCAGCTTCCAGTCTGAGGTCAACAGCACCCCAGACCCAGCTTGGGACCGCAGAGCAGCTTAGTTTGAGGCTCAAGGTCAGCATCCCAGAAACTCTGGCCTGAAGACATGGGCAAAAAAGCAGCTTCTCAGAGTCAAGAACATAAAACATCAGAGCTGAAGAAGTCTTAGTCAGTATCCAGCTCTTTCATTGCACAGTTGGGGAAACTGGGTTGCAGGTAAAGTGAAGGACTCACCTGAGGTCCCCCAACGAGCAGATGGCAAAGCCAGGCTGGGCAGGTGGTATCAGACTCCCAGGCCTGCCCTTGCTGGGTTCTCTGCCAGCAGACCTCTTTCAGCTGAGCACTAAGGGGTGGGGGCTTGGTCTGCAGCCCCAAAACAAGCCCGCATGCCTCCCTAAGTGTGGATGCCCAGGATGGGTGTTGCTGCAGCTGCTGCCCCCACAGCCCGGATGGCTGCCGGCTCAGGCAGGACCCCCAGAGGCCAGGGTGGACGAGGGGATACACAGGGCCCCCTCTCAGCGTGCCCAGATTTGTCTCCCGCCTGCTTTTAATTGCATGTAATAATCAGCAGAAGAACCGAGTCAATCCCTGGCTCCTTTCTTCTGATTCCCTTTTCCAGACATGGGGAGAAGGGGCAGGTGGAGGCATCCGCCTTCCCAGAAGTCAGCCTAATCTCTGCCTGTCTTGAGAAAGATAATGAGGATTGCTCTGAAGGGTGGGGACAGGGGCTTGCTTGCTTCTTTGGCAGGGCACGGAATTTCTGAGAAGCCCTTCCCCCAAGATGCCAAGCCCCAAGTCCAACTGCCAGGGCTCAGGGAAAGAGGAACCTGGGGAACTAGGCATGGAAAAGGGAAAACCCTTGGGGCGGAGATATGATGTGTCACTCAGTGCTTCCTCATTGCCCTCCAGATAGGTAGGCTTCATTCCAGCCTCCCCACCTTTGCTTATGCCCTTCGTTCTGCTGGGAACTCCATCTGCATTCCTGTCTGCCTGCTCCAACCCTGCCCATCTTGAATGCCCCAGCTCAATCCAACTCCTCAAGAAGCTTCTGTGGCTGTTCCATCCTAGTGAGCTTTCTCCTCCCACGACCCTCAATGGCTGGGATAGAAGTTGCTCAATAGATTCTCATTAATTAGAATTTATTGATCACCTATTACATGTCAGTGTCTTGGGCTGGTTTCCTCTGAAATAAGGACTTGAGCATTAATAGTTTATTTGGAAGATTTCCATAAAACACCAGTAAAGGAGTAGAGAAGTGAGGCAGGAAAGAGAAAGAAGCCAATAAAATAAATGCCTGCTACTGAGTAGGTGACTGCTGTATGCAACTGGGGACCTTTGGGTAACTCATCTCAAAGTTACCCAGCCAGCGGGCAAGGGAGCTAGCGTATTAGCCATGAAATCATGTAGCCATTGGTTGAGAGATCCTAGGGAAGTGGGTGTCAATTCCCTGGCACTTCTGACCTGCCCTGTATGGGAATCCAAACGGGCTCAAAGTGTCAGAATGGTGGGTGCTGAGCGGACATGGGTGGATATATCCGTGTCTGCATATGCTGATAGCTGAGGATACAAAGATGAACAAAGCAATCCCCTGCCTTTCAGGAGTTGTACAATCAAGTCAGGGAGGCAGAGGGTTAAACACATTGTTCCAGGGCAGCACAGTACATTCCAGAATAGAGGTACAGTACATCCTCACTTAACATCATCAATAGGTCCTTGGAAATTGCAACTTTAAGTGAAATTACGTATAATAAAATGAATTTTTTTCTCACTTAAAAACAATGTTGAATGAAATGACATTATTTGAGGACCCGCTGTCTGTCATTTTGTTTAAAGTCAGTACTGTCTTCATAGTGGGCTGTGGGAGTTTAGGGGTGGGACACTTGACCAGCCTGGAATTCAGGGAAGAAATCCTGGAGAAGAGTGGAGTTTTGAAGGCAAATCATTGCCACTGTGAAAAGTGGCAGCAGGACATTCTACTTAGAGGGAACAGCATGGGCGAAGTCACCATGTGGGGTGGGGGGTGCTCTGAGCCTGCTGTCAGCTGACATGGCCAGCTCTGCTACCATCTCCATCCCAGCATAAGGGTCAGCTCAAGTTCAAAATAATTTTGAGATAGCAACTAATCTTAACTGTTAACCAGGGAGGACTGGCTGATGTTGAATTTGCAAACACAGGAAGATTTGCTCATTTACTGAGCTTAGTTAGAAATGTGTCACCCGCACTCTTTAAGTAAATCAACAGTCTCCACACTGTATCCACATTTGGGAAGACATTGGAACCTCACTTTTATTCTTTCTTTTGTCCTTTATAATGTACATAATTTATTAGTATGGTAGCACATATTGTATATCTTATATACATGTTAGGGGCATATGTCACAGATTTTCTGTGGATAGAGGTATATAATCAAAAGAATTGGGAGCCTACTGAAGTGGGTGATGGCTGAGGTAAGCTTGGGATATGCTTTAGAAAGAAGGTTCTAAACCCAGCTCCCCTACCCCATCCCTACTGGCAAGAGGTTAAGGTTGGGCTTTCTCTCTAGTGGCATCCCTGCTTGCTTGTTGTGCCATGTGAACATAGGCCATTTGAGGGCCAGGTTTGGGCTGCAGCTGTGGAATAGGCTTCTTTCTCCCTCCTCAGGCCCACTGACCCACCCAGGGGCTTGAGTCTTCTTTGGTAGAGGCGGCCTCCGTTTGGAGCCGTTTCCATGGTTATGAGGCAGGAGCTATCACTTGCTCTTTCTGTCCCTTGCCTCTGACTCTGATGGGTCTGCTCTGGGCTCCCTCCTGTCTGGTCTGAGGTCTCCAGGCCTGGTACAGGCCCTGCGCTCACACTTTCTGGCTGACTCACAGCTTCTCCAGCCACACTCCAGCCCCTGCCACTCACTCCTGGCCTGGCCCCATGGTCAGAGCTACTGTCAGTCACTAATTATCTTAGTCATCTTTCCATCTATGCTTGTTGAGCTAATGGAGAAGACAAACAGAAATCTCAGCAAATGTGGAAAATTCCTGCTGACAAGGCAAGGGGCCCTGGCCCAGGTTTGGTGAGATTAGACTTTCCCCAGTGAGGCTGCAGGGACGGCCCCCCAGTTTTGAACAGTTTAATTGGGAAGTGGCGGGCAGCCTTCCTGGTCAGTGCTGTGCCCCCTGGTTGGCAGTCCATCTTATCAAACACAGAGCAGGGCTTAACTCAGGGTGGGAGCGCTGGGGAACGGGGGCCACAGAGCCAGGTCTTGGTGGTATCATTATTCAGGCAGCCCCAGGGCTGTCTCTCCAGTTGGGATTCTTGGTTCTGGGGTCCTCCCGCCCCAACCAAGGATGCCCAGCTGGCCAAGTCAGCTGAACGGGAGGGTGAGGCCTGGGCTGCATGCTCTCTCACACCTGAGGCCTGTTAATAATTACCCCTGGGGAGGGCAAGGCCCCAGCAGACATCACTAATGAGCCTGCTAAGTGACAGCTGGGCCCTTTCCCCCTCACCTGCTCAGGAAAACAAGATCCGACCAAGGAATTATTTAACCCTTTTTGGGCTGGGCGCTCCCTGAGGACAGGGTTGTGCCTTCCCCTCAGACTGGGGCTTCCTGAGTCCCTGGAGCCTTCTCCATTGTCAGCACAAGACTTCTTCTATTCCTGTTGTCAGTGCTTGCATTTCTGCTCTAATGGAAGGCTGCTCTGTTTAGTGTCAGCTCTAAGCAGTGCTGTCCGCTAGAACATTCTGTGATGGTGGAAATGTTCTCGAGCCGCACTGTGGAAAACAGTAGCCACTAGCCACACGCGGGTACCGAGCACTTAAACTATGCATCTGATTTACGGTAGTTTTAAAACCCAATTTTAGTTAATTTAGATTATTTATGAATGAGACAGGGTCTCACTCTGTGGCCCAGGCTGGAGTGCAGTGGTGCAGTCTCGGCTCACTGAAGCCTCGACTTTCCAGACCTAAGCCATTCCCCCACCTCAGCCTCCTGAGTAGCTGGAACTACAGGCACACGCCACTACGCCTGGCTAATTTAAGAAAATTTTTTTGTAGAGGTAGGGTTTCACAACATTGTTCAAGCTGATAATTTAGATTTAAATGGCCACATGTGGCTAGTGGCTCCCATACTCCGTGGTGAGGTCTATAATGTTTCACAAGGGAGGCCTTGAACGGGTGGTGAACAGATTTATGCAAAACAACCCTCTAAACTGCAATCCCATTGGTAGGTCAGAGCCCATTTTCTCACCCTTGCAGGCTTGAAGGGGCCCAAGGTTATTTTCCTTGGAGATGGCTCCTGGAAGCCTGGGTGGGTTTCCTCACTACCTCCCTACAAAAGCCCCTAGGTGGCTGAGGGGCCCAGAGGAACAGGGATCTGGCTAGAAAGCACCTGTTCTTAACAAGGGTCCCCAGCAGCCAGGCAGCCCTCCCTCCACAGGGCACGGGGCTGTCGCTGCCTGAATGAGGGAGATTTATGGAAAATCCCCTCACACAACAGGCGGATTTTCCAAGCCTCATTGGTTGTTCTGGTCTGAGCCTTCATTAAGGGGAACAGGGGACAATGGAGGAGGTAGGGGTGAGGCCCTGGGTCCATTCAGCTCTCTATCCTTTGGCACTGGGAACTCCATCAAGGCCCCCCCAACCCTTTCCTGGCTTGAGGAAAGGTCACACTCTCTCCCCTTTCAATAGTAATAAAAGGCCCCAAATATCCAGCAAAGTCAGACTCGGCCTTTGAGGAATATCTTTCTTGCATTTTAAAAGATTTCCAGAAGAGATATTCTTTGGTTTTGCTTTACAATCCTCTGTGCCTTGTAATGCACGGTCTTGGAAGTTCCTCCCTACAGCTAACCTAATTTTATTACGCTTTAGGCCTGCCTCAGTAGGACTTCTCCTTTAAAGTTACGGCAACATTTCAAAGTAGCAAGATCAATTGTGTGACTTCCCAATAAAAATCCTTGATTGGAAGGAGAAACCACTGGCTACTAGAGCTGGAGGGACCCTAGAGATTTGCAGTCCGTTCCTCACTGCGCATTCAGAGAGTGTACCGCCCAAGCAGGTGGTGCCACACTTAGAGCCAGAATTCATGCTCCAGGTGGTACCCACCTGTATACCAGCTGCCTCTGCTGCAGCACAGTCACATAGAGATCCAGAGACCCATTGAGACAACCCTTCCAGAGGAAAGAGCACTGCTTGACCCAGGGGAATGGATTTCTAAGAGTGAATATTAGGTCTCATCCCAAAGGCTTTTTGTCTTAAAGCCCCTTCCAGAAAGTACTCAGTATGTAGTAAGGAGATCAGTGGGAGTGTCTTAGAGGTAAGACCGAGAGTGGCCCTTTGAAGGTGGCGAGGGAAGAGAAGGGTGAGGCATTCCCAGGGTTGCAAAGACTCAGGAGGGCTATGGCAGGGGCCTGGGGCGCTTCCCCTGTGTTGGGGATGTGACTGAGGCTGGGCATTGCTCACTGAGTAGAGTCGATGAGTACAGCCAGTTCCCTATAATGGTGGGTGTCCAGGTCCTGGGAGGTGACTCGCCTTGTCGAGGGAAACTGGTGGGAGCAGGAGGTGTTTATGGTTTTCCCTCTCCTGGGGGCAGCTGGAGTGAGCCAAGTTTACAGTTGCCCAGAACTCTATAAACACACTTGGTGAGCATGTGTGCGTATGTGAGTGCCTGTGCGGGTGAGTGTCCCCTGACATCTGACTGTCACCCCTGCTGGGCGGCCCTGACCTTCCTGACCTTGTGAGAAAGGAGAGAAGATGCTAAGCTGAGTGACTTTGCTCTCTTGGGCCTGGTGACACCTACTGAAGGGGTCCGTAAGCCTGGGCTATGTGGGACCCTGGGGGCCCTGTAGGCTTCCTTGGGAGGAAGGCCTTGAGGGGATCCTGGAGAGTGGGGAGGAGGAAGGGCATTCCAGGCCTGGGGAACTGCAGGAGCAAGGAGGTGTGTGTGTGTGTGTGTGTGTGAAAGAGAGAGATCGGAGCAGGAAAGGGCGAGCCTTACAAGAAAGAGAAACTTTGGGGAAGCCTTTAGATCTGACCTGATAGTTCGTAGAGACATATTGAAACCCTGTCTGGCACACAGGCCCCACGTGCTTATTATCATTAGTAATTATGACACGACACAGAGGTATTCCCTGGTTTGGTGACTGGGTAGCCTGAGCCCTCCATATTCTGGCCAGTGCTGAACATGGCTGGCATTAGGGATAGCTTGTGGTCTCAATTAGGGGCCAGCAGTGGCCAGGGTTAGGGGTCAAGTGGTAGCCAGGGTAAAGCAAGCTTGTAGTCAAGATAAAGGGTCAGCTGTGGTTATGACTGGCTGTTGATAAGTGGTTGGGGCTAGAGGTCAGATACTGACAATGAACAGTTTTCTATGTATGATGCTAACTGCTCTGGAAGCAGCTCACCTTATCTCGGAGGCATAATGAAGAGGCAGGAGCATTTGTCTGAGAACTAAGAAGACTTGGGTGTTAGCCCTTGTTCTACTCACTTATTCGCTGGGTGAGTTGCTTCACTTCTTTGAACGTCAGTCTTCCCTCTGCGGGAAAGTAACAATGCATGCCCTCCTGCCTTACAGTATGTGAGGTATTTGTTTCTGGGTATCCTATTATTAAATGTGATTAAATAATCATTAATAGCAACACAGCCTTTCCAATCTCACCCTGCCAGGCCTGTAGGTAAACCCTCAGTGTTGGCTGAGGGTAGGTTGGGGGAGTGGTTAAATAATGGTCCACAGACTTGGCCACTCATTGGAATTACCTGGACATTTACAAGAGCATACTGATGCCTGACTTACTCCAACCCTCCTGCATTCTGAATTAATTTATATGGGGTGACCAGGGCATCAGATGTTTTTTTAGACAAGGTCTCAGTCTGTCCCCCAGGCTGGAGTGCAGTGGCACGATCACGGCTCACTACAGGCTCGACCTCTTGGGTTCAATTCTCCCACCTTAGCCTCCCAAGTAGCACCAAGGACTATAGGTGCATGCCACTATACCCGGCTAATTTTTAAATTTTTAATAGAGACAAGGTCTCACTCTATTGCCTAGGCTGGTTTTAAACTCCTGAGCTCAAGCCATCTTCCCGTCTTGGCCTCCCAAAGTGCTGAGATTACAGGTGTGAGCCACTGTGCCCAGCCATGCATCAGAATTTTTGAAAGTTCCCCAGGTGATTCTAATGGGCAGCCAAGTTTGAAAACCACTGGGTAAAAGCCAGTACAAATGAACTAAAGAGAATGAGTCTTTAAGCAGCAACCTGAGCTGTAGATAAACCAACCAGCTGAATCCATGCCGCATTTCTGTGGGGAGCTGAGATGGGACAGCAGCAAGAGGCTTGGGGAGAACTTTCTCACTTAACCCTCTCCATACCTCTGTGTCTTCATTTGTCAAATGGGGTTATCTTTATACTTACCTCACAAAGGTTGTACTTTATAATAATCAGCCCCAGCCAGCCAAGAGATGTTGACTGAATATTGGGGACTGGAGTGGAGAAAGCAAGGTCCCTGGAACTTCCCTTCAGCGCTGCCTTACCCGAACTTTTTGAGGATAGTCTGAAGCCTGGGGATGGACAACATGACCTTGATGAACCTGGAATCTCCTGGCCCTGAAGAGGATCTTTGGCATATATGTCCCCTGTTTCAAACATCGTCCCCCTCAAATGCACTCACATTCATTTCATCACGTCTTTCATTTTTTTGTTCATTTCAGAAAATACCATCCCCATACTAACCTGTAGGACAGGTGGGGGATGGGGAGATGGAGTTCCATCACCTCTGGCTCTTTCCAGGGTTGGGATGGGATGTTATGGAGCCCCTGGAAGCTTCAGCTGAGGGTTGGGGGCAGCTCCTGGCCAGGTTTCCAGTGTCTTGGTCCTCCGGGGAAAATGAAGTTTTCTTTTGTGGTCTGTGTGTCTTTAAGACTTGAAGGCTGTGGGGACCTGACTGGGGAAAATTCCAACCAGTGGGTTCCTTTGAAATGGAAGTGACATCTAGTGGTCTGAAAAAGAACTGCCAAGTTGACCCCCCCCAGCCCCAGGCTGCCCCTGGGGTCCCTTCCCTGGCCCCAGGTCACTTTCCTGCTGGGCCACAACCCTGCTTGAGGGCAGTCTAAGTCCTGACAGTGGGCTTTTGGTGGCAGGGTGACTCTCTTGGCCCTGCCCAGGCTGGAACCCAGGCCAGGTACCTGCACTCAGGTCCAGACACAGAGAGGCCAGGCCCAGGGCAGCCAGAAGAGGCCCAAATATGCCAGGGCTGCAACATCGCGTCCCCAGGTGAGGTGGAATCCTTGGGTCTCGTGTCTGTTGATTCTGAGGAGCCCTGTCCTGAGTCTTCCACAGAAGTCAGAGTGCTGTGCAGGCCTCAGTGCTGAATCATCCTGTGGCCAGGCTGCTGTTATGCAATGATCCCGCCGTGGGTCCACTGGTGTCAGCGGCTGGCCTTCAGCCTCCCCTTCAGGGAGGCAAGGGGCTTTGGGCGGTGCATGTGCCCAGACTTGGGATGTGTGAAATGACGGCCTGCTCAAACACCTGGCCTTGGAACCAAAAGGGAGGGTGGGAGGAGGGGACAGTGCCCAGTCGCTTGTTCTCTAAGGTTCCTGACTTGAGGAGCCCCAGTCTGAGGGGGAGACATAGCCCTGCCCTCAGGGAACCCCAGAGATCCCTGATGAGGGCGGGAGCAGGAAGGAAAAACACACGAGTGGAACAGACCTGATGAACCCTGCAAAGCGCCAGAAAAGCCAGAGCAGATGATTTTAGGACAGCAGGGCCCCAGGGGCTGTGCTGGGAACGGGGCAAGTGACTGGCACTGGGATTGAGTGGCTGCTAGTGCTCAGGGGAGGCAATGCCTTTAATGATGGCAGGGGACCTGTCCCCTGTCCTCCATGTGTGTATACCTGGGTTTTTCCCCAGCACCTGGTTCACAGGATGAGAGGCCTCAGTCCATCTCAGACACTAAGCCCCATGGCACCAGGGCCTGGGCAGGTAATAAAAGAGACTCAGCAGGACTGGGAGGGCTTGCTGGCATTGTTCGGACACTTGGCATGCATCTGTTTCTTTCCTCTCTGCTGTGGTCCTCACTGGCAGCTGGGTGGAGAGAGAACCCACTTGGGAGGCAAGAGCCCTGTGGGCCACCTCAGCCCTGTCTCTGCCCTACCCCACCCCTGAGCGAGGCACAGCTGCCTCTGGCCTTACTTATGGTTCTGGAAGCTTCCTTGGGCCCCTTCTCTAAGACCCTTGGCTCAGGCACATCCTTCTGGGTTGGGAGGCGTCTCTTCCAGAAGGTGGGTGAGTTTGAAGATAGACTTCATGAAAATGCTATGCAATTGGCTTGCTTCTGAGAGATTTGAACAGCTAGCATTTTAACAATCTCCCAGAATTTATGAAGTAGAAAATACTTGTTTAGCATTGTCTTATTTTTAAATAATTAATTTTAGTTCAGGCGTGGAGGCTCACACCTATAATCCCAGCACTTTGGGAGGCCGAAGCAGGCAGACTGCTTGAGGTCAGGAGTTTGAGACCAGCCTGGCCAACATGGTGAAACCCCATCTCTACTAAAAATACAAAAATTTTCTGGGAGTGTTGGCAGGCGCCTGTAATCCCAGCTACTGGGGAGGCTGAGGCATGAGAATAGCTTGAACCTGAGAGGCGGAGGTTGCTGTGAGCCGAGATCGCACCACTGCACTCCAGCCTGGGCGACAGAGTGAGACCTTATTTCCAAAAAATAAATAAATGAAATAAATAAGAGATACTATATGGACACAGTGAAAAATGCAAGCGCAATAAGAATTAGGGAACCTAGGTGAAGGACATCAGCAGTTCTTATTTTTGCAACTTTTCTGTATGCTTAAAAAAATAAAAAAGTAAAATAAATAAGAAGTTAAAAACAAATTCAGACAGAAGTGTAAGCCTCTCTTCTAACCTTTCTTCTAGCCACTTACTCAGTCCTTCTCTTGGAGGCCCCTGAGTTACCAGTTTCCTGTGTATCCTTCTAAAGGTAGTCTAAAACATATACATTTATAAACTGTTTTCCTCCCACATGAATGATGACTTTTCTCCACACCGTTCTGCAACTTTTTTCTCTCACTTAACAATAATCTGGAGACCATTTGGTGTGAGTGCACAGATAGCTGGCTCATTCTTTTTCTTCACTCCAGTTTATTCTACCAAACAGATGTTTCAAATGTTTATTTGGAAGAGATTGTATAATAAGGTGGTTAAGAGCATAGTCTTTGGAGGCAGAATGCTCTCGTTCAAGCCAGTTGTTTAATGTTGAGCCAGTTACTCAATGTCTGAGTGACTCAGTTTCCTCATTTGTGATCCAAAGATAACAGCATCATCTACCTTGAAGCATTTTGTGGAGATTCAATAAGATAAAGCTTGTAAATGGCTTAGGACAGTGCCTGGTGTGCAGTAAGCACTCAATAAGTGTTCGCTGCTCCTCCTGAGGTTATTTTGCCAGACCCTTTTTGAGAGAGCTGGGCTGTTTCCAGACTTTTATTATTATAAACAATGCTGCAAACAAATAGCCTTCCCCACACGTCATTTGCTCCTTGTGGGAGTGCATCAACAGGAAAAATTCCAGGGAGTAGAATTGCTGGGTCAAAGACCGTGTGCATTTTTAATTTTGAAAGATATCATCAGGTTGTCCCCCTTAAGGGGTGGTCCCAGTCACTGGGCCACCAGCTGAGTTTGAGCCTGTTTCCTCAGCCTCACCAACAGAGTGTGTGTTTCATTTGAACATATCATTTCTCAAATTTGTTTGGGCAGAGAAGTCTGTTATGGAGTTTCTTGGGGGATCATTTGGCCTTCAAGCCCCTCTCCCCTATACCTGCCTGAGTCTGTCAAGGAGTTTGTTGGGAGAAGCCAGCCCACCATATGGTCTAGACTGGTCTACAGCCAGCAAAAGGCTCCTGAAAGTCTCTGCTAAGGTCAGCTGCATATTCCTTCAATATGTTGATTCAGGCAGGGTGCGGTGGCTCACGCTTGTAATCCCAGCACCTTGGGAGGCCGAGGCAGGTGGATCACCTGAAGTTGGGAGTTCGAGACCACCCTGGCTAACATGGAGAAACCCCATCTCTACTAAAAATACAAAAATTAGCCAGGCGTGGTGGTGCATGCCTGTAATTCCAGCTACTTGGGAGGTGGAGGCAGGAAAATCGCTTGAACCTGGGAGGTGGAGGTGGCGGTGAGCCGAGATCACGCCATTGTACTCCAGCCTGGGCAACAAGAGTGAAGCTCCATCCCCACCCCATCCCTGACCAAAAAAAAAAAAGATACAACAATATGTTGATTCAATATTACGGTGCTCACAAGTTTATACGTTGTTGGTGGCAGTCTCTTCTGGGGCCTGTTAGCATATTAAAACTATTGGTTAAATCTGATAATGCTTTAGGTTGTGCTTGTTTTTCACCATTTCATTCCTGAGCCAGGGGTTTGCAATTTCTAATCACATTTTTAACATTTTCTCACTCCTACAAAGGCACACAGACAATGCCAGTACTCAATTTGCTGTAATCATGGAAAGCCTGACTGCTCTACCTGGAATTAGACTTCCTGCTATGGATAACCTGTAAACCAACCTCCCTGCCTTCCCTTCGTGGAAAATTGAAGTTGATTATTAAAAAAAAAAAAAAAAAAAAGGTAGACTCTGTATTAAGAGGCCCTGTCATCTGAAAATGGAAACCTCACCAACACAAAATATATCAAAAGGATGAGTATTCTTTTTACAAAAAGAGTTCCTACTGAGTTAATTTTAGTGGATTTTTAGTAAAGCCTTTTTAGACAACTATAACAAGGCAGAGAGGACTGTTTGAAGGCGGCAGCTTTGAGCAGGAGAGCAGGCCTGATGTGTCTCACCAATTCTTAACTTCTGTTCACCCGCAGCTTGCTCACCCCTGATCTCATGCAGGACCGGGCTGGAATGATCCTTTGTGATTCATTCTGATTTAGGGTGGCAGCCAAACTTTCTAGGACTTTTGCGGGCTCTGTGGGCTATCCTGCATCAAAGGCTCCAATGCCTCTTTCCTCTCCTCTGACCTTGCAGATCTGACAAATGCCAAGGACTTTGCCTACGCTGGATGTGTAGCCGAAGACTGTCCCAGGCTGCTCAGAGGGGCGGAAGCAAACTCGCTGCATCTCCAGAAGCCCCTCAGAGGTCAGGTTTAAGGTGAGGGTGTCCTTGAGTGAAGGTCAAATAGGTTTCTTTTCTCCTCTCTTTTTTGAGACAGGGTCTCACTCTGTTGCCCAGGCTGGAGTACGGTGGCACGATCATGGCTCACTGCAGCCTCAACCTTCTGGGCTCAAACAACCCTCCCCACCTCAGCCCCCCCAAAAACCAGGACTACAGGGATGTACGGCCACACCTAGCTAATTAAATTTTCTTTTTTTTTTTTTGTAGAGACAGGATCTCCCTATGTTGCTTAGGCTTGTCTTGAACGCCTGAGCTCAAGTGATCCTCCTGCCTTGGCCTCCCAAAATACTGGGATTATAGGCAGGAGTCACTGTGCCCGGCCAGGTTTCTGTCTTCCCCCAATTGTTTAGTAAACTTTTTTTTCCCTCTAATTAAAAAACACACTGAGAAAACTGCACAAATCATAAGTAAATATTGCAGTGATCTTTTACCTGCAACACATCATCTAGATCAAGAAATATAGCTTTGCCAGCTTCCTGTAACCCTTGCCTGGTGTCCCCTCCCAGTTGTCACTCCCATCAAAGGCAGGCATTCTTCTGCCTTCTATTCCTGACAGTTAGTGTGGCCTGACTTTGGAACGTTGTATAAATGGAATCACATTGGATGAACTTGATTGTTTCTGGTTTCTCTGGCTCACCATTTTGAAATTCACCCATGTCATGTGTGCGGTTCACTTATTCTCATTGTGGTATAGTGTCCCATTGTATGACTATGCAATTCTTAATCCATTCTACTGATAATCTTTGGGTTGTTGCTTGCTTAGGGCTGTGATGGATAATGCTGCTGTAACATTCTTATCTTTGCCTTGTGGTGTGCAAGTGTACACGTTTCTACTAAATACCTAGGAGTGAAATTACTGTGTCATAGACACTGCGAGTTTTCCAAAGTGGTTGTAGCAGCAGCATATGACAGTCCCAGCTTCTTCACGTCCTCACCAACACCATTGTCAGTGGTTTCACTTTAATATCCTGGTGGCCAAAATTACCTTTCTAAACCATAGATCCTTTGATCTCTTTCCTGCTTTGAGCTTCCTAACATTTCCCCAACATTTTAGCATGAAAACTTCTACAGAAAAGTTGAAAAAAATTTTACAGTGATCACCCATATCATCACCAAACATATAATATAATCACATCATCCACATCTTGTTATAATCACTTTTTCACATGTCTAGCTAGCTAGCCTTCCATCAGCCATCTTCTTTTTTCATTGTCAGTGCCTCTTTATGAAGGTAAAATTGACATACCAGAACATATCCTCATTTTAGGCACACATTTCATGATTTAAGTAAATTTATACAGTTGTGCAACCATCAGCATAATCTAGTTTTAGAACACTTCTGTTACCCTAAGCACGTTCTCCTCATACCGTTTGTCGTCAATCCCTACCACGGCTACCAGTCTCAGGCAGCTACTAATCTATCTGCTTTTTTTCTGTGTAATTTTGCCTTTTCCAGAAAGTCTTTATAGATAGAAGTATACAATGTATAGTCTCTTCTGTTTGGCTTCTTTCATTAGAATGGTGCTTTTGAGATTCATCTATGTTGTGGCATGTATCAGTAGGTTGTTTCTCTTTATTGATGGTTTCACCATGTTGGCGAGGCTGATCTCGAACTCCTGACCTCTGGTGATCCTCCCGCCTCGGCCTCCCAAAGTGCTGGGATTGCAGCCATGAGCCACCATGCCTGGCCTCAATAGGGGTTTAACAACAGGATCATAGTCTGGCATAGGAGAGGTTGCCCATTTATGGAGTGGTCTATTGTATGGGAAGAAGGAAGGATAGAAAGAAAGAGACAGAGAGGTAGAGACAGAGAGAGGAAGAGACAGAGAGATAGAGACAGAGATGAACTTGTTGCCTCCATATTCTCTGTCTCCAAGTCAGCAATGGGCCTCCTTCCCTTTGGGAAACTTCTTGACTGCCCGGCTCTCAGGTGCCCGTGGTACACCTTGCCAGTTAGATTCCTCCTGTGCTGACCCTTCTCTGCTCTGGGTTTGTATCTGTTTCAGGGTGACTGTCTCATTTAATCCTATAATGTTCACAAAGAGCTCAGCACGATGTCTGGCACATGGTTTAGGACTTGGGAACTGGTGGTCTTCAGTATCCATCTCCCCAGCAGCTTGCTGGGCTCTCTGAGGGCAAGAATTGTGGCTTCTATGTCCCTTCAGTGTGGCTCCAACTCCTGGGAAAGCCCCAGGCACATGGGGAGGGGGCAGGGAGGACAGTGGATGGGGTAGTGGGTCGGGGCCCTTACATAGTCAATGCGTCAGCACCCCAAACTCTGGCCCTCTGGTTAGGTCTCTATTAGGGAAATGGCCCTGGGCTGGGTCTAGGGGGGTCACTGGACCTTGGTGCCGAACCACAGCTGGGAATGCCAGCATCACTAGCAAATTCAGCATGGGCCTGGGGAACAAGGCTGCTGGGACCCCCTGCCAGTGAGGAGGACTGAGCAGCAGCCAGGCACGTTGCCTCCTCCCCACCTCCTTCTCAGCCTTATAATTCCCAAGATTCCTGTTGTTTTTCCAGACCCCAGACCTCCCTGTCTGTGCGCTTTCAGGAGTGCTGAGTGTGGGGGGCTCCCAGGCCTATGCCGATGATGCCCTCCTTCTTTTCCTTTCCAGGCTAAAATGACTTCCTCAGACCTGGATGTGTCTTCATGGCTTCGCTGTTCCTGCATGCTATGGTTGAGGGTTTCTGTTCTCTAATGCAGTGGTTCTCAAACTTGAGTGATGTATGCTCAAGTGCAGAAATCAGAGTTTTTGATCCAGCAGGTGTGGGGTGGGGCCTGAGAACCTGCATGTCTAACACATTCCCAGGCCATGTTCATGCTGCTGGGCTGGAACCACTCTTTCAGATCCAAAGCTTTGATCTCTCCTCCCGGGGCTCAGCCTGTGTCTTCTTTCCTACATGATGGGGAGCAGAGAAGGCAGGGGGCATCTTCTTCCTTCTCTGCACAAGCCCTAAAAAACACTTAGATCATAGTGACCTTGATGGTGACAGTAGGAAGTCCATATTTGAGTTGCCTTTGGCCAAAGGGCATGGCAAGACTTACAGAGGGAAGAGCAGATACAATGTCCTGTCTTCAGCACATCATAAAAATAAAAACAGATGAAAGCTGGAGAGGATGTCAGAGTAGAGTCATGCATCACCTAACGATGGGGACACATCCTGAGAAATGCATTGTTGAGCAATTTCGTCATGTGAAACATCATAGAGTACACTTACACATACCTAGATGGTCTAGCCTGCTATACACCTAGGCTATGAACACATACAGTGTGTTACTCTACTGAATACTGGAGGCAATTGTAACACAGTGGTAAGTATTTGTATGTCTAACATACAAAACATATGTAAATATAGAAAAGGTACAGTACAAATACGGTATGAATGATAAAAAATGGTACACCTATAGAGAGCACTTACCATGAATGGAGCTTGCAGGACTGGAAGTTGCTTTGGGTACGTCAGTGAGTGAGTGTGTGAGTGTGTAGGTCTGGGACATTGCTGTGCACTACTGTAGACCCTATAAACACTGTGCATTTAGGCTACACTACATTTATTTTAAACATTTCTTTTTTCAGTAATAAATTAACCATAGCTTAATACAGCTTTTTTACCCTATAAACTTAAAAAAATCTTAAAAACTTTTTGACTCTTTTGTGAACACAGCTTAAAACACAAACGCATGGTACAGCTCTACAAAAATATTTTCTTTTTTACGTCCTTATTCTATAAGCTGTTTTCTGTTTTTAAATTTAAATTTTTTTTTGTGAAAAACGAAGACACAAACATATACGGTAGCCTAGGCCTATTTGAGGTCAGGATCATTAACATCCACTGCCTTCCACCTCCACATCTTCTGCACTGGAAGGTCTTCAGGGGCAGTAACAGGCATGGAGCTGTCATCTCCTATGACAACAATGCCTTCTTCCGGATACCTTCTGACGGGCCTGCCTGAGGCTGTTTTACAGTTAACATAAAAGTGTAAGGAGTATACTCTAAAATAACAATAAAAAGTATAGTAAATACATAAACCAGTATCATAGTGGTTTACGATCATTATCAAGTATTATGTACTGTACATCACTGTATATGCTGTACTTTTATGTGGCTGGTAATGCAGTAGGTTTGTTTATACCAGCATCACCACAAACATGAGTAATGCATTGCACTACAATGTCACTAGGCGCTAGGAATTTTTCAGCTCCATTATCATCTTACGGGACCACCGTTATATGTGCAGTTTATCGTTGGCTGAAACATCATTATGCGGTACATGACTGTATAAAACTAAATAGGTAGTTTCATGAGAGAAATAATCAGAAGTTACTACGCTGTTTTAACTGAGCATCAGTAATAACGTTAATTTTGATTTTGGAAGTAACCCATGTAAAAAGAACTCTGCAAATTACATAGGTCAGACGAGATAGTAAATGTAGCTTTTCTGGCAGTGTTCTAGAATGTTTATTCAGATTCAGCTCAATCTTGTGGTCAAGCTGGGTCTGACAAAAGGTCCTTAAGAGTTCTTTAACACACTCTACCCTCAAACCTATCCTATGAGGTAGACATTGTCATTCTCATTTTACAGATGAAGAAACAGGCTTAGCAGTTGTATGGTGGATCCTGGATTCCAACAATCTTTTTACTCCAACTCAGACTTTGGAACCTGAAGTGAGGTGTTTTTTGTTTTTTTGTTTTTTTAACACAACACCACAGGTGAATGCTAATTAAGATTCCCCTGAACAATTTCTAGCCAAATCGCAGACACATGAGGCTGGATGAAGGCTAGGGCAAGCTCTTCTCTTGCTTGGGGTGTGAACTCCATTGACTTTAGCTTGCCCTGCAAGGAAAAGTCCAGCATATGTACCATCAGAAATGACAGATTTGGAAACAGAGTCCTATACAGACTTATCTGAGCTTTAGACAGGCAAGATTGATCAGGGTAGCAGATCTACTGTGATCACTTTTAGTTGTTCTTCAGCATCTGGCAAAGTGTGTGTTTAAACAAGCCAGGTATGCTGCTTGCTGCTTGCTGCTTGCTCTGAGAGATTAGGGATAGTGCTGCATCCAGCTGGGCCACCCTCAGCCCACCCTGGGCCAGATGGGTATTAAGTAAGGGAAGCATCTGCATCATGTGAGTGTTTACAGATGCCATATGAATAGACCCCATTGGAAACCAACTGAGCCACAGACGGTGCACCATGGCCTCCTGGAACTGTCACTGGGTCCCAGATTTGTGGTCTGGGTATCATTCCAGTGGAAGTTTATTGCTCCATAAAGAATTTAGGCAGGAAGTAAGATAGATCGTGGATTAGATAGTGACCTTTTGAGTTGGAATGGATGAGTGCTGCTCATGGTAGGGATGAGAATGAAGAAGGAGGAGGAAGGTGGGGGCGGATGGGGTTTTGATGATTGGAGGTGACAGAGGATGGTGACAGCAGTGGTTGGGGGGATGGTGGTATAGGAGATGGACGTTGTAGGAAGCTGGTTATTGGGATGATGGGCTGAGTAGCTCAGGGAACCAGCTGGAAAGTCCAAAGCCAGGGATAGGAATTTGATCATGGTTGGGGGTGGCTAGGGAGGTGAGAGGGTTGCTTGGGGGAGGCATTGCTTTCTGATCACCCGCTCCTGCTTCCAAAGGTGCCTGTTGAGGGTATTTACCAAACTTGCCCCAACAGCCCAGCTGGGAGGTCCTTCCTGGCTGAGATTTAGCAAACCTGTTTCCCTAGGAGGCCTCTCTTACCACAACAGACAGATGGGTGCTGATGTCAGCAGCAGTGCAAAGCTGTAAGTCAGCACTAATGGGGGTGGTACCTGAGGGCCAATGAGAGAGAGAGCTCTGCCCAGCTTGGCCTCCTCTGAGACCCACCCCAATGGGAAGACAAGGTAAGAAGCCCATCCTGGGCTTCCTGGCCAGGTTCCTGGAATAGGTGGCAGGTTCATGGTGGGTGACTGGGGCTCAAATTTGGCATCTCTGGGACACGGGAATTGGAAGGGCTTGTCATGGGCCATCTGGTTTAAGCCTATGCAGAGAAAAGAAAGGCATTAGGATTCCCATTACCTAGATGAGGAAACTGAGGCCTTGGGAGGGGGAGAGTTGTACCTAAGGTTAGCTGGAGAAGCAGCAGCAGAATCAGGCTCAGAACTTCTGTAAGAGCACCTCCATTTGTGTACAAGGGTGGGAGTATGGGGCAGTGAGCTCACCAGGACAGGAATCAGCAGACCTAGGCAGGCTGTTTCCTCTTCTGCAAAATGGGAGTGCCAAAAAGTTGCTCCTAGGGTGTGGAGAGGATTAGACGAGATGGGCATAAGTAAAGCACCCTATGAACATTAATTTCCTTTTCCCCACAGATCATTTGTCCTGGGTGGGAGTCTTCAGTGCACCTCAGTGTGTGTTTGTGTGTGCATGAGTGAGTATGCTGTGTGTGTGAAAGCATGCACAAGCCCCTCCGTGTGTATGTGTTAGTATGTATGTGAGTGTGTGATTTGCAAATCCTGACCAGGCGGCCATTGTGAGGGGAAGTGGCAATGTTTACCGACCTTGGGAGGTATTAGAGGTTGGAGCCTCTAGGATTGGCCTGGCATGGGCTGAGGTGGCGGGACTGGAGTTGGAGGTGCTCTGGATCCCCCAGGCTTCTGTAAACCCTGAAAGCTGCTGCTCTGGACACTAACAGGGCAGGGCAGGGTCACGCAGCTCCTGTTAGGGGCTTAGGCAAAGTCATCAAGTGACTCGGAGTAGGTCTTTAGGAGGTCCCCCTGGGCATTTGTTGGGGAGTCCAGCCAGGGGTGTCTGAGCAGAGATGAGGGAATGGGCTGGAGGGCACCAGGGAGAGGAGAAGAAGCAGGGCTCCTCTCTCTGCCTCTTCAGGGCAAAGAATTCTGCTTTCTTTGTAGCTGGAGGTGACCTCAACTTCCTCCCCTTGCTCTGGGAAGAGGCCTGAATATAAGTCAAGTCATTTGTGCTAATCGTTGACATTTTTGAGACGTGCCTTCCCTGGGAGTTTGGGGGCCTAGTATGCAAATCTATGCACATTATGTGACATCAACAGAAAAATTGGAACCTCAGGGAATTGCTGGAGCAGAGAGGTTCTCCTTCAGAACTGCTTCTAAGCTGCCTATAATTCCCCCCATTAAATTCACAGAGGCAAAATGTGTTAGATCCTGGAGGGTCAAGACTGAGGCCAGATCACAATGGCCTTTCAGTCCACGGTCTCACTTTACAGATGAGGAAAGTGAGGCCCAGAGGGGAGGCATGACTTGCTTGAGATTATACAGTCAGTGGCAATGCTGGGGTCAGACCTGGCCCAGGATCATCCAGATTCATTTTTTGACTTAATATGCACAACACACACACACACACGCACACAGACACACACACACACAGCCTATCCTTCGCACAGTACCCACAGCTTTATTTTGCTTCACAGCAGTACCTGACCTTGCATGTTTACATTTCCTTCTCCTTCTGCCTGACCAGAATAAAGCTCCATAGGGGTGAGAAGTGTGCTTGTTTTTTCATGTTGTATTCACTGTCGTATCGTCAGCATCTAAAACACAGAATGGTGGGATTCATTCATTCATTTGCTGGTCGCCTCTCTGATGTGCCCTCTCCATTCCAGACCCTGGTGAAACAGAAAGGTGTCAGACCTGGCCCCTAGACCCTGGCTCAGGTGGCTTCAGGCCCTTTCTTCTGGGCCCCAGTTGCCTGGGGGGTGGGAGGGATCCCCTCACCCAGGTCCCACTGGCGCTGACTCTGGAAGCTCACCCCAGGGGAGGAGAAGCTAGGGATGAGAATTAAGAGTCCTCTCCAAGGAACTCCCAGAGCAGAATCAGGGAAGCCCCCACGGCACTGAGGAGAGTGGGAGTGTGAACACAGTAGCTTGTGACCAGGGAGGTGGCAGTGGGGAGGAAGGTAGAAGCTCATTTGGGAGGCAGGGTGTGGGGACTTGGAGGGGAATCCTAGGAGGAGAGGGTGAACGAGTACTGTGGAGGCTCTGGGCACTGGGTGTCTAGGGCAGGCTGTGCAGGTGGGGCTGACAGAGAAAGAACACTGCCATTTATTGACATTTGGGGTAGGCTGCAGAGTGGGGGCTGGTGTAGAGAGGCAAAAGGCCAGACTCCAGTCCCTGCACTTCATATGGGCAGAGTGGCGAGGCGTTACATAAGCCCCAAAAAGAGCTTTGGTCGAAGGCTTAATTTTCTCATCTGTAAAGTGGGGATGATAACATGAACCTGGGCATGGGGGCCTCGTGTCAGGAGGGAGGTGAGTCTCATATGAAGTAATCTGTCTGAACACCCTCAGCCCACTGCTGGACCCCCAAACATGAGCTGGCCTGTCTTCCCAGTCCTTTCTCCCTTTTCCCAGGGTACATTCTCTGGGAAGTGGGGCCCTGTGGCTGCTGCCCTGTGGAGGGGCCAGTCCCCATCCTCTCTGCTCCCCAGCCCCTGTATGTTCATTTGCCCAAGAGGTCACCCAGTTTCCTCTGTCCTAGTTGACCAGAACCCTCTGGACTCTGTGGGTGCTACGGGTTTTCTGGCCTGGACCCACGCCTCCGCCTCGCTGGGGGCTATGAGCAAGAGAGCAGCAGACCAGATTTTGCAAGCCTGAAATAGTTTATGGCCAGGCTGAGGCCGGGAGGAAGGAGGGCATGGCCCCAGGAATGCAGGAGGAATGCCTGGGAGGCCCGTTCCGTCCCCCACCCATCCTCAACTCCCCAGGGGGAAGGAGTACAGGCCTCAGGATTACCGGGCACTGGGCAGAGAGAGGGAAATGGTCTGGGCCCTGAGCATTCCTGGGGCTGGGGTGGTCGCAGGGCCAGTGAACGGGTGTGTATGTGGGGTGGTCTTCCTGCAGACAGGAGTATCATCTCCTCCAAGGAGGCCACCTGGATTAGACTTCTCTGTCTACTCCATTCAGTCTTTCCTACTTACTTGCCTGTAGCACCAAGGATACATATCTTCATTGCTGTGTGCTTGAGAGCAGTGGGGGTTGTTTTTCTACTTGATGCAGGGCCTCTCTGTCTCCACTGTCAAACTGGGAGCTCCCTGAGGTCAGGGTTTGTGTTTTCCTTTCAGATTGAGAATTCCTTAAGGATTGAGGCTATGAATCTCCCATAGAGTAGAAGCCCACACATGCTTCCCATGCCAGAATGGGGTGGAACTGGAACGACAAGATGCAGTCTTCACCCCCATTCCTTTAGACCCAAGATGGGATCTCCTTCAATCCTGGCTGGAAAGTGGGATAGCGTTCGGAGGGCCAGTTGAGTCCTGTGGACCAGACAGCGGCCTATGAACAGCATTGGCCCTCCCATTTCCAACCATGTGAACACCTGCGGCCCCTATGTGGAGGCCAGAGGAAGGCAGGCCCCCGTTACCCATCTGGACAGTCCACTTGGCCCTGCTGGTATCATACCTTGGGCTTGCCCCCTCTGTATGTGGCCTGGGGTCTATTCCAGGAAGGGGTGGGCAGCAGAGGGTTGAGAGTGGACAGGCCACAGTGCTCCAGGCTGTTAATGATACCTGCATTTTCCTGGGCCCTATGGCCAGGCCGTCACCTTCCCTTTCATGTTTGGCTCTGTCTCAGTGAGCCAGTAGGTGAGGTGGGGGCTAGGAGGGAGCCCCAGGGTAGGGGCAGCCAGGCAGGCACAGAAGGAGGCAGATGATTGGTGCCTGGCCAAAGTCACAAGGTTCTAGCACCCTCCATTTCCATCAATGCCCCAGCTCTATTATGGAAGACACAAGTTGCCAAAACTCCGGCAACTCTGGCTGGTCACACCCTGTCCTTTTGTGGACACAGCTCTCTGGCCTCCATGGGCAGGACATCTATTTCCAATTCCCGCATGCACTCCTAGACCAGCCTCATTTAGGTCAGTCTGTGGTCAGGGTCATGGACAATCTCTGCAGGGTTGGGCCAGTCTGTGGTTAGAATTAAGGGTCTGAGATCTGGGTTTAGGGTCAGGCTCTGACCAGGGTTATGTGTCAGCCTGTTTTCTGGGTTAAAGGGATTAGACTTTGACTAGGTAGGACTAAGGGTCAGTCTGTACCCAGGACCAGCGTTAAGTTTATACCGAGAAGTAGGAGGTCAGTCTGTATCCAAGCTTAGGAACCAATCTGTACCCAGGACAAGGAATATGGATCCCTAATCCAGGACTGTACCTAGGATTAGGGATCAGTCTATACCTAGGATTAAGAGCCAGTTTGTATCCAGGATCAAGGATCAGACTGTACCCAGAAATGGAGTAATCTATACCCAGAATAGGAGTCAATGAGCATTGAGGGGTAGGCGTGTGTTTTGCACTGAAACTGAACCTATGACTAGGCCACAGAAGGTTACCCTAGCCCAGCTGGGCATAGAAGGCAGAGAATACAGTTTGCAGTTTGAAGGGGAAAGAGTTTGATGATCCCCTGGCCACCTACTCTGGGTACCCACCTGCAGGAGTTACCTGGGGCAAAGTGGGGCACTTCATCACTCCCAGCCTTAGCTTCAGCTTGAGGAGTCACAAGGAACACCAGCCTGAGCCGCATGGGGACAAAGTGTGGTGCCCAGGCAAGGTCCAGTGAGTGGCTCAGAGGCAACATTGCCCAGTTCTATAGCCAGGAAGAATCCTGAGCAACTCCACCACAGATGGCGCTTCTGTTTGCACTGCACTTCTCGAAACTCATTCACCAACAGTTCATTCTGCAAATATTTCCCAAATACCTGCCATGCTTTAGGCCAGAGGTTCTCAAAATTGAGTGCACAGAAGAATCAACTGGGTAGCTTGTGAAAAAGGCTGACTCCTGGGCCCCACTCTTGGGTATTCTGGAGCAGAAAGGCGATAGGAGCTGCCCAGGAATCTGCACTTTTAATAAAGTTTCCTAGTGATTCTGCTGTGGTAGTTTAGAGCCATGCTCTTGGGACCTGTCCTCAAAAGGCCCATCAAGTTAAAAAAGGATTGCAGGAAACACCCATAATGCTGTCTGGTGAGTTCAGCAAGCCGGTGGGCATCTTCCAGGGCATCTGGAAGAAAAGGTATGCATGGCTGTTTTCAGAGAAGACCCAAGAAGACCTTGTGAGGAAGCAACAGGGAATTTCTGCCTCATTGTTGAAGAAAACTTGGTTGTCTTTTTGCAAAAATTGTATGGAACGTACCTGTCTAGCCACCCCAAAGCCTTTTCACATGATTGGCAAGGTAGAATTCCAGCAAGCACACAAAAGATTAGGTCTGAGAGTAGAGGTGTAAAGCAAAGCATACTTTTTTTTTTTTTTCGAGATGGAATCTCGCTTTGTTGCCAGGCTGGTGTGCAGTGGCGCGATCTTGGCTCACTGCAATCTCCGCCTCCCGGATTCAAGCGATTCTCCTGCCTCAGCCTCCCAAGGAGTGGGATTACAGGCATGCGCTGCCATACCTGGCTAATTTTTTTTTTTGTATTTTTAGTAGAGACGGGGTTTCACCATGTTGGCCAGGCTGGTCTCGATCTTCTGACCTTGTGATCCACCCGCCTCAGCCTCCCAAAGTGTTGGGATTACAGGCATGAGCCACCGCGCCCGTCCGCAAAGCATAATTAATACATTAAATGGGGCAAAGGAAAAGAATGCATCTAAAACTGCTGTCTTCGTCTGGTGGTAAGGAAGGAACAATGCACGACAGCCATTAGTATTAATAACTCACCAATTGTCTATAAACAGTCATCCTGAAAAGCACTGCTCGAGCAGTGCAGTCAGCTTTGTTTAAACCATGGCCTTGTGCTTTGTCCCACTCTCCCTGCATAGTTTCACCAGCTAAGACCTTTGTCTGCAGTTGGTATATTTGTAACAACAGGGTGTGTGCGTGTTTTCATTTCCCGGATATTACCATATTGATTACACTTTTGCAGACAGCACATTTCTCTCTCCTACCTGCTCCTTGGTTAAGAATCCTGGTGCTGAAGCGCTCAGTCATCTTGAGGACCTCACTGAAGGCAGGGAGGTCATAAAGGATGACTGTCCCCTCTGGGGCTGACCGCCATGTGTCATGCTTCTGGAAGTTTCCAGAAATATTTCTTTATTGAATGTTTCCATTCTTCCTTCTCAAAGTGAACAGATTTCTGGGCCTTTCTGCTCCCTATGGGGCAGGAGCTTGAGGTATTGTGCTGCTCAGAGGTGGGGACAGGACTGGACTATGTCCCAGGAGCTCCTGGAGGCAATACCCTTTCTGGCTGGTCCTGAGATTCCAGATCCTCATGCACAGAGGGCTGGAGGTGACCTTCCATTTCTCTAAGCTGGGCTGTGAGGCACCTGGGTCACAGACCCCACAGGAAGTGGATACTGCCAGGAAGTTCTTATGTTTATCCCAGTTCAATTCTACCTTGTTGGTTTCAGCCCAGAGTTTCCAGAGAGGTAGGGATTTTCTGGGGTTCTCCAGCTGGGAGGGGACATCCACAGCTCCCCTGGACACTCCCATGCCTCCAGAGGCTCCCTCCCCAGGGCATCTCTTCATTTCATTCATTCATTAATTCAACAAACGTTCACTGAACACCCATTGGGCACCCAGTACAGTGCTAGGCACAGGGACCCAGAGGTGGAAGGATGGTTCATGGTATAGACAAGTGGATGGCAAAGAAGCAGATCATTTTTCTCTAGTATGGTACGAGTATGCCAAGGGATTATAGGGGATAGGAGGGGGACCTGCTTCAGTCTTAGCGGGTCTATAGAAGGCAGGGAAGTCTACATGAAAGTGGTCATACTTTATCTGAGTTTTAAATTAGAGAAGTGGGGAGTGTGCTGGGGATGTCCGGGTAGAGAATACAGCCTGCACGTAAGCCTGGAGGCTAGAAACCACATGGCGAGGGCTGCTTTAGAAACCACCTGCTAGGGGCTAGATCCTGAGGTTCAAAGCAGGGAGAGTGTGGGCTCAGGCTGGAGAGGCCTGCAGGGGTGACATCGCAGCAGTGTGGTGGGGAACTGGGGTAATGGGGAGCCATAGCAGATGTCTGCTGGAAGGGAATGACCTAGTCAGATCTGTCAGCCTGACACCATCCAGTAGCATCAGTGTCTGATGCATCTTTCCCATGGCAGTGGGTTCCATGCACTTTTCCTAACAGGGAGCTCTGGGAAGGCTGCCAGAAGAACTGGACAGTGTCACAAGCTACTCGAATGTAAAATTGTAAAATTTGGGGAAGGGAGAAGGCTTCCAAGACAGACCTGGACTTGGATTTCTTGCTGTTGGAGTTCCGGCAAGGCACTGAACCTACTTAGGACTCATTGGCCTATCTGTAGAATGGGAGCAATCTAATATTTATGGCCGAGTTGTGGCGAGAATGAGAGAGCCTATAATAGAAGCTGTCAGATTGTGCAGTCCAGGAGAGGGCGGAAGCCAGAGCTCATTCCAAGGATGTAACTGGGGGGTCAGAGCCTGGTCTCCCTGCCCAGGGCCTTAGCCACCATTCCCTTTGCTGCCTGGGCTGCTGTCTGTGACATCCTACCTTGCGTGAGGTCTGATGACAGAGCCTGGGGAGCTATCCCCACTATAAACAGTCAGGCCCTGAGTTTCTCCTGCCAACCTGGTGCCTTGGCCCTGTGTGCCCTGCAGCCGGCCAGTCCTCTGTCTGCAGAGCAGGGATGGAGATGAGAGGGGCCTGCCCAGCTTCCTACAGACCTCACAGTTGTGCAAGGCCGCCTGAGTCCAAACAAACCGCAAACCTACCGCTTCCCTGGCAATTGCAAGCATTCTGGCCAGCAGGTGGCCAGGCTGTCACTGCTAGGGACAGCCAGGGCCCAGGTCCTAGAAAAGGCCTGCCTGACCAGGAGGGAAACTAGACTCATGTCTGGGCCTGACAGGATGGAAAGAGCTCCAGGCAGAGAGTCAGGAATCCTGAGTTCTAGTCCTACTTCCCCTACCAACTCACTGTGGGACTTAGGGCAGGTCCCTTCCCTTCTTTGGGCCTTAGTCACCTCAGCTGAGTCTGAGGAGTTTGGTTATGGTTGTCCAGGGTGCCTTCTGTCTTGGTGTTCTGGGAGTATGAGTTGCTGTCACCTGGAGGCCCTGGAGAGGTTGTGCAGCCTTTCCCTAGCCTTGGGACAAGGGGCACGCCAACCCCTCTTCATTCATTCAGTATCAGCTCCAACTTCAGAGAGCAAACCACAGGCAAGAGAACAACTATGTTTGGTTAAACATGACTGTGTAAAAGTGAGGAAGATCTTTTTGGCTCTGACTTGGAAGCTTCCAGTTGCTACTTCATTTATTCATTTAATGAAATTGAAGACTAAATTCAGTTCATTCATTTGTTTAACAAATCTTATGGGGCAGCTACTGCAAGCCAGGCACTGTGCTAGGACCTGGGATTTGATGGTGAACCAGGTAAGCAGGGTTCTGGTCCTTAGCAGAGCTTACAGGCAGGCCTGGTCTCTTTTTCCTGGGAAGCTGGGATACAGCTGGCCCATGAGCAGTATTGATAATAAGCCCAAGACCCACTGGGACCTCTGTCCATCCCAACTGTGTAGAGAGCCCTGTCCTAACTACTGAAGGGGAAGTGGAGGAGACAGCAAATGCATCCTGGCCCCCAGGATGCTCCCATGCTGTGCAGTTCCCCGCCCTGCTCCTTTGCAGCAGGTAGGAAAGCCAGCTGATTCCTCAGGGACCCATAGAAGCCATGTGTCAGCAAGCATAAGCCAGGCCCTGACTCAAAGGGCTCTGGGTGAGGGCAGCCTGCAGTTCCCAAGGAGGAGCCACCATTTCCTCCAGGGCCTCTTTCCTGGCTTTTGGGCTAATTCAGTATTCAGTGAGAAGGGGGTATAGATCAGGGGTTGGGAGAATGGCAGCTGGACATGGAACCATAACCCTTTGGGTCTGGGGGAACTGTTGGTGGGTGTGATCATGCCCTGGGTAGGCTCTGGGTCTTTCCAGAACCTGGAAAGGTGGAGCGGGTCTGCCCTGGCCCATGTGAGCCATTGACCCCTTGATGTTCCCACAAGCAGAACCCTACCCCAACACCTAGTAGAGGCAAGGATGTTAGCAGAGGGCTGTCCTGCCCCAGGGGGCTTGGCCCATGAGGGGGTGCCTTGAATAGGGGTAATGGGGATCTGGATCAAGCGCCCTCCCTCTATGCTCATGGCCAGTTTGGCTATCTGCTCTCCCTGCCTGGCCTTCCAAGCTCCCAGGTAAGGGATGCCGAGGCCCAGGACAGGCATCTTGCTTCTGCTTTCCCCAAACTCCTTCCACCAGACTCCTGTAAGAGTCCAGATGGGCAAGCACTGAAGGCCCCCTTCTCTTTTTTTGTCCCCTCCCCATCACTTATCTTTCAATAATCCCCATCTTACTTAGGCCCCTGCTGAGCTCGGCTTTTGGGGCAGTTTTAGACAGCATATTTAGTATTGTGTCAATGTTAGCTAAACTGATGTAACTTGGGGAAACTGAGTTCCAGAGGGAAGACAAGGGCTTGCCAAAGTTCACTCATCCAGCCAGGGCTGAGCTGGGACCAGAACCCAGCTTTCCTCAGGTCCCCAGGCTGGCTGCCTCCTGGGCTTCCCACAAAACTCTAGGCAGGATCAGCTGCAAAACTCGTGGTGCCCACTACAAAATGAAAATGGCAGACCATTTGTTCAAAAACAAACAATTTCAAGATGGTGACAGTAGAACATTAAACCAAGTGTGGGGCTCTTGACTGAGCCCAAGCTGCAGTCTGAGAAGCTGGCCCTTATTACCCTAGGGGTGGGGAAGGAGGAGAGGGAGACCCCCTGCCAGATCGCTCCTGGGCGGTCAGAGGGCACGTGCCTCACCACTGGAAGGTTCCCTGAGCCAGCCAAGGCCTTCCTATTGCCAAGATGGGTAAAAGCCACAGTTTAGGGAGCCCTCCGGCACAGAGTCACTGCAGTGCAATGCCAGGCCTCCAAAAGATAGGGGCAAGACAGACTCAGAAGTGTGTCTTTAGAGTGGCTAACTGCCTTAAACATCCCCTGCTGGAAAGTTCTTGGGGGCCCAGGAGGGATTGGAGGTGCAGCCGCCACCACCAGCAGGGGCTTCAGGCTGAGTGATGAGGGAGGTGCAGAGGGGAGGAGGCTGCACAGTTCCTACCACCTTATGCAAGAGGGAGAACAAAGGGGCTTTGCTGGGAGGTATTAGAAGATTAAGTGGCTGAGTCCAGGACAAACTCAGCAAGCCCCTTGGGACCTGAATTAGCAATAGCAACTGAAAGCGGGGAATTAAAGCTCCTGGCCTTCGAGCAGAGGCCCCCCACCCCTTTTAGTCTCTGCCTGGGCCTCCTCAGAGAGCTAACCTGCTGCCCTGCCTGAGTTCTTGCCTGGGGGCTGTGTGAGGGGCTGTTCCTTCCACCCAGAGGCAACTGGAGCCTTCCTGGGGAAGGAGCTGCCTGACCCCTGACCCCTGACCTTTGGGCACAGGCTCCGAGCAGGCTGGGTGGCCCAATTTGGACTCAGAGCTGAGTCCCGCCTCTCGACTCCACACTTGGCTGAGCTGTGAGTTTGAGAGAAACCACTGCTCCTCTCTGGGCCTCTCCTTCCTGCTAATAAAGTGGGAATCTGGGGCCATGGACTCAATGGCCATCCCAAGGAGTCCTTGAACTGGTTCCATCAGGCATCAGGGAAGCCTCCTCTCAGTCACATGAAGCCTGATGGACAGGAGTGACCCTATCACAGCTGGGACTTTGAAATCTTAAGTGGATGGATGTGTGATCAGTCCAAGCAAAGGAGAAATTCTTCAAGTTCCCACAGTCTAGTCCCTACGGACCTTCCCGGTTCTGTCTCTTAGTGCTTCCCGTGTTACAGTTTTCGCCGCAGCAATAGCAAGCTGCACGCGCACTGCGATCTCCTCCCTTTGAACTTTTGTTCCTGCTCTTCCCAGGTCTGGAATTCCCTTTCCAGGCTTACGCTTCATTTCTCAAGGTCCCCTCTGGCAAGGCCCCTGGAATCCTCCCTCAGGCCCCTCCTCACTCTATGGGTGCATTGACCAATTTCACAGTATGCTTTGTGTCTGTCTGTCTCTTCCAAGAGACTACAAACTTCTTGACAGCTGGGGCCTTGAATCCTCAGGCTCAGCACAACTGCTGGTGCACCGCAGGTGCCTGGCCAACATGGGACATGGGCCCAGAAACACAGGGATGGCCCGACACCTTCAGTGCTCATCATGCTTAGGGGAGATGAGGATGACACGGCAGCAGTTATTGAACTGCCTGTGTGTTGATGGCAGAGGTGAGAATTATTACAGGGCAACATGAAAATATGAATTGGGGGGCAGTCTGTAAGTAAAGATGTCCCAGAGAGTTTTGATGTGAAGGTGGTGAAGAGCATTCCAGGCAGAGGGAACCAAAGACCAAAGTGGGGGTGAGGAGAGGGGGAGCAGGAGCTGGGAGTGGCTGAGAGGGTGGAAGCTGTGGCTGGGGTGGGCAGGCCAGCCCCTCCTATGCTTTGGAAGGGATTTTAGACCTTATTCCAAGAGCAATGCAAAGCTAGCTATTAAAGGGGTTTAGGCAGGGGAGTGAGCAAGGTGATGAGATTTGCATTTCTAAGAGATCACTTTCTCTGCAGCGTGGAGAGTGGATTAGGAGGGACAAGAGGCTATTGCTGTCATGAGAGGAGACAGAGAGGGGAATGGACAAATTGAGAGATTCAGGGTCGGAGCTGACAGAACTTGGAGACTGACCGGATTTGTAGGGAGAGGGAGAAGGAAGTGGGGCTCTCCACTCACCAGCTCGTCCCTCACAAGGGGCAGCAGGTGGTGCTGGTCAGACCAATGTGTGTGTATTATGCACTGTGGACCACGCGAGACGTGGCATGGGTAGGTGTGGCTACAGCCAGCCTCCCTCCTCAGAGCAGCCCTCTTCACTGAGCTCCAGGGGGTGGGAGTGAGGCAAGGCTGCAGCTGCCCTGCTGTCCGCCACTGTCAGAGTGCCAGGACACCTGTAGGTATGTGTGGGAGGACCCAGAAATCCACGTGGCATGGATATTACACATGCTCCCAGACTCACAGCTCTATTCACACACTGGCTTAGATATAAACATGGGCCATGTGCACATACCAGACACCCAGATTTCCATAGCGCATGCCCCAGACATGCACAGGTTTCCATGTATACACAGATCTATTAATGATGTTGTAATAATAACCAACATTTATTGGGTGCTTGATATGTGCCAGGTATTATTTTAAACACTTCATATGAATTGCTATTTAGTCCTCACAACAACCATATGGGACATACGAATCATTATCTCTGTTTTAGAGATGAAGACACTAAGGCCCAAAGAAGTCACATATCTTGCCCAAGGTCATGTGCACAGCAAGTAAGGGGCAGAAGTGGGATTTGAACTCATGCAGTCTGGCTACAGAGCCTAAGCTCCTTGTTACCACACCATTTAGTGTATTTACCACTGATGCTCAGCTGCCGTCTGGTACACAATCCCACAGAAATGCACCAATATCAATAGAATGTACTGATAATGTGTATATCATGTGTGTACTCCCAGGCATGTACACGTGGGTGCCTAAATATCATAGAGTGCATACTGTATATCATATACATACACTTATGATAAAGGCAAAAATGACTGCAGAGCTATTATGGGTGCACACATATGTACATTCATCTACATGCAGTATACATATTCAGCTCACACATGCACATATGTATGCGTATGTATGCATATGCAAGCACATATGCAATAACACATGCACGCAAGGCAGTTTGCACTCATGCACACATATGCATGCGCACTCCACACAGATGCAGAATGCATGCAGTAGACATACTTGCACACTGGCACACACACATGCAGAACACTTGAGTCCACGTGTACACACGCAGTAACATGCACACACAGCTCACATGCATTATGTATACTTTCTCATTTGTGTAGTACACACATGTTCATATATGCAACACACAGGTGGTGAACACTTGCAGAAGCATGCACACACATAGGCAGTACACACAAATACTCTCACCCTTTCTCACACAGGGCAATTTATGACCGTCCAAGCTCATGTCCGGACTTCCCATTAGCATTAATGAAGTGATGTCGCCAGGGTATTTGGAAACACTTGTCCTGCAGGGGCGGGGGTAGAGGGTGGCGGCGAAGCGGAGAGGAGAGGGAGGCCATGGTCACAGAGGAACAGCTAATTATCCGGCTGACCAAGGTTTGATTGTTTTTCCCACGCCTCTCTCCAGTGTCCCCAACCCAAGGCCAGGTTCTGGCTGTACCAGAGGGTGTTGGGGGGAGGGAGCAGGGATAGGGCAGGGGAGGGGAAAAGGGGGACAGGAGCAAATGATGGGGGCAGGCGGTAAATGACCCAAATTTCAGTGTCTTCTTCTCCCTCATCCTTTTTGCCTGGAGCTATCTGAATTGTTTCCTGAAATGGTTCAAAATTCCTAAAGGGTTGTGTCTCTGTGGCCCTTTTCTCCCCACAATCCTTGGCAAGAACCTTATATCAGAGTCAAATTTGACATCTGCGTTTCAGGAGCTTTCATTTGCTGACCCAGGGGCCATAAAAGGAGTCCTGATCCCACGCTACCACCTCAATATCTAGCACAGTACAAAAAGGCCATTCCTTCTTTCCTTCATTCATTCTCTTAGCCAATATTTATTGACCTGGAGACACTGTTCTTTTATTTTTTGATTTATTTTTTATTTTTATTATTATACTTTAAGTTCTAGGGCACATGTGCACAACGTGCAGGTTTGTTACATATGTATACATGTGCCATGTTGGTGTGCTGCACCCATTAACTCATCATTTGCATTAGGTATATCTCCTAATGCTCTCCCTCCCCGCTTCCCCCACCCCACGACAGGCCCCAGTGTGTGATATTCCCCACACTGTGTCCATGTGTTCTCATTGTTCAATTCCCACCCATGAGTGAGAGCATGCAGTGTTTGGTTTTCTGTCCTTGCGATAGTTTGCTCAGAATGATGGTTTCCAGCTTCATCCATGTCCCTACAAAGGACATGAATTCATCCTTTTTTATGGCTGCATAGTATTCCATGGTGTATATGTGCCACATTTTCTTAATCCAGTCTATCATTGATGGACATTTGGGTTGGTTCCAAGTCTTTGCTGTTGTGAATAGTGCTGCAATAAACATACGTGTGCATGTGTCTTTATAGCAGCATGATTTACAATCCTTTGGGGATATGCCCAGTAATGGGATGGCTGTGACCCAGAGACTCTGTTCTAAGCAGCTCAGCAACTGCCTCAGGTCTCCTCAGTCTATGTAAAACCTTTTCCAAGCAGGAGTGAGTGTGGGCTTACCATGAACACCTCAGTTACAGAAATGTCTCCCAAACCTTTTGAGCATTAAAATAACGATGGGAAATGACAGTAATATAAGTTCTGTAAAAGCAAATTGCCTTTGCACACCTCTTTCCCGCTTGCAGAAGTGTCTTTCACATACCTGATTCATCTGAACACACAGCAGTCCTGTGAGGTTAGCATGGCAGATACCATTCCTATTGCACTGATGCAAAAACTGAGGCTGAGAGAGAAGAGGTTTGCCTGTGGTCATGTGACTAGGGAGGACCAAGGTTGAGGCTTGAATCTTTTCAGCCACTTCTCTGTGATTCACCACATGTTCTTTATTTCTTCATGGGACTTCCTCCTGAAACATGAAATGAATTAGACTTTCTGTGCTTCTGGGGAATATTTTGATCTGAGATGCCTGGCACAGCAGTGCTAGGGTGGAAGGTGGAGGCTGTGGTCCTCAGTCACAGATCAGGAGCTCTGGGAGAAAGCTAGGTGGCTACTCTGTACCCCATGTTATTTCATGGGTGGAGACATTGAAGTCTTTCTGAGCCTCGATGGTACAGGATGACTATGGGGTTGGGGAGCAGATTAAGGATAGAAGGGCTGGAATGGAGCCTCCACAGAGCCCAGGTATAGACACTGTCTCCAGGCAGGTGTGCCTTAGGATTTGTTAGCTGTTTTCTAAACAAGGGAAACTGTAGGCTTGAAAGTCATCAGGACGACAATATTTATTGAACACCTATTACTATATTATGAAATCCTGAGCTTGGTACTAGATATGGTGGGGGAATCAATGGATATAGCTCTCAAGGACTGGGAGTCTGGTGGGGGAAGAAAGAGTCCCAGGCTTGGTGTCACAGAGCCTAAGCCTGAGTTCTGTGACTTAGAGGGTCATTCATTTCGTATGACCTTGATGGAAAGTCACGTTAATCTTGCTAAGTCTTGGTAGTCTAATCCACAGAATGGTGCTCCTACCTTCCTTCAAGGCTGTTGTTACAATTAGATACGTAAAACGCCTGTCCCAATACCCCTCTCAGACATCACGCTCAATTTACCTGTCCCTTTCCTCTCGGTTTCCTGCCAGACTCTTTACTACCTCCCTTCTCCCTCCCTCCCTTCTGGCCATTTCCTCATTATTGACCACCTGTTTTGGAAACACCTGAATTCTTGGCCCAACTCTGTCAACTGCCCCACCTTCCCCAGCCCTATCCTAGCTTGAGTGGGAGTGAGAACCCTCTTAGGAGGGGTGCTGAGCAGCACTTTGGGGCCTGGGGTCAACAGCCCTCCCCTGCAGCCTCACCCTTCACCCCTCCCCACCCCCCAGAAGCCAGGAGACCCAGAACACTCCCCTCCCTCCCTCCCTGTGAATCTGGCTTCCTCAGCCAAAGACATTGCTTTTCCAGGGAGAGACTCACTTCACCCAGCTAGGGGCTCTTAACAGCTGGTGGGGAACTGAAGCCCTTCCTTAATGTCCTTGAGGAGCCGACTCCAGAGAAAGCCGGTAGACCTAAATCTACAGGTCCACAGCCCCACCTGTAAGGGGGTAACTTGAAAGCCCACCCTTCAGGGAATATTTGCTCTCCTCTTAACTCTGCAGCTCAGTCCTGCTAGGTGAGGATGGGGGTGGGCAACTGTGACAAGGAGTCTTTTTCTGGCTGAACAGAAAATGACCCCTGATGAGGTCGGTGGGGTCATGATCTGTCTGTCAGACTCTGCAGAACCTGGGCAGACTTCTCCTCTCTGCCTAGGCAGAGAGCACCCAGATGGGGATGAGGACTTCTGGGTCCCTGCCCTTGCTGGGTCACTGCCTCCAGCTGACCTCAGCTCTGCTCTGTGGACCTCAGTCTCGTGCCCTGTAAAATGGATAATACCCCCCACCCCCAGCCTGCTCAAACTGGAATGTTATGGGCTTTCTGTGAGACTATGAATGTGAAATGCCTTTAAGTGCCTGCAGTATGGTAATGGTAACTCAGGTGGAACTGGGTCCCCGTGAGGACTTAGATGGGGCTGTGGGGTTCGGTCTAGGTCACAGTGTGTTCCTGGTAGGCAGAAGGGCTGCTAATGCCGAGGGGCCACACTTCACTGGCTGTGCCCCTTTTCCAGCTGTAAAAGCTGTAAAAATGCCCACTAAACAGAGTCAAAGATGCCTCAGAATTCTTTTCAGGGGCAGTGAGTCCTACCAATGCTGCCAATACGAAGAGCTGCCTGCCGGCTGCCTGAGTACCCTGGTCAAGCCCCCTGGGCTCAGCTGTTCCCTCGGGAAGGTGGTCTGGTGGGGATCTCACAGTGTCCCAGCTTCAGGGCAGGGTCTGGCCAGGGGTACCTTGCGGGGGTGGGTGAGTGGGGGATGCCTAGAGACAGTGGGTTGGGAGGGGACCAGCCAGGAATGTGAGGAGGGAGAGCAGAGTGTGGGAGCAAACAGTGGCCTGCCATGGGGAGCCAGACTGTGGGTGCGGAGATGGGAAGGGGGTGGGCACTGGCTGAGAGTGAATGGAGATGAGGACAGGGGCTGCCTGATTGCTTCCTATAAGAGAATTTCACACTGGACTGTGAACCTGTCCTCCAGCATTTGACCGGCACTGGTGTGGAGTGGGTTTGGGAGGGGGCACAGGACCCTGGAATTTCTCCCTGACCCCCAAGCCAGGCCTCTGTGCTTTCTCAAGAGTCTCACCAGAATAGCCTGAGACCTTCACGGGGAGAGCTGAACTCTGCCTGCTGTGGGTCACATGAACTTTATACCTAAAGCTCAAGAGTTCTTTCCAAAAAAGTGCCTGGAGTGCTTTTATGTGCAACTGTGCTTGGAAAATCAGGGGTACAGGGGCACTAGGCCAAGAAGCCTCTTCTTTCCATTTCATCCTCGCTGTACGATTGAAGGCAAATTGCCTCACCTCTCTGAGACGTTGGGTCTACTTATCTGTACAATGGGGACAAAATAACCTCTGTCCACCACTGCAAGGGATGTGGGGCCAAGGGAACCAGTGTGAGGCTCTGAAATAAACTGATAGGACCCCAGAGGTGGTCTTTGTGGGTGGGTGGGGGGCACTTTGGTGGGACGTCGGGAGGAGGGGGAGGGATGTAGAGCTTCTAAGCACCTCCTTTGCCCAGCTCACTTAACAATAAGCACATGATTTAATGCGGCCAGTAAATCCTTTTCCGCCTCCGCTTCTGAGCTACCACACGACAGGCTCATAATTCAGTTTTAAACAAGTCTAGGATTAGGGCTGCAGCTGTGGGATGCAGGGGGAGTCCACGTGTGTGCAAAGAGTGCTTCCGGCCCAGTGGGGGGGCTGAGCACGCTGCCTGCCATGCAGGAGCAGGGAAGGGGCTGGGGTTGAGTCCGTGAAGCTAGGAAGGAAGGAGGCCTGGCACCTTTTTCAAAGGGAGACCTCATGGCCTTGGGGAGTGCTTAGGGCCTTGCAGAGGAATTGCTGGAACCACAGAGTCTCAGGGCTGGAAGGGACCTTAGGCCCCATCATGCAGCCAGGCCCTGGGCCACAGTGGGAAACTTTGGAAAGGGGGAGGAGGGGAAGCCATCGTGTTGGTCTCAGTTTTCACATATTGAATTTATTTGAAGTAGGGCCTGTTTCCAAATTCCCATGAGGATGTACGTGTCAGTTTTTCAGAACCTGAGGGTTGCGGAATAAGGATGGAGAGGAATCCTGAAACCCCAGCTCAAGTTCAAGGATGAGAGGAGGTGGGAGCGGCAGGGGCAGTCTTCAAGCCCAGGAAAGGCTGTCCTGTGGAGCACAGAATGGGGTTGTGTGTGGGCCACCCCAATGGGCAGGATTAATATGAATGCGGGAGAACAACTAAGACACGGCTACCTTGAACCCCAAGCTTTGCAGCAATAAGAGGGCTGGCCTGGGAAGTAAGGAAGTGAGCTCCCCTAGTATGGAAAGACAGCAAGTGAGGAAAGAGCACCTTCCAGCTGCTACAGAGAAGACCCAGCACTACCGAAAGGGCAGCTGACACAGCTACATGGTCAGACCGCCCTGGTTCAAATCCCAGCCTCACCAGTTACCAGCTACATAGGCCAGCTGTGAGTTCAAAGTTTGGGTACTTTGTCTCTCTGAGGCATTTGATATGAGGATTAAATAAAGTAGTAATTCAATAACTGTTTTCCCATTTCCCCAAAAAGTCTCTTAATTTAATGTTTTATTTTTTTGAGACAGAATCTCACTCTGTCACCCAGGCTGGAGTGCAGTGGCACAATCTCATCTCACTGCAACCTCTGTCTCCCTGGTTCAAACGATTCTCCTGCCCCAGCCTCCCAAGTAGCCTGGACTACAGGCGCCTGCCACCAGGTCCAGCTATTTTTTTTTTTTTTTTTTGGTATTTTTAGTAGAGGTGGGGTTTCCCCATGTTGGCCAGGCTGGTCTCAAACTCTTGACCTCAAGTGATCCGGTCTCCCAAAGTGCTGGGGTTACAGGTGTGAGCACCTGGCCCAAAAATATCTCTTTAATTCTCTACTCCAAAGAAACAAGATTTTCCCAGTGGACTGGCCTGCCCCAGGGCATGGTGGGATGTTTGCCTCAGGGCCGAAGCATAGTTTGCCCGAGGGCATAGTGGGGCATTCACCCTAGAGCAGGTTTGCCCTGGGGTGTTCCACCCCAGGGGATAGCGGGGTGTTTCCCCCAGGGCATGTCACATAATGGGATGCCATAGTGGGATGTTGGCCCCAGGGCATGGTGGGATATCTTCACCCTGGGGCATGGTAGGAAGTTTGCCCTGCATATTGGCCTGACTTCTTTACATACTAGCTAGATCCTGGGCTCCCAGGACACCTGGTGCTTTCTTGTTTTCCTCCATTTTTTTGACCTTCTCTTTTATCTACTCTGGGGAAAAGAGATACCAGGATCTCATCCACTGCTCTGGCTCCTGCCACCACCTTTGCCTCAAGCACACCCTGCATCTCCTGTCTGAAGCCCTCACCTGTCTCCAAGACCCCTCCCTCCTTTTCTCCCAATGAGACCTGCTCCTCCATGAAGTCAGCCCAGCCATGACTCCAGAGCCCTCTTAGCCGACAGCCATCACAGAGTTGAATGCAGGGTTATTTACAGGAGTGTGAGCAGGGTCAAGGGAATCAGCGTGAGATGGAGCAGTCCAGGCAAGAGCGATGGCCAGAGACACCTCTGGGTCTGAAGGGACCGGGAGGCAGCTGCTACTGGAGCCTGGTGAAGGCCGTTGCTGCAGGAGAGGGGTCATTTGCTAGGAGCTGTGCAGCCATAGATAGAGGGACATACCCACCGCACTGTGGTCTAGCAAGGTTGCTGGAGGTGCCTCTCTCTCCTCCCATCTTCAGATTATCTGCTGGTGCCTCCCATTGGCTGAATTCAACCAGAAGCCACAGGGCAGGAGAGCCAGGGTGAGGCAGTCCATGGGGCCAGCTCTCCAGAACATAGAAGGGTATAAAATGAAGTCGGGGAGAATGCCAGCACAAGCCCCAGCTCTGAGAATGACTGTCTTGGCGCTCTGGCCTCAGCCCTTCTCCCCAGCAAACATGCCCCATGTACCCTCTATGTCTCCAGCTAAACATGCCCCTGAGCTTGCACTGCTCCAACCTGCCAAGTCTGTACCTTTACAATGCTGTTTCCTGGGCCTGGAAAGCCTTCTCCTAACTTCCTGTCTTGGCTGAGGCCTGCTCTCGCTTGGGACTCTTAGCTGAGGTATTGCCCCTGTCCCCAGGCCCCGAGTCTGAGCTTTCAAAGCCCCCTAGGCCCATCTCTAGCCAGCACTTAGCTCTCCTCATGTCCTGGTTTCTTATTCTGAGGGTCTAGGAGAATGCCCAGCACACAGTAGGTGTTCATTTAAATGTTTCTTGAATTGAATTCTAGTACCATGCCACTGTAGAAGGGTTATTTTCTATCAACTTGGAAGCAGAAACCATGTCTAACTCTGCTGAGGATTCCTCTAGCACCTGATACAGAGGCCATTTAAATCACGCCTGTTGATTACTGGCATGAATAAGTGAGTATGACGGAGGCAAAGCCGACGGAAAAACGTGGAGCATATAAACCGTGTCCTCTGAGAGGTCAGGAGACATTGCTTCTAGCTAGGAAGAACCAGGGAAGATGTTACAGAGGGGCTAACTCGGGAGGCCACCTTGAAGGATGGATGGGTGGAGAAGAACACTTCTGGTGGGGGAAATGGCGTGAACAAAGGCCCAGAGGCCGGCGAGCAGATGCGGGTAGGAAAGGGTCAGGAAATAAGTGGAGGAGAGGTGGAAGTCATCTTGTCAGCCTCCAGGCTAGGAAAAGCCTTTCCTCTATGTGAAGTCTTTCCTGCTTTCTTCCTCCAGCCTTTCTTCTCCTTCTGTCCAGACCCATTTCTGTCCCACCTCCTCCTGGAGTTCTACACATCTATCTACCCTGCTCTGCATTCCTGCTGCTCCGGCTTCGCACCACAGAGCCTGTGAGCCACACCCAGGAGCCCTGCATAGGCTCCAGAAGCCTCTTCTCTCTTACCTCCCTCCTTTGGGGTCCTGGCTCGGAGCCTCTGGGGGCTGGAGCTGTGAGTTCAAGTTTGGGCAGGAGTCTGCTTACCCCCCAGGGACGTGTTGGGACCATCTGGACCTCAGGGAGCCAGACACGAAACCGCCAGTCAGTGGAGCCGGGTGGCTGGCCACAGTGTGCCAGCCTGGGTGTCCGCCCTGTCTCTCCCTCCCCTCCCCTCTCTGAGGGATGTCCCCAGTGGACTGGCTAGTGGCCCGGGGCTCCGAGGGGAACGTGCTTTCTGCAGGCTGTGGCTGAAGAAGGATAAACCAGCTGTCCTGCCAGCTCTGTGTGGGGAAGAGGGAGGTGACCCCAGCTAGCTAGGCCCCCACAGGATGCCAGCGGCAGGCAGAGTGATGAAGGCTCTGGCCTCTTCCCCCTACCCCACAGGTCATTTTCCCCTTGTGATCCTTGATGAGGAAGTCAGAGCTTCCAGTACTGGGCTGGTTGTGGGGGCAGATAAACCCCAGGAGAATGTTTCTGGACGTAAGCTCAGGGCCTAGGAGAAAAGCCCATGCTGACTGGGATCCGGGAAGCACTGACTTCTCAGGTACAGAGCAGCTGGCTCTGGGAAAAACTGGAAAACCAAGTTTGTGTTCCCCAGCCGGCTCCCTGTGGTGGGGTACAGGGAAGGAGCTCCTCCTGTGGTTACCGTGCTTGGGCCCTCTCAGGCCCCACTGGGGCTGAACACTGGGCTGAGCTCCTGCCATTCCTCAGCCATCTACCAAGCTCCTACTGTGTGCCTGGTGCCCACTGGCCCTCAGAAGATGTCTGAAGCCAGAAACGCTCCCACAGATTCTCTTGACCTCCTCTCCAGCCCCTCCCCCAGCCCTCCCAGGCCTGAAGGGCAAAGGCAGCCATGGAAGAGGGGGTGCTCAAGCCCTGCTCCAGTGATGCAGAGAGGCCTCCTCTGAGAGGGGCCAGGCATGGAGGAGTGGGCCCCAGGGGGTGAGGCTGAATTAGTGGGCGAGCAGCGTGAACAGGGCTTGCTCCCCAGTGGAGGAGGGCAAATAAAGCCCAGGGATCACTCTTACCCTACACGAAGCCTCCCTGCAGGGTTGACTTCCCCAGCTGTTGGTTTCCTCTCAGAGTAATAAAAAGAATCAAGATGAGGTTCCCATTTCCTTCAGATTCACTTGTTGATTCAATCCTTCCATCCCTCCCTCCCTTGGTGCTCACCTGCTCATCTTGTCCCTTCCCTCCCTCCCTCCCTCCCTCTCTCCTTCCTTCCTTCCTTCCTTCCTTCCTTCCTTCTCCCCTCCCCTCCCCTTTCCTTCCCTTTCCTTCCTTTCCTTCCCTCCCTTCCCCTCCCCTCCCTTTCCCTTCCCTTCCCTTCCTTTCCCTTCCCCTCTCCTTCTCCTTCCTTTTCATCTTTCCCTCCTTTCTTTCCTTCCTTCCTTCCTTCCTTCCTTCCTTCCTTCCTTCCTTCCTTCCTTCTTTCCTTTCACTCATCTAAGTACCTGATAGATACTTGGCCTTCTGCTAAAACCTGGGAATCTAAAGAAGTGGGAGATGGGAGTTCTTAATCTTTTTGGAGCAAAAATCTTGATGAGTAATGAACAACATACACCCCCTCTCCCAGAAATCTGCCTGTTACTAACCCGGGTAAAAAATTCTGGGATGCTGTCAGCCTAGCGGGGGAGGCAAACATGAAACCAGGAACTAAACACGGGATGAGAAATGCTAAGTGGATTTAATTTCTGGCTTAGTCTCCTGCCAGACTTAGTCTCTTACCAAGTCTCTTACTTCTCTGAACCCCAGTTTCTTTACCTTTAAAAGGGTGATAATTATATCACCTCCCAGTGTTATTGTGGAGAATGAATGAGATAAACTCTAGAAAGTTTATCTAGCAGTGCCTGGTATATATTACGTGTTTATACATGTGAACTCACTTTTCCTTCTCTGCATTGCATACTTGAGGGATGCAAACTCCTATGAGAGCCCTAAAGAGAGAGAACAAACACTACCAGCAAGGAGAGGGTTATGTTTGAATGGGTTCTGAAGGATGAGTAGGAATTTGCAATCATTTCTCTCTTTTTTAAATTATAAAAGTTCTGTGTCCATATCACCAGGGTCCAGACATGGTGCTGGCAGTTCTACTTATCAATAATGTCAGTGCTTGTCTAGCACTCTGTCTCTGCCCTGTACTGTTCTAGACATCTTGCATATGTCAATTCACTCAAAGGTTATCTCATAATCCTAGGAGACTGGTGCTAGCATTACTCCAATTTACAAAAGAGAAAACGGAGGCATAGAAAGCTAAAACTGTCACACAGCTGACAGGTAGGAGAGCTGGGATCTAAACTCATGTAGCCTGGCTCTGAGAGTCCTTGGTCTGAACCATTACCCTACCATATTGCCTTTCCAGAGTGGCTCTGTTTTTCTCACTAAAGTCTGAACTTCTGACTCCTACTCATCTTCTTGTAGACGGCTTCTGTTGGAACAAAGGATCTAGAAGAAAAAAATGGGAGTCCTAGAGAAAATCTACAGCCTCTCCTGAAAATACGAGTCCAACTTTAAGCATGGAGGCAAGGCCGAAGGAAGTCTCCAGAGGACCAACTTTAAGGAGTGGTGGGAGAATCAGCCAGGAGCCAGGAGAGCTAGGTTTGGGTTTTGGTTCTGCCATTTGTAAACCAGCCTCTCCAGGCTTCAGTTCTGTCCATTTGTAAATGAGCATGTCAGTTCCAGGGTCCTGGCATTGGAGTGAGGTCTATAAAAGCCCTTGAGCCAGCTTTCCTAAGTGCCTCTCGTGGCGTTACTAAGGGCCACTCCTGTACCAGGTTCTCATATCTGCCTCCAGGGCACAGACAGGTGACCTGTCTTACTTCAGGTTACTTCAATTTCTCATAAAGAACCTGCCAATGCTCTTCTATTAATACACCAGCCCTCTCCCCAGTTTCCCAGAGACTTGCCCAGGAGAGCAGGAGCGGTGCGGCAAATACCCAGATCTGGGAACCAGCTCTCTATCAGAAATTTATTTTGTAAATTGCATCCTATATTCTAAGTCATGAGGTCAAATTACTGGCTATTTAAAAAGATCTGTGATGAATCCCTTTGTAAAGTGGGGAGAGAGAGTTCCCTGAGGGCGTCTTTGTAGAAATCTGAGTTTGTTTAAAGGGAAGCAAGACTTATCCTGGGCTCCCATTTTACAGATCAGGAAACCAAGGTTCAGAGGGTCCATGTGCTTCTCTCAGGACCCAGGCTGGGATAGAATCTGAGCAGAGAGCAGGCAGGCCCCACCCCCCAAGAGGAGCTGGGGAGGGGGCAGACTCAGCGTGCCATGGCAGGCCAGAGCAGAGAATGGAAGTAGAGGCTTGCGCTGCCATGTGGGAGAGCTGGCAGGGTGGGCTGCCTAGTGGAGGGCCAGCCAGGAGTCTAGGTATCCAACAGTCCATCTTGGGTCAGTGGACCTCATTCACTTGGATAAGGCAGCACAGTTTTGTCAAGCACCCATTTCATACCAGGGTCTGCCAGTGCCCAGTGCAGTGCCTGGCATAGAGATGAGGCTTACCCAGTCATCGCTGGATGATCACCCAGCAGTTCTAGGATCAATTCCCCTCCTCAGTGGGTGGCAGACTCACAGAGGGGAAATAAGTCAGGAATGGAAAGCCTTATGCTTCCATAGACTTTTCTGGATCACCCTCTATGTGCTTAGGGCAATGCTTGGAGCTGCTAGGCAAAGGGATGCTGGGTGGGGACACGGTGGGTAGTGGAATAAACAGGAGCTAAAGTCAGCCCTCACCCTGAGGGGTCCCTAATCTGCAGAAGGAGGCAGACTTGTCTGCACCCACGAGGAAAATTTGGGGACAGAGAGCACAGAGGCTGGAAAGAGTAGAGTGCATAAGAGGGGCAGTTCTAGTGTCGTTCATTCTTTAATTCATGTGTTCGACAACTATTTACTGAGTACCTACCATGTACCAGGCACCACTTTAGGGTCTGTGGTTACAGCAATGAATAAAACAGGTGAAAAACCTTGCCTTCGTGGAGATTGCATTCTGGTAGATCAGGTAACATTCAAATACACTAGTCAGTGGCCATATTTGCTTCTGAAGAAATATAAAGCAGGGGAAGGGGATGGAGCGTAGACAGGAGATAGCAGGCTACTTTACCCAAGAAGGGCAGGGCAGGCCTTTCTGAAAAGGTGACATTTGAGCAGAGCCCTGATAGAGCCAACAGAGTGGATATATGGGGAAGAGTTTTCAGGCGGCAGGAGCAGTAAGCGCAAAGGCTCTGAGGCAGGTAAGTCGATGCTCGTGTTAAAGGAACAAGGAGCGAAGCCAGTATGTTTGGAGCAGAATGAAGGGGCGAGTGGAGGAGCTGAGGTCAGGGAGGTAACAGGGGAGCAGATCGTGTGGTCATAGTACATCCACAAATGAAGTGAGTGGAGGAAGGACCTGATCTGACTTACACTTTAACAGGCTCTCTCTGGTTGCTGTGTGAATTCACTGTAGGGAACGAGGTGAGGGTGAACACAGGAGGCCAGCAAGGATACCCTGCAGCAGCCCAGGTGAGAGATGGTGGGGGCTTGGATAGGGTTGTAGCAGGGGCCAGGAGAGAAGGACTAGATGGAAAGTCTTCAGCTCCCACCCTGCCACTCTCTGGCTGTGTGCCTTGGGCAAGTTACTTAACCTCTCTGAGTCTCTGTTTTCTCATCTGGAAAACAAGGTTAGTAATAATCCTTACCTGGTGGTATTTTTACCATGCTTACATGAGACATAAGCACAGTCCCTGGCACTCTTGATGCTCACTCAATGACAGCTCTCAGTAATTTCTGACCCATAGGAGCCTATTGCACTGGGACCACATATTCAAAGTGGAATAAACTGAACCCACAAAGACTGAGGAGATCTAAGCTGGTTCAGGGGGACTAGAGGTTTAAAATGTGTTTAAGCCCCCTGATGTCTTGGGGCTCAGTTGGGCACTGTCCCCACTGCCCACATTCCATGCCCATGCCCCTGGGCAGAGGTGCCCTTTGGCCTCCTGTTTATCTGTTTGCCTTTTACCTGCATTGAAGTTTCATCTGAGAAACTGGCCCCACCAGTCCTGGGCCCAACATCAGCCCGCCCTCATCATGGGTTTCCAGCTGCTCCTGTAAAGTCAACAGTGCCCAGGAACAATGAAGAAGGAGGGGACAGCAGGGAGGCCCATAGCCCACTGTGCTCCCTCGCAAGCATGTGACCCTCAGGAATGACTGGCAGAGGTAATGATGGGAAACAAGCCCCAGGGAGGGTGGAGGGCTGAGAAAGAAACCCTAGTCTCAGGCAGGTGCTGGTGGCTGCAGTGCCTGCAGGACTGGCCCTCCTGGCTGTGGACAGGCCATGGCTATTCTAGAGACAAGGGATGGCTCTGGGGCAACTGGGAACATGTGCCTTTCCTGGGGGACATCAGCCTAGAAGCTTTTAAGTGATAGGCCCAGAAGGGGCTTGGTCCAGCCCTGCTGCATCCCCGCATTGACTCACTCTTCCATCTATTTAGTTGAAATACTGAGGCCTGTTGTGAGCCAGGTCCTGGGGTTAAAAATGTTTCTCCCACAAGGAGCATTTGCTAGGGAAAGTGAGAGCCAGAGAGAGAGAGAGAGAGAGGAAATGACTTTCCATAGGTCGCACAATGAGTTGCTGCAAAGCCTGCCTAGGAGTCTTGACTCCCTGTCCAGTGCTCTGACAAGCAAGTGCTCCAAATGCTCCAGACACCTCTTGGTGGCCTTGGGGAGCTCATTCCTTAGTGCATTTATGTCTGCTTGGTTGCCTAGGAGAGGCCTGAGGGCTGTGACCAGCTGAGGGCCACAGGAGTTAGAGAGGAGCTGGGCATGTCTCTAGGCTGGCTAGGCTGCAGGGAGCCCGTGGCCAGCCTGGGGGAGGTGCCTCTTGCATGCTGTGTGGCTTCCATCCCTGGATCAGTTTCACCATCTTTTACCTGGTAATGGGTTGCCCTACCAACCTGTCAAGGTTGCTGTGGGGAATGAGAACATGCCTTTCTAAGTTCCCCACCGTGGAATCTGCCTTGAGCAGGATGAGGTCACGTGGTGGCACAAGCCAAGATGGGAGAGTGAGGTGAGTCCCAGATGTTCCCAGGGTGTCTGTGCTGGGCTTCCACTTCCAGACTGGCTGTACCTGTGGGTATGGGGAAGGGGATGGCTGTGGGGAGACCCACCCTGCCCTTAGGGAGTCTGATGGGGAAAGCTCAATTTCTGCCCATAGGAAATCCCCAGACTCATGAGCCCAAGGGCTTAAGTTGTGAAAATTTCACGCAGTAGTCCTGTAGGCCCCGGCCAGACCTCACAGAGCTCCAGCAGAGGTTGGTGTGTGAGCTGGGTGCCGGCCTGATCTCTAGCTCAAAGGGAAGGAGGCCTGTGCCTTCTGGCCATGAAGGCTGCCCCGATTTTGGTCTCCCAGCCCCACTTCTGAGGGCCAGCCACCCCCTCTGTCCAGGCACCTCTCCTGGTATGAGCAGCCCCTGCCTACGGCTCCCACCTCTGCCCCCCATGCTGCTATGTGTTCATTCAGTAGGTCCCCCTGCCCTAAGCAGTGATTCTGTCATGGATCGATGACAGGCATGGTGGGAACCAGCCATGAGTTGCCCAAGGCTGCTACCTTCAGGGGGTGCACTACTGGACAGGTGCGTGCACAGCCACCGCTCACCCACACAGCGAAGTGGGTCTCCTTCAAGGGCTGAGTGTGTGGCCTCCACACTCAGAGTTATGGTCCAGCTGCAGGAAACCATGTACTGGCTGATGCCACCTGGATGGCCAGTTGTCTGGCTGGGGCAGCCGATCCCCCCCCATCTTTCCAGTGCCTGCCCCCCTGCATTCCTGGGGTCCCAGGTATCCCCCTGAAGATTCTTCTCCCTGTCTGTAGCATCTGGCGCTGCTAACCCAGCCCTGAAGTATGCCCAGTGCTTGCTTCCTATGAGGCCCAGCCTCCCATGGAGCCTTCGGGTAAGCAGGCGCTGGGGAGGGTGGTGGGAACAGCACTGAAGGTCGGGGCAGGGGCCAGCAGGGCCTGGGAAACCGGGAGATCCACGATGGGTCAGGAGAGACTGGCTCCTGTTTGTTGACCCTGAGCTGTGGACACAGGCGAAGGCATCACCTCCCTTTCCTGGTCTCCTCCCTTCCCTGGTCCTCTGTGGTCCCAGGCCTGCCCCCACCCAACTACCCAAGGCTTCCCCACTTCTTGGCCACCTCCCTGTTCCCCGGCCACCCCACTCCGGGCTCACTCCAAGTGGGGCTTACATGTAAAAATAGCCCAGGTTTTTTTTGAGCTTGTTATCTACTATTTTTATCAGATGGTTCAAGCAAAGCATGGCCGAAAAAAGGGAAAATCACACAGCTCTGTTTGCCAAGCTCAATAGAAATAGCACCAGGGTGGGTTATTTTTAACAAGATGAATACCCCTGTCCTCTGAGGTCTCCCCTGGCCCCATCCCAGCCTCCTTTGTCTCTCTGCCTGGACAGCAGATTTTAAAATACGCCCACAGTTGCCAAACCACTAAATGCACCCAAGACAGCGACTGAGGCCGTTGGAGCCAAGGAGGGCTGTGGGGGATACTTTTTTTTCCCTTTTTCCTCCCCTCCCTTGAAGGAAATCACACTCTTTTGTTTGAAAAACCTTCCAGGTTGGTTTTTGAGGCCTTTTCCTGGTTGTCCCACTCCCACGGGAACAGCAGAGGTTACTCTGAAACATGCGGTGGTTTGGGCAGATTGACCCCAGAGGCCTGGTGTGGCCCGTGGCAGTCTGTGGTGGCTCCTGTGCCCAGCTGTGGCAGAGCAGGAACACAGGAGGAGCCTGAGAAGCCACGTGGGGGGAGAGGGGTAGGGAGAGGCCTGCGGAGGAGGGCTGAGTGGTGGAGGCGCCGAGGGGGTCCTTGCTCAGCCACTGTCCATGCAGGTGGAATGGCTGGGAGCCAAGGCTTTACTGTGTTTTTCAGGCCAAGCTGTCCTAGCTTGGCCACGACAAAGCCTCAGTTGGCTGAGGGCTCAAGCGTCCTCCGCATTGAAGTTGACACCGGAAAAAGTCCCAGGGTATGGAATACCACCTACCACTGTGCAGCACCTATCACTGTGAGTACCAGCCCAGGAGTCAGGAGACTTAGGGAACAAGTCGCCGCCCCTTTTCAGGCTTTGTGTCCCCCATGTACCAGAAGAGGCCTGGACTAGCCTGGGCTCTCTGGGGTGTGCGGGGTGTGCCTGAGCGTACAGAACCACTTCTGCAGCACTTTTCTCTGTGGTCAGGAAGGGAAAGAAAATAGAAACAAAAGGTAATGTTAATTGAGCACTTACTATTGGGAGGAGGTATTAAATGAAACACTTTACATCGCATGTGTCATATCTCACTTATTTTCACTATAACCCTATTACTATCCTTTACTGATGTTCACAGAGCCACTTTCTTCCCTAGTGGTCATATAGAAAACCCAGAGAAGGACTGTGATCAGCAGGTCTGGGATCACGAGCCCATCCTGGGGCCATCTTTCTGACCAAGGGGACGGGAGGCTGTGACTGGCCATCTCTGATCCCAGGCCTACCCCCATGGCCAGGAGCTGGGACACAGCAGTTGACAGTCCTGCCAGAACCACAGACATAGGGGACTGGGCTGTTCCACCAGATGCTGCTGGGGAGGGGGAGATGCTGGGCAGAGGAACTTGCAGCACCCCCTGCAGGGGGTGGAGCCAGGCACCGACTCCAGCCACCCGATCGATCCCGTCTTCTCTTATCGTGCCTGACCAGTGGCTATTCTGCTGCAATTCAGGGCAAAGGGAGAGAAAAGTGGGTCATGGGTGCGGGGGGTGGGGGGGTGTGGAGGGTGAGTGGAGGTGAAAAGGACCCCAGTGTAACCCTACTTCAGCTATACTGGACCCCAGGCTGGAGCCTCCCTCACCCCCACCCTGCCTTGTGTCCTGCTCTGACTTGTCTTGGGCCTTTGTACGTGCTGCTCCCTCTAGTGACAATGCCCCCCACACCCTCCCCTTCTCATTTGGTAACCCCCATACATTTTTCAAAACTCATCTCAACAGCCCCTCCTCCAGGGAGCCTTCTTCCCTCCCCAGGCAGGACGGGGACTCCGGACTCCCGGCACACACCTCCACTGGGACTATTCGGCCTGCGGTGACTGCATGCCACTCGCCTGCCTGGGGGCAGAGGCTGTGTCTTATTGCTTCTGTGCTCCCAGGACCCAGCACAGTGTACAGTACAGAAAATATGTGTTGACTGAATAGAAGGGAGAAGAGGCAAAAGAAATAGGGAATAAGAGGGAGAAAAGAGTGAGGAGAAGGAGAGAGAGAAGTGCAGGCTGGGGCCAGTGGGGTGCAGGGGCTCAGTGAGGGCCATACTATGAGGCGTGCGAGGGGCTGCTTCAGGCTGGAACTGGGAGCACAGATTCCTCCAGTCCTGGAGGCCCTGGCCCCAGTTACTCTCCTTGGGGCCAGTGTCCTAAGTGGGGAGAGGCCATCTGGCCTGTTATTCAGTGGCATCTGTAGATGGTCTGTTTTGTGCCTGGCACTGTGCTGGGCACAGGGCTGCTGGTCTCCACCAGCTGCTCTGGCAGCCGGGATCAGAGTGATGGGGAGCAAGATCCTTCCAGGCATCTGCAGCTCTGAGGAAATGATCTGCCCATCTCTGAACAGCAGGCCTCACCCAGGATCTCTGCCCATGGCCTTGGCTGGCACACTTCCCAGGGGACGTTGCATGGCAGGAACACCACTGGAAGCTGCGAAGCCCCGTCAGTCCTGCCCTGCTTGCTTCTCATCCCTGTAGGAAGCTCTGAGAGGAGGTGTGGAGGCTTCTCTTGGCTCCTTTTGGGATGTAGCTCCTGGCTCCCACCCAGGCTGGCTCCTCACTTGCCACCCCTACACACACCCCAGCCCCAGGGGAGGATGGGGCAAGGGAGGGGAGGGAGTCAGCCAGCCGGCTGCTGCCTGGCCTGGTAATGAATCGTCCCAAAGTTTGCTGCTCTGGCTGAATAGCTTCCCTTCTGAAAGGGGCTTGTGACAAAGGGGACATTGACATCCTCCACTAGACAAGGAGGGCCGCAGGCATGCACAGGGGAAGGCCCTTTGGGAGACGGCGGGAGGCAGCTGCGGGGATCCTGACGTGCTGCCACTGACTCTGCCTGATGGGCTTGGCTGGGTCTGCCTCCTTCCTGATTCTGGCACTGAAAGGCCTCAGGACTAGGGTGTCTGAAGTGACAGAAGATCTCCTTGGGAGCCTCTGTGACCCACAGTGACCAGCTGAGTTGGGGCAGGGACCAGGGAGAGGTGGAAGGGGGTCGGGAGTGGAGCAGAGCTGGCTCACGCAGAGCACTGGGCTGTTCAGCTGAGAACTTAAAATGTAGCCTACCTTCGCCGGACACTTCTTCTCCTGGGGTCCTGATGGCCAGGATGCTCCCCTGGCCTCCTCCAGACCCTGGCACAGGTAGACTACATTGCTAGAGGTCAGGGTTTCTATCCTGTATGTCTGGAGGTCCCTGTGGCATCTGGCAAAGTGAGTGGCCTGGGGTGGGAGCCCTAGCGCTCAATCACGGTTCTGGGTTTGATTATGGTTTTGTTTGTTCAGAAGTTACTGGCAACAGTATTTTTTGTTGATTCAATGTGATGTGCATATGGATGTGCACATTTGGCTTTCTCCACCAAAAAATCTGGTTTGGTGGAGTCGGATTAGTTTGTAGCCCCACCTTTAGGCCTGAACTAATTCATGTATTTATTCAGCAGACTTTTTACGAGTGAGGAATGTGCCAAGTAATGGCTGAGGACCTGGAAACCCAAGGGCTGCCCTACTGGGCCACCCTGTGCCCAGTACCCTTGAATTTGAGAGAGTAAGACATTTGAGATTGGACAAGAAACATCCCTGAGATTGACCTTAACTTGATGAACTCATAAGGACAAACAAACCATGGGTTGGTGGGGTGGCCTGCCTTGAGTCTGCAGCCAGGCCATTTCATGGGACACTCTTGAAATGCCTTCCTGATGCCAGGCACGGTGTCTGCTGTGGCTTAGCCCATGAACCCTGCGAACCACATCATCAAAATATGTATGTGTACACATGTGTGTATACACATGTATGTATACATGTATGTGTGTGTGCACATGTGTGTATACATGTATGGGTGTATACACATGTATGTATACATGTATGGGTGTATACGTGTGTGTGTGTGTGTGTGTTACTCTTGCCTTTTCAGAGGGGATATCAAGTGAGAATCCTGACTCTGCCTCTTATCTGAGGATAACAATAGTATCTCTATGGCAACTGACTTATACTCCCTGTACCTCAGTTTCTTCATCCATGAAGTGGGGATAAAGGGAGTAACTACTTCATTGGGTTGTTGTGAGGATTAAGTAAGCTAATACCGTAAAACACTTGACATTATTTTGCACGTAGTAGGTACCCAATAAATACTCACTATTATTATTATTACTACTGCTACCACTGCTTCTAGTACTATCACTTCAGAAGGTGCCTTAGGTTGAGTTCTCCAGAGGCAGACTGTCAGATGAGGACTCATAGCTAAGTGATTTGTGAGTTTCCCAGGGAAACTGGAGAGGGATTGGGGGAAGCAAGATGGGAAAGGAAAACAACAAAAAGGGTCTGATTTCAAGTGAAGTTGATAGCTCCAGCCTGGTTCTGGGGGAGGACTCCAGAGTATTAGTTATAATACCTCAGGGATGTCTCCATCCCAAGCAAGGGAGCTGAGACCTTACGCTCCTGCACTCCTGTCATTGGCTAAGGGTCACTTTGGAGGATATAACTTCCAAGTACTTCCAGATCTGCAGGCAAAGCAACTCCTATAGCCTGAGGGCAATTACCCAAGGAAGAATGAATAGAAGGGGAAGCCACAGAAGGTGAGAGAGTGTACCCAGGATGATAGAGAGATCTGGGGGCAATACCAATAGTATTCCCCATAGAAAGCTACTGAGAGGAATGAATGAGCAAAGCCCCTGCCCCGTGCCTGGTACATGGCAGGTACTTGGTAGTCATAGGCTCTCCTCCTCTAGCCACAGGCGTCTCCCAGTCCACGGCCAGGATCACTGTGGGGTCTGGAAGGCCCAGCCAGGCCCAAAGCCTTGTATATTTGCATAGGACAGTGCTGTGGCTTGAATGTGTTCCCCCAAGGTTCATGTATGGCAAACCTAATCCCTAATGCAACAGTGCTGGGAGGCGGGGGCTAATGGAAGATGCTTAGGTCATGAGGGCTCCACCTCATGAAAGGGTTAATGTTGTTACTGTGGGAGTGGGTCCCTTATTGTGGGAGTGGGCTTATTATAAAAGCAAGTTCAGCTCCCTTTTGCTTTCTCTTGCTTTTGCCCTCTCTTGCCCTTCTTCCTTTTGCCATGGGATGATGTAGTAAGAAGGCCCTCGCCAGATGCCAGTGCCATACTCTTGGACTTCCAGCCTCCAGAACCGTGAGCTAATAAATTATTCTTCTTTATAAATTACCCAGTCTCAGGAATCTGTTATAGCAGCACAAACTGACTAAGACAGACAGTGACTCTATCTGTGATTTAAGGGACCAGTGAGAAGAGCCAGCTTTCTCAGGCTGCCTGAAGCACAGAGGTAAATAAGTGTCAGCTCCAGCCAGCACAGACTTCCCTGGATCTGCCCAAGGATGCTAGCATCAGGAAAGAGAGAGAAGCTGTGAAAATATGACACCTACATACACCCCAGCTCACCCTTCCTAGATACCCTGCACCTGCCATCTCTTCCCTGCCCCCATGAGTGGCTCTGCCATCCACCCTGCTGTGCAGAGGAAGTACTGCTCTAGGTGAGCCCTGGGTCACCATGATCCAGTGTCAGCCTCTGACCAGGGCCATAAGTAGAGACCCATGGCCTGGCGGCAGCTGCCTGAGTAAGTAGCAAGCCCTAGTTATGGCCCCTTAGTGTTCCCCTTGGGGACTTCCTGCCTGGGCATAAGAGAAAACATTGGAGAAAATTGCAGGCCCCACACAACTGGCTTCTGCAAAAAGCATAGACCTCCCTGGAGAGCTTCCCATGGTCCAGGGAATTCAAGCAGAGGCAGAAAGGTCACCCCTTGGAGGTGATTCTGGAGGGGACACTGTGCTAAGGATAACAAAAATAACATGTTATCCCCTACCATGCATTGAGTCATCACCATGTTTCAGGTGGTCCCTTAATAGGAACCATCTTATTGAAAGCTCTCAACAAGTCTGTGAGGCTGCTGCTCAGGGGTCTTCTTTTCACATGTGAGGACTCAAGCTCAGAGAGGCCAAGTTTCAGGCCCTAAGTCCCACAGTTCCCATCTGGTTTTCCTGCTCCATCTTTGCCTCCTCAGTCTACTCCCAGCACAGTAGAGTGAGCCTGGTGGGACATGGTCTGCCCTCCTTCCAGGCTCTGTAGTGGCTGCTGTTCGCTCCGGGTAAAAGCCCAAGGCCTCTCAAAGTCCCCCGTGCCTTTGCCAATCTGGTTTCCCATGCCCTGATCTTGTCTCCTGCCACCCTCTCCTCACTCAGCCCCACTCTGGCTCCGAGGCTGCCTCTCTGCTGTCTGTAAAACATCCCACACTTTCTCCACATCCTCTCCAGCACCTATTGTTTCCTGACTTTTTAATGATCGCCATTCTAACTGGTGTGAGATGGTATCTCATTGTGGTGTGGAGAAATAGGAACACTTTTAAACTGTTGGTGGGACTGTAAACAAGTTCAACCATTGTGGAAGACAGTGTGGCAATTCCTCAAGGATCTAGAACAGAAATACCATTTGACCCAGTGATCCTATTACTGGGTATATACCCAAAGGATTATAAATCATGCTACCATAAAGACACATGCACACGTATGTTTATTGCAGCACTATTCACAATAGCAAAGACTTGGAGCCAATCCAAATGTCCATCAATGATAGACTGGATTAAGAAAATGTGGCACATATACAATGTGGAATACTATGCAGCCATAAAAAAGGATGAATTCATGTCCTTTGTAGGGACATCGATGGAGCTGGAAACCATCATTCTGAGCAAACTATTGCAAGGACAGAAAACCAAACACCACATGCTCTCATTCATAGGTGGGTACTGAACAATGAGAACACTTGGACACAGGATGGGGAACATCACACACCGGGGCCTGTCGAGGGGTTGGGGGAGTGGGGAGGGATAGCATTAGGAGAAATACCTAATGTAAATGACCAGTTAATGGGCGCAGCACACCAACATGGCACATATATACATATATAACAAACCTGCATGTTGTGCACATGTACCCTAGAACTTAAAGTATATATATAAAAAAAAAATCCCACACTCGCTCCTGCCTCCAGGCCCTTGTGTTGGCTGCTGTCTGCCTGAAAGGCTCTTCCCCAGATGCCTGTGTGGCTCTGGCCTTACTTGCTTCAGGTCTCTGGCCGAGTGTCACCTCCTGAGCCACCCAGCTGGTTCTTCACTCTCTGTTCTCTTCACTCTGTATAGCGTGTGTGTGTGTGCGTGTGTGTGCATGCGTGCATGTGTGTGCATGTATTACCTGTATCCCTTCATTAAAAGGTAAGCCCCACCAGGGCAGCTACTTTGCCTCTTGTGCGTTGCTAGATCAGGTCCCAGATCAGTGTGACAGGCTGCTCAATAAATATGCGCTGAATGATTGAGCAGTGCCAAGACTTGAGCTCCAAAGCTCTAATCAGCAGGCATCCTGGGGCTGGGGGAGGGTGACTGGCAAGGCCCTCTGGAGCCCTGGGATCTGCGGCTCTGTGCACACTTGCTTTTTCTCACAGCCTGAGGGAACTGAGAAGCACAGCCACCTTCAGGAGAGTTTGGCCCCAGGCACCTGCCTCATGTGCCCCAGTTCAGCTCAGCCTGGCCATGAGAAGGCCGCCTCAGGCTCTCTGTGCAGCCTCTTTCTTTGGGGGGTTTCATCCTTGGCTGGCTCACTCTCACTTCCTTCTTCTTGACTTTGAAGCCTGGGGGAAGCAACGTCCTTTTTCTCTTGGCCTGAGTTTCAACTCCAGAGGAACTTGGCAGACTCTGGCTGTTTCTCCAAACAGCCTACTGGATCCTCTGAACACTTGTTCACTCAGATCATACTTATTGAGCATCTTCTATGTGCCAGGCACACAGAGAACAGGAAGAGGGATGTGATTTCCAGCTCTCCATGTCACCACCGGTCCAACCTGGCCCGGGAGGCCATACAACAGACAACTAAAGCCAGAGGCACTTGGAGCCTGAGGCAGGGCCTCTGCCTCCCTTCCCCTTGCTCACCCTCCTTCTGAGAATGTGGGATTGGGAAAGGGAGAAATTTCCTCTCTCCCCTAAATTGCCTCTTGGGGAAGAGAGACAATTTCTGGGGCCAACAGAATGGAGAGCCAGCCTCGGGGTGGAGGGAGCTGAGTTGGGCGTTTAGTTTGAGGGAGATCTGCCAGGCCTCATCTTCTTCCTCAAACGCAGTTCTGAGAAAGCCTCCCTCCCCTGCCTGCCCCTGCTGCTGACCTCCCTTCTTCCCTGCCATGCCTGGTGCCTGCCCCAGCTGCTGACCTCCCTTCTTCCCTGCCATGCCTGGTGCCTGCCCAGGGCCCCTCCTCTGGAAATGCCTGGGGTCTGTGGCAGGGCTCTGGTTCTCCCCATCCAACCCATGTCTCCCCAGGGCTGCGATGGGCCACCTGTACTTGTGCTCTCAGAACCACACGCTGTCACCTGCCCCCATCCCCTGTATATACAGGCTTCCTCGTTCCAAGAACCCAGAGACATTAGACAGTTGTCCAGGTTTCTCCATGTCTTTGTTGGCCATTGGCAACACATCCTGGAAGGAGAAGAGAAATGAAGGCTTTTACCAGGCCAGCAAATCAGCGCTCACAAGTGTCCTGAGGAGGGATCTGAGGGAGGGGCAGCTACCAGGAACAGGTAAACACACAGAGTCGCAAGTCTGGTGGGGTCTGTACAGCAGGAGGTGGCATCTGACCCTGCTCATATCTCAAAAAGGCATCAGTAGTTGACCATGAGCTTCCTCTCTGACCCAAATCCTAGAAGGGCCCCTGAGTGGGTGGCAGCAGGTGGGACACGCAGGTCTCATCTCCTTCGGATTCAGTGCATCCCCCTTGTCGGCTCTGGGGACTCCTGCCCCCACTCCCTTCACTCCTTATTGCAGAACCGATGGGGCCCAGAACAGAGGTCTTGCTTTGGAGGGTCTGAGCTGGCCATGCAGCAGGTGAGCCTTGAGGGGGGACTCCTGGGACCCCTTGCTCCTCTGGACTCTCCTGTTGGGGGATAAGATCCAAGTTCCACGTGGCAGACTCGCCAAAGAATTTTCAAAGCCCCAGCCCCATCTGGTGGGCCTTCAGCATATGTGCTTCGAGCTGCCATTGTATTTTCCTTGGATGTTGGGGCTCCCCCACACCAAGATAAGCTCAAGGGCAGGACCTAGTGAGACTGACCTGTGTCCCCCAGGCCCAGGAGAGGGAGGCACACTCAGCAGCCAGGGCCTGGGTTCAAGTCCTACCTCCACCACTGTCTGTGTGACCTCAGTCATGTGACTTTGCCCTTCTGAGCCTCGATTTCCTTCTCTGTAAAATGGGCAGAACTGTAGGCCTATTTCATAGAACTGTGGTGAATTTAACTGGGAAGATGCATGTAAGACACTTATAACAGTGCCAGGCACCTAATACGTGCTCAATAAATATCACCTGTTGTATTCCTGTCACCTCTCAGCATTCCTTCCTGAGCTATGAAGGATTCTGGGATTGGGGATTGGGATTGGGGCTTGGGGCCAGCTGGGCTTCCTCCCGAAGATGGCCTGATCCTTTAGGAGACATGGGAGGAGAAGGGGGCCCTCGAGTTGCCTCCAGGCCCCTGGGGGTTGTGGCCAGTCTGGAAAGCCCCGACTCACCACACTGTTTGGATTGGGTTTCTATTCCCAACACCGGTGAGAGACCTGCTATTTATGGGCCCCCCATCCCACCCCCTGGGCGGCCAGACAGTGTGTGGGCTGGGGACCACATGGCTGGCAGCCCACTACCCCCACCCCACGTGGGTGCTGTGACCTGGGCACGTTTCACACGTTGGTTATCCCGCCGTCTCAGCAGTGGCTTTCCCAGCTCTGCCTGGCCACCCCAGGGAGGAGCAGAGATGGGGGGACAGGAGGGGTTGCCTGCCTCTTCATCCTGCACTCTGTCTTCTAACAGAGTATCTTTCAGGATGGTTGGGTTCCTGGGGGCAGCAGGGATGACACATGCCACCCCTTTCCATTTTCACTCTTACGATGACACATTTGTCATGTGGCGTCTAGTGTGGTTAAAACCATGGAGCCAGACTGCCTGGGTTCAAGTTCCACTTCAGCTGCTCATTAGGTGTGTCCTTGAGTGGGGACCCAAACCTCTTTGTGCCTCAGTTTCCTCAGTCAACTTAAGACAGAGCTCGTACTAGTACCTGCCTCATAGGGTCATCATGAGGTTAAAAGAATAGATACAGGTGAGCGCTTAGCACCAAGCTGAGCCATAGAAAACACGCAGACTCCACAGGACATTCTTCTCTCTGCAGGCTCTGATGCAAGGTGGCGACTGTGGCATTCTTTACACGGTTCCTGTTCTCTGACCAGGCAGGACTGCTGTCCCCACTGTGCAGAGGGAGAAGTTGAGCCCTAATGGGAGTAAGTGGCCTCTCTGAGGTTGCACAGCTGGGGATGATAGAACTCAGGCCCTCTGATCATTAACTGCTTGAGTCTCCTCCCCACACCCCTCACCAAGTAGGTAAGGGACACCCCTGGCCCTCCCAGCAATGGAGGTGAGGACCCTTACAGGTGTTTGCCCAGCAGGAGCCAGGCTGAGCCCAGACCCTGGGCCTCCCTGCCCTCTGGTCAGCACTTCCAGTCAACCCATTCGGGACAGAGGCTATTTTTAGTGTGTGGTGTTTGCCCTGTGGCAGGGGATATTTGTGAAGGGTAAGGCCATTGGTGTCCCTTGGCTTCCAATTGGAAACTTCTCTCGGACATGCCACAGATTGGCCGAGAGCATGAGGCTTTGGAGAGCCTTTTTTCTTCCTTACAAGATGTGGCCATTTCTCCTTCCCATCTGCCCTCTTGCCAAGCCCACAGCTTCTGTTCCTGGCTCCTTGCCACCAAGATGGTGACAGCCTTCCCAGGTCTGGTGGGATGAGCAAATTGGGCAAAGTGTGGTTTCCTGGCCCTGGCCCGGCATCTTCCCTCTGCTAATAAACCTGTGGCTAACCATCCGTGGCCTTGTGCTCCGTGGTTAGAGCACCATGCCAACGAGGCCAAGGTCAGGATCCGCCCCAGCCAGGCCGGCTTTACTCAGAGGTGTGCTCTGTCCCATGGCCTCAGCCTGCAGCTGTGGGCTGTGCAGCCTGGGCTGGGGGTGGCAGTGGTCAGGCCTGGGGAAGGCTGTGAGCCTGTGGAGTGTGGACTCCGTCCCCTGAGGGGGTTCTCTCTCTGGTCCACCGGCCTGCTGCTGGGTCCTTCCCTACGTGAAGGCTGGCTTCCCCCGCGTGTGGGTGGGAAACCACTGGAGGTGAGAAAGTGCCAGACGAGCAGGCACAGGGCCACTCAGTCAGACTTCTACGCCGCCAGGAGAAGCCTCTGGAGGGGCAGAGTGTGATGGTGAAGAGGAGAGACTGTGGGGTTCAAATCCCTGACAGGATACTTAGTAGCAGTGTAGTTTCAAAACTACTCTGTGCCTCAGTGTCCCTATCTGTAAAACGGAGATGATTCTAGGGCCCCTTGTGAAGCTGAAGTAAGCTAAGCCTGGGAGCACGTGGAAGAGGAGTTGCTAGACAATGGTAAGCTCTTGTTATCACTGTAGTGTCTCCAACTCCTGACCTCAAGTGATCTGCCCACTTCCGCCTCCCACAGTGCTGGGATTACAGGCATGAGCCACCGCGCCCGGCCCCATTGCAGTATCTCAATCCCAACACCAGTTGCATTGTACCAATTTCTAGCTCTACCTGGTCCCCTCCCACTATCCCCACTCCTTATAGACACCTTCCCTCATACCAAGCCAAACCTTCACTGGCCCCAAGGCTCTTGTGCAGTTGAAGCCTGGGTTGCACGGATGGTCCCCGCCTTGCCCTACTGAGAGGCCAGATGCTGGGGGTGGCCACGCTGCAGGCGGGTCCTTGCCCCTACTCCTGCCAGAAAGAAGCCCAGTGTCCTTGGCACAGGCAGGCACAGGGCAGGTGCCCTGCTCTGCTCCTGTGGCTCTTGCCCAGGAGGGCGCGGCTGCTGAGCTTAGGTCTAAAAATAAGGTATCTGGGAGGAACGGCTTTAATTTGCACTTTACCTATTGGTGTTTACTTTGCTATTTCCAATACGGTAATTTAATTCTGCAGGGTGCCTGACTGGGGGGCACCTGAGGCGTGCGGTTACCTGACCGCACCAGGAGTGACTCTTGTGTCCCTGTGCGGCTCTGACAGAGAAGCCGCAGGGACAGTGGTGGTCTTTGGAGTTCACAGGTATGGGCATGGCATACAGGGGCAGGAATGGGCATCAAGACCCCACCATGCCCAGATCCACCATCCTCTCTTCTTCATTCAAACCCTTGCCCTGATGGCAGAGCAAGGATCCCCTTCTGCCACATGTCCCTGCCTGCTGCTTGTCCCCACGTCTCTTCCTGCCCATGGCCAGGGGCTCCATCTCTGCTGAGATGCCTCCCTCTCACCGCCAGCGATGAAGGAACTCTCTCTAGGTTTCTCTGTTGGACATACAGCTATTTACACTACAGCGTTGATGTCTTCCACCCTCCCACCACTAGTAGCTTGCTTTGTTTTAGTTTTATATTTTGTCTTTTCTTGGAGATGTGGGCTCACAGAAGCAGGGCTATGTCTCTCTCTCTCAGACTGGGAGTCCCTGAAAGCAGGGCTGTGTTCCACTCTCAGACTGGGGTTCCCTCAGGACAGGCTGCACCCCCCGCCTCAGATTAGGGGCTCCCCAAAGGAGAGAATATGTTTCTCTCTCAAATTAGGGGTCTCTAAGGTATGGCACTATGTGCCCTTTGGCCTCAGGCCTACCCAAGGGCAGGGCCTCAAAATCTCTTATTTGTTGTGTCTCTGCTGCCATCACCCATGTCTCTCCTTCCTGCCACCCCCCAGCCCCACATCCCAGGATGGCTTTACACCCCTCTGGTCAGGGCTGTGTCTATTAAAGCCACCAAGAGTGCATTTTGTCCTGCTCCTCCCTGGCCAGCAGAAGTGGCTGACAGGACCACATTAGGACTTGGTGGGCCATAAGCATTTTTTGTTGTCATGGACCCCTTTTTCCATTAAAAAAGTAAAAAGTTACATTTTACAGTTGTGTTGGGATAAAGGTAAATATATTCACATTATATATGAAAACATTTCTGTTGACTTAGAAGATCATTTCTTCCCTCTGATTTTAAAACAACTCAGAATACTTTGTGGGCTCCTAGGAGTACCATGGGCTGGGGCTGAGCCTGGTGTGTCTGGTGGAGAAGCCGCCCTGATGGCTAGGGCTCCAGCTGGGCCTGGCTGCAGGAGTCCGCATTGAGCCTCAGCATTGCTGGCGGGGATGCCTTTCCCATCCTTTAGCTTTGTTGTTGTTTTGTTTTGTTTTGTTTTGAGACAGAGTCTCACTCTGTCGTCCAGGCTGGAGTGCAGTGGAGTGATCTCAGGAGGCTCGCTGCAACCTCTGCCCCCTGGGTTCAAGCGATTCTCCTGCCTCAGCCTCCTGAGTAGCTAGGATTACAGGCGTGCACCACCATGCCCGGGTAATTTTTTGTATTTTTAGTAGAGACGGGTTTTCACCATGTTGGCCAGGCTGGTCTCGAACTCCTGACCTCAGGCGATCCACCCGCCTCAGGCTCCCAAAGTGCTGGGATTACCATCCTTTAGCTTTTATAAGCCTCATACTGTCCCCGTGAGTTGGGCAAGGCCAGAATTCTCATCCCACGCCAGCCATTGACACTACCACTGCTGTGGATATGGCCATGGCCATGGCTGGGACGGGGACCTCCTCAGCTGCTCCTTTGCCCATATCAGGCGCTGTGTTAGGCACATGGCCACCTTAATCTTATTGAACCCTCACACCAGCCTCTGGGGCAGGCACTGTGCTTATTTCCCATTTCACAGATAAGGAAATCGAGGCTCAGAGGGAAGAAATGATGGGCTGAAGGCCACCTAGCCAGTCGGTGAGAGGGTGGAGACAGAGGACACAGGGGCCCCGGCTTCAGGAAGTCTAGGTCTTTCCACCCTAGAGACAGTGAAGGGCCAGGCAAGAGGTAGGTGGGGGTCGGTGGAAGAAATTGGTTGTGATGTCTCAGGACACAGTAGCAGGAAGGTGCCTTAGAGAGCTTGCATGGAAGGAACGGGCCTTCCTGCCCTGCCCCCATTCCCCTGGTTTCCAGCCCGGAGGGTTTTCAGGGCTAATGGAGGGGAAGGGCACAGACTTCACTCCTCTGTGGAGAGAGACACAGGGATTCCTGACCAAGCTGCCATGGATCCTTCCCTCCTCCAGGTCTGCTAACTCCAGGCCCTCCCTGTCCAGCCACGTTGTCTGGAGGCCACCTGGCAGTCTCATCTGGGTTGGGAGGCGTGGGGTCTCAGAGCGGGAGGAGAGAACCTCGTGGTGGGGGGAGCTAGCAGTGAGGGAGTGGGCTGTGGGGAGTCTGGGTCCCACCCCCGGGACTCTGTCAGTGGCAGGGTAGGGGTACCCAGAGCCATGGCAGGAACCACCCCCTGCCCGCCCCCGACTAGAGGCTCAGCTTCCCTGCGTGCACCTAGCTCAGGAAGCCTTCCTTTCTAGTCTCTACAGCTGTTTCCCTCTTTTCCCATCTCATTCTTCCCTCTTCATTTCTGGCCTATCTTTTAACATCTCCATCCCTTTGATGCCTCATCCATCTCCTCTTCACCGTCTTGTCTTTGCCTGTTCCCTTTTCTGCTTCTCTGCTCCTCTTAAGGCTGGGTTTTCCTCCTGCGTCTCCTCTGTGCGCCTGTGAGTGTCCCCTGTCTGCTCATCCTCTCTCCCTCTGTCCACCTGTTTCTCTTTCTTCCAGCGTTTCTCCATCTCACGCGCTGCCTCTGTCATTTTCTCTCTTTCTTCGTCTTTCTCTCTCTCTCATTGTTCTGAGACATAGCAGTGCCTGGCCCAGCGGGGACAACATGTTTCACAGACAAATCATCCAACAAAAGAGAGGAGGAACGTGCTTCAGGTGAGCGTGAGCGCCGGCCCTGCTGTGTGCTGTGTGCGCATGGTGGGGGGAGGCTGGGGTGGGGGGGGCGGCAGGAGGCCAGTCAGGTGCGGGCGCCCAGGGCCGGGCGGGAGGGGCTCACGGGAAAGGGCTTTTGTGCAGACCAGGCTCTGGGTGGCTTTCAAGCAGCACATCTTTCTTCCAAAGCCAAACCTTTGATCCCCAGAGACATCAAAAGAGCCATCTGCATTTGTGTTTCCTCCAGGTAGAGGAGCAGGGGAGGGGCGAGGAGAGAAAAGGGGAGGGTGGCAGGCATGGCGGAGGGGGTGCTGAGAGGGGCCGCGCCTGGCCTCTTGAACCTGCATTTCAGGGAAAAGCCCCTGTCCGGAACCCACTGCTGCGCCTTCTTGGCTGGGGGACTCCTCTGCCGACTAAATGACTAACTGGGCTATCTTCAATATCAAATGAGAGGACGTGTTCTAATGAAAAAGCCCTGTAAAGAGACAGGGGGTTTGGTGTGGGTCAGGAGCAGCTGGTGCCCTCTCTAAGTGACCCCATGGGGCTTGCTTTAAAAAGCCTTCTGGGCTAGGCGCGGTGGCTCACGCCTGTAATCCCAACACTGGGAGGCTGAGGCGGGCAGACCACGAGGTCAGGAGTTCGAGACCAGCCTGGCCAACATAGTGAAACCCTGTCTCTACTAAAAATACAAAAAAATTAGCCGGGCGTGGTGGCAGGCGCCTGTAATTCCAGCTACTCGGGAGGCTGAGGCAGGAGAATCACTTGAACATGGGAGGTGGAGGTTGCAGTAAGCCGAGATCGTGCCATTGCACTCCAGCCTGGGTGACAATTGTGAAACTCTTGTCTCAAAAAAAAAAAAAAAAAGAAGAAAAGAAAAAAAGCCTCATTTCCCTGTGTTGATTCATCCCTCCAGGAAGCCTCCTACAGTAGTCAGGTTTCTCTCCCATTACTGAATCTTTTCGGCTCCTATGGGTTCAGCTCTCCCGCCTTGTCGGAATGGGGTGCTGGTCATTTCCATGGCCCCAGCAGACCAGAAGGTGGCTAAGGGAAAGATCACATCTTTGTTTTCTCTTTTGGCCCCAGGGCCTGGCCCAGGTGGGGTGAACCAGATGTCCTTGATCATAATAATACTCTCCTGTAGTCATGAGGAGCCGCTGATTTCAAACCACTTTAGCAGACACCCTAGCATTTGCTCCTCACCCTGCCCAGTGAGGAAGGCAGGGCATAGATTCACATCCCCATTTTATAGTCAAAGAAACTTGAGTTTCAAAGAGGTCAAGTAACTTGTCCAAGATCAGTTAGCAAGTGAGACTGGTAAGAAGCCCAGGAGTCAGTCTGTCATTTTCATTTTACAGATGGGGAAATTGAGGCAGAGCGTAACAGAAACACAGGTTATTAGAGACCAGGTCCAGATTAAAGCCTAAGATTCTAGACTTTTTCTTCCAAACCGTAGTGACTGGACTACCCTCCCAGCCTCCACGTGGTAGACGCATATCTGGGGGACAGCTGGCTCTCAGAGAACGTTCAGAAGATCCAGGGCTATGCTGGGGTGGGCGTGGGGGCTTCCAGTCAATTTTCTGGGTTAGAACTCATGCTATAGGAATTCCAGATGTACCCTCATGGCCCTGACCAGGGGACAGGCGATTGGTCCTGCTCGCAGGTGACGTGAGGCAGAGAGAGGGGCTGGATCAGGACACTGCTATCTATTTCTCTCCCTGATTTTCATACCGGGCTGAGTGCATGGCTCTGCCTTTGGCTTCCAGGAATGGAGAGCAGCAAAAGGCAAGGACAGCAGCTGGTTCCATGGGAGCTCCCCATAGGCCACCCAGGCCCAGCGTCGCCTTTGTTTTAGACAACAAAGAGTGTCTCATGTGGTCTCCAGACTGACGGCAAGGTGCGGACCTCTGTTCAGGCACCTCAGCTTCCAAGACTGAGTTCTGAGTCAGAATCCTCCAGAGTCCTTGGTCTGGGGCTTCCACCCCACTCAGCCCCAGGACTTCCAGGATTAGTGTCCTTGCCTGAGTTCTGTGTTTTGTCTACCAAATACCCCACGTTTATTAAGCACTGATCTATTTCCCCATTTTATTAATGAGGGATGACTGTTCCTGAGATAATCAGTGTTTCCAGTGTATTGCACTGAGAAAATACCAGCTAAGGCCAGAGGTTTGACATTTGAGTTAGAGGCTGCAACTAAATGAGGGAACAGGTAGGTTTTCCGGGTAAATGTTTGAAATATGGGAAAGAGTTCAAGGGCTGTCCTTACTATCATCACAGACCTCCGAGGGTTTGGGTCCCCACACCGAGAACACAGAGGAGTCATGGGACTCTTCTGTGGCACATGTGGGCTCCAGACACACACATTCACATACGTGTCCCAGAAGAACCAGAATGCTGGGCCCAGGGGGAAGTGGCTTGTTTGCCAATCCAGTCCCATAGGCTCAGCTTCTCTCTCAGTTCCAGGAATTGTGATTTCTCACCTGAGATTAACTTTTTGCCCTCCTATATGGGTTGTGAGCTGGGGAGGAGACAGGGCTTCCAGCTGAATCAGGAGATGAGGCCTGTGAACTGAAATCACTGGTCCAAGGCCATACATGACATCCATATATGCTATGGGCAGGTGTATACACTATGTCCAGGAGGGGAACAGAATTGGGCCACAGGGAAGGCACATAAAATTGGAATAGTCTCTGGAGTAGTGGGTGCATTCAGGTTCTTTCTTGTCAGGATAACTGTTTATGCTCTGCAGGAGTGGCAGGGAGCACCAGGCTTCTAGCAGGCAATGGGCTTCAAGTCTTATGTATTTTGCCTTAAACTACACTTATAGGATTTATTTTTGCCCGCATAGTTACCTCCCTAATTAGATTGGCTTCAGCTAGTGTTAAAATTAGTATGCATGCCTTAAGGTTGTACCCCAACCGATGGAGGGTGCTCAGATGCATGCCTGGAGCTGAGGGAAGCTTGACTGAGAGGCAGTGTCAGCCACAGATAATCCTTGAGGTGGACTATGTACTTGGGTAGCAGAATTCACAGCTTCTGGCAGGTTCCCGGGAGGATGGTGGGACTGATATGGTAAAGGTGAGAAAAGCTGGCAAGTCTGGCCTCCAGCCTGGGTTGGAGGATATAGCTCATTGATTCAAAAAGTCACTGGAGCTGGTCTTGTCCAGCTCCTTCATTTCACGGATGTAGAAATTGCAGTTCAGGGTGGAAAGTGACCTGCCCCAAACCCCACAGCTGACAAATGATAGGGCTAAGAGTCGAATGCACATCTCCAGTCCAGTGCTCCCCATCCCGCCCCCTGCTGATGTGCTGAAGCTACCGCTTGGACCTTCTTCCCTCCTGTGAGTGAGAGGAGGGAGAGGGGTCAGGCCAGGGAAGAGTGGGGCTAGAAGGAGGGGTGTGGGTGAGGAGGAGCCTACTTTGGCCACCTACTTCTTTTTTTTTTTTTTTTTTGAGACAGAGTCTTGCTCTGTCACCCAGGCTGGAGTGCAGTGGCGAGATCTCAGCTCACTGCAAGCTCCGCCTCCTGGGTTCACGCCATTCTCCTGCCTCAGCCTCCTGAGTAGCTGGGACTACAGGCGCCCGCCACCACGCCCGGCTAATTTTTTTGTATTTTTAGTAGAGATGGGGTTTCACCATGTTAGCCAGGATGGTCTTGATCTCCTGACCTTGTGATCCGCCCGTCTCGGCCTCCCAAAGTGCTGGGATTACAGGTGTGAGCCACTGTGCCTGGCCACTTCTTGATGTGTTTCTTCTGCCAGAGCCTCAGTTTCCTTATCTATAAAATGGAATGCTTGGTCCCCATGAGCTCCAAGGCTCCAAGATGAACCAGACCAGAACATTCCTTGCTGGCCACCGAGGCCTTGGAGATGGGATAGAGCCAGAGTCAAATAGCGGAAAGCTGTGGCTCCAAGACCAGGAGGCGCCTGGGTCCAGAGGGCGGGGGCAGAAAGCAGCAAAGTTAGTGCTGTGCCCTCCACCCCAGCTATTTTTACCCAAGAACACTGGATTGCAAGAGGTCTGGCTAAAAATACCAGCAGCCCAAGCCTGAGCATCCTCTCCCCAGAGAGGGTGAGTTGGGGCTGTCAAGGAGGGGGGTGTGGGGACAGGGAGTCTGAAGAGCATTTATCCTTCTCCTTTCTGGGACTGGGGTGCCTGGGAAGGGGATCCCCTTCCTCTAGAGAGCCTGGTAGGGAAGACAGCCCAAGAATAAGCTTGTTTTAGTCATTTTCAGCAATCCTAGCCAGCACCCCACCCCCTGCCAACACACACTGGTTTTTTTTTTGTTTTGTTTTTTTAACCAAACGTAATCTAAATCTGTCACAATTTTGTGTTCTGTTCTTTTAAACTTATTTTATAAACATTTTTATGTTGCTATGTGGTCTTCATGTTTGTCATTCTTAATGGCTGCATAGTATTCCATCCAAGACTTTTCTATTCCCTGGTTGTTGGGCTTTTGATGACTTCCAGTTTGTCATTATTATAAATAAGGCGGTCATGGACATCTTTGTGCATGTGGCTTTTTCCTTCTTATTAATTATTTCTGTAAGATAAGTGGCCAGGTCGGGGGGTAAGGCTGTTTTTATGCTGTTTGATGTGGTTTGCCAAGTTGCTTTCCAAAAGTAAATGAAGGAGGGTTTAATGTGAGGATACATCCACACTGGGAGCCAAGTACAGTCAGGCTTCAGGGAAATCGGAACTGAGAGCCAACCAGAGCTCAAACAGCTGCCTCAAGCTCCCAGGGGTCTGCTTTGTTTCAGCTTCTCTGCTTTCTCTGCTCCATCTCTCTTTCTCTATCTTTATTTATTTTTGACCTAGCAGAGCTATCAGTTCGGAGCATATAACTGCTCACATTTTCTGAGGGCTTGCTTTGTCCTAGGCACCATGCCAATTGCTCACATTGATTATCTTAATTTTCACAACTAGCCTCTGGGGTAGGAATTATAATTATCACCATTTTACTGATGAAGAAACTAAAATATGGAAAAACTAAGTCACTTGTTCAAAGATGCACAGTCAGTAACTGATGGGAACAAGTCCCACGTGACTGACCTCTCTCTCTCTTTAAACATGTGCTCACGACCTATACCAGTCTCCCCGGGAATATGGAGATGCCACATCCACCCACAACAGGCCAGCCCATCATTTCTGGGTCTCTGAGTTCAAATTTTGAAGAGGGAGAATCTGATTGGCTCAGCCCCTCCTATGTCTTGGAACCCTAGAAGTCCAGGCCCAATCAGCTGTGATAGGGGATGAGGTCGGGCAAGGAATGCCAGAAGAGGATGCTGGGCCAAGAGGGCCGGTGGAGGAACTGTTTTGATGTGCCAGCATTGGACTTTGCTGGAAAATATTAAAAAGTAATGTAACTGGTATAAATCTAACTTCTTAGCATTTCATTGTGTCTCAGCCTTTTGGCTAAGATCAAGCGCCGCCTATTTGCATTTGCCTTTCTTTGATTATTTGTGAGGCTGAATGTGTTTCTGTGTTCCTTTCTTTATGTGTGCATTGTCTGCCTCTTTGCCCATCTTGGTCATGCTGTATATCTTACAGATATTAATGCCAGACAGAACAACAGTATGCGGAGAGGGGCTGCAGGCGGAGTGAGGATGATGTCTCACTAAATGGCTTTTTCTTTGTCCCTAATGCCTAGCAGGCTTTGACGGGCTTCCTAATCAGTGTTTCTAAGAGCCTGCTTCTTCTCCATCACAACCTGGCATGTTGCTTGAACTAGACAGTCATTAGCAGCGACTTCTCCAGCCAGAGAATCTCTGAGTTTGCCCTCTCCTGCCTGGCCCCTTCTGAATGAATGAATCAACCTAGAAGAGTTTTCAGGGACCCTGATTTGCTGCTCATATTGTGGGACTCATTCTTGAGCTGCATCCCATGTCTTTGTTGGTCTGAGGCTTTTTTGTTGTCCCAATTCTGGGCTGACTGTGTGCACACCTTTGCTTCCAAGTCCCCAGAAACAAAACTTCTATACCTACATCTCTCTTTGTGAAAATGTGTCGTCCCCTTACTTATAGAAGGCTAAAGATCCTCTCCCATCTTCTATCCCTAGACCCCATAAGTAACAAAGTGCCCATTACTTTAGCACTGAAGTTTGGAGCCTTCCATGAAGGAATGTGAAGTCCAGGAGGTGACATGCTACAAAGTCCTATGCAGCTGACAGAGACAGTGAAGGCTCTGGGCCCAGGGAGAGACAGGTGTTTAGGGCAGCCAGAACTGAGGCAGGAAAAGCTCCTATGGGCAGGGATGGCAGGCAGCTATGAGGTCAGCCTTCATTCAGCAGCCAGATAGCTTTGCACTGAGCTACCCGCTCAGGGGCCAGCTGTTCCCAGTTGTGGGGGCTGGGGAGAGAGGGGTAGTGAGTGGTGCTCTCTGAAGCCAGGGATTCAGGTTGACTTGTGGGATCCCATCCATGACCTTGGCCTCTGAAATCCAGAGCTCCATCACAGCCCCTGGGAGCCAGGAAATGACTAGTGTTTTGGGTCATGGTGGTTAGTTCATGGACTCTTCTTTGGAACTGTGGGTGGCTTCTCAGGGGACCCTTCTCTGCCAGGCCCTAGAGATAATCAGGAGCTGCCCATGGGAGCTGCCAATGAGACTGATAGAAGAGGTGGGAAATAGTGCTCCTCTCTGCTGGCTCCCTAGGAAGGAAGCTGGCTCCCTAGCTCCTGACTGTGCAAAGCACGGGCCAATTATCACTCACCAGGGCCCCATCTCCTCATATCATGAGCCACAGTTTCACACTGCTTTAAAAATCTTTACTCTTGATGTGAGAAATATGGTCCCTCCTAACTCTCAAGATTAGCAGACAAAATATCCTGGGGTTGGACATTTGTTTCCTGTGGCTGAGACCATCATTTGTTGCTTTGTATCTGTTCTTCTCCTCTTCTATTAATATATGAATGAAAGTTTTAGTTGGACACAAAGCTGTCCACTAAGGACTATATTTTCCTGCTTCCCTTGTATTTAGATCTAGCTTGTGACTAGATCCTGGCCAATGGGATGGCAAGGAGGGAGCATTCCCTTTCATCTTTCCCTCTTCCCTCTGGCTGGAATGCAAATGTGATGGCAGGAGCTGTAGCAGTCATTTTGGACTACATGATGAAAACTGCACATTGAGGAAGGCAGGGCAACAAGATTGAAGGAACCTGGATCCCCAACACCATTAAGTCACTGTATCATCCCTGGACTACCTACTTGAATCTTTATGTGTGTGAGAGAGTGACTTCTATCCTGTTTAAGCTTCTGTATTTTAGGGTTGATTTGTCCCAGCAGCTTGACTCTACATACCCATCACGGTATGTCTCTCGATGGAATGGCCATACCTGGGCCTATATGGATATGTCTGGTTATTGGTGGGGGGGCTGGGGACACCCCTATTTTGGTAGACTTTGGTGGTTCCCAATAGATCATCCCTCCCAATATTCACACCCTTGTGTACTTCCCTCCCACAGTAACTCTGGACTTGGCCATGTGACTTTCTTGGGCCAATGGGACATGAGCAAGCATGATACCAGCAGGGATTTGGTAAGCACTTGCACAGTGGGGCTTTACCGCATGGAATACTCACTTTCGGGATGTTCCTACTCTAAACTCAAGTGTCAATCTTGAGAAGCCCAACCTAGGCACAAGGAGAGGCCATGTGGAGGAGAACTGAGGCCCTGGCTTCAGCTCCAGCCAATAGCCAGAACGTGAATGAAACCATTTTGGAAGTGGATCCTCCCATCTGAGGCCTTGGGAAACGGAGACAAGCTGTTCTTGTCACACCCTGTCCAAACTACAGGATTGTGATCAAATCAATAATTGTTGTGCGCTAGATAACCAGAACATATGTGGATGGTCCAGGGCCCTTTGCACCGTCTGAAAAACTCAAGTCCATTGTACCTTTTTCACACCAAAATAGCAAACATGTCTTACTTGTGCCTTGACACTAGAACACATGGGTAATTACTGATGCTCTGGAAATACTTACAGATTGGCCACCTTTCCCTCCAAAACATGTTCTTCCTCTCTCAGCCCTTGTCAGGTGTTGGTAGCTTGGCTTATTACTCTGACTTTCAGCTCCCGGAATGGCTGTGGGTTCTGTAGACCACACCTTCTCTCTCATAATAAGGCCGCTGGGGTCCCGTGTCCCTTAGAGAAGGGTTGAGGGCAGTGTTTGGAGGCACGGTCTGACTGTGTCAATGATGGATCCCCAGTGCCCACACGAATAAGTGTGCAATATGTGTTGGGGGAATGAACAAATGAATGAATGATTGAATGGTGAGTGAAAAGTAACTCATCTGGTTCAGAGCAGGAGATCAAGGTGAGAGGGGAGCAGGGGGTCTCCAGGGAGGGTAAGGCCAGTAGACAGTCCTAGGTTTAATGAAAGATGGCTTTGTAAATATTTTTAACTCCTTTAAATTATAATTATAGTAGTGAACATTTATTGAGTTCTTACTATGTGCCAGCCACTGTGCAAAATGCTTCATGTAAATTATTGCATTAATCATCTCAACAATCCTGGCAGGTAGGTATTATAACTTTCATCCCATTTTATAGATGAGGAAATAGAGGCCCAGAAAGGTTAGGTAACTTGCCTGAATGGGGATGGTAAGATTGGAACTCAGACAGTCTGGCGCCAGTACCCAAGGCATAGCAACCACACTCCGGCAAATAGTAGGGCTCCCATTTTCCACCTTTGGAGAAAGCCAGGGTCTGGCACGGTTTAGGGCACAATTTCCAACCTTGAGTCTACCAAGTGCTCCTGGGGACCGAGAAAGCCCAGATTAGAAGAGAAGAGGGCGAAGGGGGCGAGTCTGGGGTCCATGTCCCAGGAGCAGGAGCATTAGCTTCAGGGCTCAGAGATGGTGCTGCCCACCCCACCTGAGCACCCTCACTGGCCGCTCCCACTCACTCCTCAGAAATGAGCCTGGCCCGTTCACACGTGTCCCTAATGCCAGGTTCCAAGAAAGCCACCTAAATACCTGGTATTTGAGATGTAAAGAGACCGGCTCCCTGTACTTAGCACTGCACTAGCTTTTCCAATTATAGCGCCCTATTTTCCAAAGTCTAAAATGGACATATGTTATAACTGTCTTGGGCCCCAAGGTTTCAGAAACACCCTTAAGGCTCCTGAAATACAATCATGTATTTTAGACTAATTCCTAAAGGGCTGAGAGGGGTTATCTTTAACATCTGCCAGCACCGACACAGAATCTGGCCTTTGTTTACAAATGATCCTGGAGCCTGGGCACACCACAACCTCTGATGGAACAAGCTCTGTGCTGAGCTGAGCAGGGAGGCCTGAAGAAGGGAGATCCCAGGCTGGAGTGGGTGTTGGGGGAGACACAGCCCTGTCCTCAGGGAGCCCCAGTCTGAGGGGGACACACAGCCCTGCCCTGGGGGAGCTCCGATGTTGAGGAAGGAAACAGGCCACACACGGAAACCCAGTAGACCCTGGGACAGGTGGGGAAGGGGTAACTCCCGCTGACTCTGCCATCACAGGGTGGGTAGGTGGGAAGGAGGCAGGTAGGAAGGCTGCCTGCATGTTCCAGTGCCTGGAAGCAGGTGTGTAGGTAGATGGGGGCAATGGAGCTGAACTTTAAACGCTCTCTGGAGCTAATGTTGCTTCGGGCCTGCCAGCCAGGGCATTTTCTGTCCAAATCCAACTGTCATTATTAAACATTTATTATGCAAGGGAGATGTGCTTTTCTGGTCTCAGTGTTTGGCCAGCAAACTTGGTGAGTAAATGGACTAGAACTAATCCTGTAGCTAAACAGCGAGGGCTTTAGAAAAGGAAACACCTCACTTGCCTAATAGCTCCCAGGGAGGGGTGAGATATGGAGTATCAGCCCTCGGACTGCCCTCTTCCTCAGTTAGGGAGACAGTGGCTTGGTGGCCAGGCCTCCCAAAACTTTTGCGAACAAACAGGGAGCAGAGAACAAACAGGGGGCAGAGCTGACCACGGAGCTCATAGATCAAGGGCAATAATTAGGAGTTTAAGGATGTTCCGGGTAGGGGACAGACTCCTGGCCAAGCATCAGGAGAGCTGGGTTCCAGCCAGCTCAGACCTTAATTGGCTGGCCGTTACTCCAGAAATTGGTAAGAACATCCCTTCTCCCCAGAGGCCAGGGCCTGCAAGAGGAGCCGAGAGGAAGGGGAGACCGTCTGAGGGAGGAGACATGGCCCTGCCCCGAGGGAGCCCCAGTCTGAGGGAGGAATAGATGAAACTGCCTTTGCAAAAATTTTAGTAAGGGAAATCTGATGTAACCGACTCCATCTTGTTTCTACCAGGTTTTCTACCAGCTTTAGCTCATTCTTGTGTGGAGGCCATAATAGTCCTTTCCGTGAACTGATCCCCTACCTGTTCAAAAATTGAAACCACATTTGTAAAGGCTAATGAAAGGTCAAGAAGTTAGAATTATGGTAGGGGCTTGAACCATCACTTAGCTTGTTTTTCCATAACTTAGCTTAGTCACTTAAGCTAAGCTAAGTTAGCTAAGCTAATATCACTTAGCTTGTTGACTGCCCCAGAGTCACATAACTAGAGGTTTCAAGATTTATAACTTCCCCAACTACTTCTATAGATAACATCGCTATTGTGAAACCTAAAGAATAAAGAAACTAAAAGGTAATTCCACAAAGAGTTGTTTAGCTCCTGTGTGTGCCCAAGGCCAGGCAGGGAGTCCCAGCCCCTATCAGCCAGAAGTCGCTGGGTCTTTGATATGGTTTTCAGATGTAGCATTTCCACAGACCGAGAGAAGTCAGCTGGTCCTGAGACTGCCTCCCGGGAACTGACTGAGCTGTGTGAAGACAGTTTAGACACTGTGATTTCATCCCCAGCCAATGAATTGTTTCAGTTTCCCAGCCCCCTGCCCACCAAAGAACCCTTAAAGACCCTACCCTCTGAATCTCAGGGAAGTGGATTTGAGAAATTTCTTCCGTCCTGCTTGGCTGGCCATGGGATCATCCAATTCTTCTTTGCTGCAGCACCTGCTGTTCTCAGTGCATTGGTATTTTCAGGGCAGTGGGCAAGAAGAACCTATCAGGCTGTAACATAGACACAGCTTATGGACTCTGGAGACCGGGCTACCAAACAGGCCAGAACTGTGGGAAATAGGGTTCACCCTTTCCACCTACCCCATTACTTACCCAGAGAAGGCCAAGGGCCCCTGGCTAGCATCTGGAGGGAGACTTTCTGGGTGTGGACAGATACCAGAGTGGGATGAGTGTTCTGCAGGACCTGGAGCCCCTTGCCAGCCCCTCACTCCATGTGAGTCTTGCAGGTCAGACCCAGATTGGGTGCCCTAGGATCAGTGAAGTGTGACCTATGGTACTAGCCAGGCTATTCTTTCCTGGGGTGGGGAAGCAGCCTGGTCTGATCCTATCAACAGAGAAGGAGTAGGAAAGGGGCTGTTCGAGTCTGGATAAGTCCCCCTCCCAAAGTGGCAGCTTTGGTTCTAAGACAGTTCACTAAAAGGTACACTCCATGAGGGCAGGAATTCTGGTCCACTTTGTACACTGCTTCATTTCCAGAGCCTAAGATCATGCCTGGCATATGGTAGTTGTTCAATAAAAAAATTACTGAATTAATTAGAGTCCTTTTCAACCCCCATTCAGAACTCACTTCCTACCAAAAAATCTCCTTGATAAAGCTTTTCTACTTCAGTGACTACTCAAAAGCAGTACATATAAAATTCATTTGCAAATATAATCAATTGAATCCCAACAGCTGTCTATTTTGAAGGGAAAAAAATGACAAATTTAGATTATTATTGTTGTGTAGCAGGCCCTATGCTAGTTTCTTAACAGACATTATATGACTTAATTCTTGAAGGAAGGCCCTATTTCACAAACAAGGAAATGAAGGTGTCCGGTGTGGTGGCTCACACCTGTAATCCCAGCACTTTGGGAGGCCGAGGCAGGGGGATCGTTTGGGCCCAGAAGTTTGAGACCAGTGTGGGCAACATAGTGAGACCTTGTCTCTACAAAAAATAAAATTAAAATAATTAGCTGGGCACAGTGCCGCATGCCTGTAGTCCCAGCTACTTGGGAGGCTGAGACGGGAGAATCACTTGAGCCCAGAAGGTCCAGGCTGCAGTGAGCTCTCTGATCATGCCACTGCATTCCAGCCTGGATGACAGAGCAAGACCCTGTCTCAAAAGGGAAAGAAAAAAAGCAACTAAGGCTCTAAGGAGGGAAAATTACATAGTGCCCCTGAAGTTGTACCTCTAGGAAATTGCAGAGCTGGGATTTGAACTCACTTCTTACTCAACCCCTCTCCCAACTCTTTTCCTGAATTTCATGGAATTATTTTTTTTCCAACTAGGTTTTGTGATTCAGAAGGTAATTCTACAAAGAGTTCTTTAGCTCCTGTGTGCCCAAGACCAGACAGCATGCACGGGAAGCCCAAGTCCCTATCAGTCAGGAGCCACCAGGCTCCTGCGAACAAACAGGGAGCCTGGGCCTGATTGAAGGCAGAGCACTGGGCCTGATTGAAGCACTCATGGCAGTGGCCCCGGTCAGCCTGGGGCTGCGGTTTCCTGGCAACACTGGCCCTGCCAGCCCTTGACTTAGTGACATCTGCCATCCAGACCAACAGTAGATTATCCTACAAACAGGTACACCTCAGGCTTGTCAGTTCTACCCGGAAAGTTACCTCTCAGCATTCTGAGTGTATGGCTATGCACAGTCTCCCAGAGCTGGGAAGTGCCTGGAAGGCATCTCATCTGGCCCGCCACATCTCTTGTGCAGAATCCCTGACAGAGTGTCCTCTGGTGTCACTTACAGACTTTGGGGATGGGGGCTCGCTGCCCAGAAGGACATCTCCTTCTTTCTTGTTCTTCTACAGATTCTTCCTCCACCTCAGCTGAAAGGATTCATCTTGCAGCACGGCCCACCTTGGAACCCTTTGTGTTTGCTGAAACTTTCTTTGTGATTATTCTTATGTCACTGCATAGCATGTAAATGTATCACACCCCCCCCCCACCCATTATTATTATCTCCTAGTATGCACCAGGCACTGGCCATAAATTATTTCTAATCATCATTAAAACTCTACCACGGTTATCCTCCCTCTATGGATAGGAAAACTAAGGCTTGGAGGTTGAAGAGGTCATGGATCTTGTCCAAGGTCACTAAACTCATAAATGTCACAGTCAAAATTTGAATCTAGATAGAGTTGTCAGCTCCAAAGAAGTTTGCTCAGTCAGTTCTTCCCCAAATTAGCTTTTTATCCAAATTTGCTGAGAAGCTTTTTAAAAATACATCTTCTTTACAACAAAGCCAGAGAAAGAATAAGGCAGCTCTCTGCACAACAATATGGTGCTCGTATATGCCTAGAACATCTCCAGGAAGAAGGTGAGTCACTGGCCACCGCTGGCCTCAGGGGATGGTCTACGGGAGGGGACACAGGAGTGGGAGGGAGACTTGCTTTTTACTATATTCTCCAGTACTTATTGGATTCCTTCCTTTCCTTCCTTCCTTCCTTCCTTCCTTCCTTCCTTCCTTCCTTCCTCCCTCCCTCTCTTTCTTTCTTTCCGTCTCTTTCTCTTTCTTTCTTTCTTTTTCTTTCTTCCTTTTTCTTTCTTCTTTCTTTCTTTCTCTTCTTTCTCTTCTTTCTTTCTTTTCTTTCTTTCTCTTCTTTCTTTCTTTCTTTTCTTTCTTTCTTTCTTTCTTTCTTTCTTTCTTTCTTTCTTTCTTTCTTTCTTTCTTTCTTTTTCCTTCCTTCCTTTTTTCCTCCCCTCCTTCCCTTCCTCCTTCCTTCTTTCTCTCTCTTCCTTCCTTCTCTCTCTCTTTCTTTTCACCTTTTCAAAATTATTAGAAAATAATTTAAAAATCAAAAAAGAATATAGCTCCAGGACTCCACTGCCAGATCTCCTTATAAATCCAAATCACCAGAGTTGGGTTTTGGGACCCAATAAACATCCTAGGTGGGCACTGGTGCCCTCTGTCCCCTGCTGCTAGTGGCCAGGACCCAGCCTCATCTCACCTGTCATTTCCCCTCTGCCCCTAGCCCCTGGCTGGTCCAGAGCTCTGTGCTGCCAGCTCTGGGAGGGACTGACGGCTGCCTTAGGTGGCTATGGGGCCATCTCTTCAATGTTTCCGCAGGGACTTTTTCCAGCCAGATTTCTTGAGCCCCATACCTGCCAATGAGCCAGCACTACCCAAGGACTCAGCCTCTGTGTCCTGTGGACCTGCAACAGCTTAGAGGCCATCCCCATGCTCAGGCCTTGCCACCACATGCCTGGATCTGCCACTCCTCAGCCCCTACCCTCAAGCCCCAGAGCCCTCAGCCCCCAAGGTCAGCCAGGTCTGTGTGATTATTTTTCTCTCATATCAATGGTGACCTCCTAACCACATTGTTCTGCTCCTTGGCTTTTTTTACATCATAATATGTCTCCACAGCATTTCTCTGTGTTGAGATGTTAGTGTCTATCAGGGAGTCAGTAGAGTGGTGGTGAGCATGAGAAATTCTGGAGCGACTCCCTGGGTTCAAAGCCCAGCTTGCTACACTTAACTGCTTGACCTAGGGCAAGTTTTTAATCTCTGTGATGTGAGGATGGAAGGAGTTGAGACATGTGAAGCTCTTTGAGTAATGCCTGGCACTTAGGATGTGCACGGTGAATATTCATGATGATCATGACTGTCATTAGAATCTCAGTGGGGAGACTAATAAGGGGTCATAATCAATGTTCTAGGCTCTGGAGTTAGACAACTTGGCTTCCAATCCTTATTCTGCATCTTTCTTTCTTTTTTTTTTTCCTTTGAGACTGAGTCTCACTTTGTTGCCCAGGCTGGAGTGCAGTGGTGCTATCTCAGCTTACTGCAACCTCCACCTCCTGGGTTCAAGCAATTCTCCTGCACAGCCTCCTGAGTAGCTGGGATTGCAGGTGCATGCCACCCTGCCTGGCTAATTTTTGTATTTTTAGTAGAGATGGGGATTCACCATATTGGCCAGGCTGGTCTCGATCTCCTTGACCTCAGGTGATCTGCCCGCCTCGGCCTCCCAAAGTGCTGGGATTACAGGCGAGAACCACTGCGCCCGGCCCCTACTCTGCATCTTTCTAGCTCTAATCTTTCTAACCTCTCAAAGCCCCAGTTTCCTCATCTATAAGATGGGGGTGACTCTTACCTCACAGGATGGTTGAGGATGGTGCCTGGTGCAAAACAGATGCTCAATAAATCTTCATAGAATGGATCACAGCATGGGGATGGGGCAGAAGGAAGCCTGGCAGACAGAGTGTGAGCCACATCTTTTTGCCTCAGGCTGCTGGTGAGGATCTACTGGTGCATTTGGCAGTGTGTGGGAGGCGGGGGGCAGGCCCTCCTTCTTCACACTGCCTGAGGGATCATGGCCTGAGGAAGACCCTAGACTGCCTAGGTATTCATTATGAAGGAGCGGCCAGCCTGCCAGCCAGGCCAGGCCTGTGCCCATCGATACTGTCAACATGCCCCTCCCTGCCGAGAAGTGGGACCATAGGAAGGAAGCCAATTGCAATCAGAAGGCACGTCATTCATATCCAGGAGAGAACATCACTTTAAGGGCTAGAAAGTCTCCTTGGCCAGTTGGTGGGCAAGGGTTCTCACTGCAGGTGGATTTGAGAATGTCTAGACCCAGCCTGAATGATACAGGACAGGTGGAAGAACAGCATGCATGGTGTGTCTGCAGGCCTCGGCTCCAGCAGGGCTTGCCAGCTGGAAGAGCTACCACCCCTGCTTCTCGGTGCCTCCTCCCACAGCCTCCCTCAGAGCCCCCTTCTGACACCCCACCCCGTCTTTAGGGGAGTCATGCTTTGCTCTCCCTGATGGAAGCTGGAGGAGCGAGAGCAATCCCTCTGGCTCTCCCCAGCTCATTACAAATGGGCTAGTTTTCCATGGACCATGGTTAGGTGCCACACTGTCAGGCACAATTAACTCAGCTGTGTCTTAGTTTAGTTGGTATTTATCTGTCCAAGTTCCCCTTAATAGACTGAAAATCCCGTAAGGGCTGAGAGACAAGCTCTTACTCCTCTTATTATCATTACTAGAGATTAGGTCTGTGAGGCTCAAGTGCAACACTGCTATTCTTAGTATCTGCAAAGATATTAACAGAGGGACATAACAGTAGCTAGATTAATTGGGCACATGTGTTGGGCAAGGCACTATACTAAGCATGTTAGTGTTATTAACTCATTTAATTCTCACAACTCTATGGGAGCCATATGCTATTACGAACATTTGTAGAGAGGAAACTGAGGCAGAGGGCAGCTGGCTAACTCATGCAGAGTCACACAACTAGGAGGTGACAGGATTCAAACTCCGGCTTTCTGGATCTAGAACCCACTTTCCACACCTTGAGCCCTCAGTGAGCATTTGTAGAGTAGCTGAGTGACTGAAAGAAGTGCAGACAGGCAGGTACACAGAGGGGATGGCCGAGGGCCTGACTGGGCAGTGGGGACTAGGCCTGGGTTTCTGGACTGATTTGGGGGCTGAAGTCAGCAGCCCAGATTCTGAAGGTCTCTAGGCTGTGGCCCTGCCTTGCTCTGCCAACCATCTGGCTCTGCACAGGCTGTCCAAACAGGACTCCGTTGCTAGGGCCCTGGCAGGGATGCCTGACCTGATAATCCCTGCCTCCCATGGGAACCCAGCCTCTCCCCGGCCATGTCCATCAAGGTCATCTAGTGTGGCCTGGCTACTAGCTGCTTCCGAGGTGCTGCCCATCTACCCTTTCCTTCCTTATACCCCCTCTCTGAGCTGCTTCTTTGGACCTTCTTTAATAATTAGTGGTTAATTGTCAGTGGTCTAGGGTCAGACTGCCTGAGTCCCAGCCCTGGCTCTGCTGTGTGGCCTTGGGAGTGTTACTTAACCTCTCTGAGCCTCATTTCCCCATCTTTAATATGGAAATCAGAACAGACTATTGTAAAGATTGGTATGAGGATTAAATGAGCTAAAACATTTAAAAGGCTCTAACAGTACATCTCAAACTGCATATATGTTTTTGTTAATATTATTATGTCTTACTCATTCATTTAAATTGATGACAGTGTAGCCAGTGCAGAGTGAGAGGAGAGGTGGTCAGGGCAGTTAAAGTACTAGCATCCCTAGTCCATCTTCTTTGAAAAACCAGAGCTGAGTGACAGGGACACTCCCTTGCTCTAGCTTACAGTCTTTCCTGGGTTGGGGCGGGGTGGGAGAAGTACCACTCCCCAGGCACCCTCATTCCGGGAGGCCCTACGCTGGTGTGTCTCACCTTCTGCTGAGACAGATACCCAACATCGCCCTGTTCAATACTTAAAGCTCAGCTACACTTTGACCACAAGGCACAGTTTTCTACTTGATGTATTTAAATGGATTTAGGGCCGGGCGCGGTGGCTCAAACCTGTAATCCCAGCACTTTGGAAGGCCGAGGCGAGCGGATCACCTGAGGTCAGGAGTTTGAGACGAGCCTGGCCAACATGGTGAAACCTCGTTTCTACTAAAAATACAAAAATTAGCCAGGCATGGTTGTGCGCTCCTGTAATCCCAGCTACTCAGGAGGCTGAGGCAAGAAAATCCCTTGAACCTGGGAGGCAGAGGTTGCAGTGAGCCGACATCGAGCACTGCACTCCAGCCTGGGTGACAGAGTGAAACTCCATCTCAAAAGAGATAACTGGATTTAGTTTTGTTTTTTTTCAGCCTTTATCATAGTTGTTCATGCACATAAAGAGTCACATAGATCTATGAAGTTCCTTACAAACAAAGCATCCTCACTGAGCAGAGGGACCACATTCTCTTTCACTGACAGATTCTTCTGGAATGGCTCTATCCCATGCTGCCCCTGCCCACAACTGTTATGCATCCCAGCCCCCACCCATAACACCTATGTCATACTGGTTAGATGGGGATGGAACACGACCTCGTAAAAGCATTGACATCCAGGGTTGAGCCATTTAGTAATCTATGATTGTTGTGTTTTTCCTTTGAACAACTTGTTTTCCTCCCTGAAGTTGCTGATGGTCTTTTTTATTATTCATTTAATTGTCATGCACTTAGAGCGAATTCAATGGCTTCTCAGTTTCTGATAATAACCACTAATGCCTTTTGAGCACTTCCTGGGTGCCAGGCACTATTCTAAGTCCTTTCATTGTAGTAACACATTTTAGTCCTTATAATACCCTCTGAGGTGTACACTATTATGATCTCACTTTATAGATGAATAAACTGAGGCACAGAGAGGTTAAGTGACTTGCTCGCAATCCCAGAGCAAGTATTTGGCAGAGCTGAGATTTGAACCCAGGCTCTTCCCACTGTAGGGATTGTGCCTGCCTGGCCTCACGTGGCCTCTGGGAGCACATCTTCATATCAGTCTCCTCTGGGCCCTTTCTCACCCTCTCACTATTTTCCGGGTTCAGTCTTTTCTCTGCGCCTAGGCTGTAAGCTAGCCCTGTGTCCTTCTCCTCTGCAGCCCTGGAAGCAGGACTGGATCCAGCAGGCCCTCTTGTGCTTGCCAGGACGTTCCTGCCCTGGACTGTCTACTTGTCCTCATGCTCTCCACCCCGGGGCCTTGTGGGTAGGAGGCAGGACAGGGAACAGTACTGGTTCAGGTACAGCTGGGCCTGCAGAGGCTCAGGAAAGCCAAATCAGTGCCGTAAGGCCTCATGACTGGGGAACTGGGGTTTGAACTCCCTCCTTCACCTGCAAGTCCAGGGATGTTCCTAATGCATTGAACTTCTTCCTACAGGCACAGGCATATACACACCATGCACATTACATACACAAATATACAAACATATATACACATTATTTACATATGCTAATTATGTGCATGCATTTTCACATGGACACATTATATACACATACATATAGACACAATTGCATTTCATATACACATAACGCAGGTACACATACATACTCACATAATATACACACATACCAGTTATACACAGATGTATTAAACCCACAAACATATATTAACACAGAAGCATATTATACAAACACCTTATTACAAACACAAACATGTGTATACTATATATTCACACAGAGACATACACATATTGTACAGATGAAAACACACACAAATATGTAAATATATACCTATATACACATAAATATACACATCCTATTTGCATAACATACACAAACACTGCTGCACAAAGCACATGCACATATTTTTCACATATGAAAGCATGCAAACACATTTGCACAAAACATACAAATGAATGCACAAATATACAAAAACCTACAGTGCAAACATATGCAAGCATATGTGCACATCCACAGATGCAAAAACTTGCACAAACACATCCACATTATGTGCACGAAGAAACATGCCCACATCTGCATGTGTGTGCACACAATCACGTATGCCTGCCTGGCCTGGTTTATATGGGGAGTGATGGAAGAAGGCCATTGGCCTCTCCAGGTTCTGTATGTGTCTGGTGACTTGGAGTGAGTGTGTTTCTTTACTGTTTCCTTGGAGTTGCATCATAAAGTGCCTTCCTTGAACAGGGCCGGTACAGGACCAGGTCAGCCTGTCCTCATTACATCAGCAGGGTGAGCCAAGGGAGGTTGCCTAAAAATTCAAGTAAGTAGTCCCCAGCCCATGGAGGCTTGAGAGACCCCCAAACCCCTCCCTTTCTCTGGAGTCCCACCTAGGGTTAACCACTGGCTACACTCCCAGGGAGGCCCCAAAAGCTGCCAGATTATGCCCTTTAAGAGATGAGAAAATGGCTTGACCAAAAAAGTTAATGTTTGTAAACACCAGTTTAAGGAGAGAAGGGATTTCAAAGCCTCCGCAGCCTGCTGCTCCACACCTCTGAGCATCTGGGAATCTCAGCCCGGGGCTGTGCACACAGTAGGAGCTACATCGGCAGCACTCTAGGGAATGGGGTCTGACAAGTGGTGGGGGGTACAGGGAGCCAGCCCCAGAATTCAGAGGTAATGCAGACCCTCTTCACGTTTGAGGACCCTGCCTGCATCACTTCCAGCCCAGAGGTTCTTAGCTTCGTCATCTGCTGGGGGTGAGGGACCACCAGTTTAGGGAGCCCCCTGCAGAGGCCCCCTGGATTGTCCCTTCTTTTCCCTCCTTGGCCTTCCTCCCAGCTTGGTCTCCCCACCACCCCCAACACTCCCCAGACACATTCCTCTCCTTCAGACTTTCGTTTCAAGGGCTTGGTGATTTCTTTGCAGGATTTGATTTGCCGCTCAGGCATTTCCTTGAGTGGCCCCTCGGTGTTTGCCCTCATCCAGATGGCATCCAGATGCAAACATCCCCCCTCCCCCAGCTCCGGCTCCTCAGCTAGGGGAATTGAATCTTGACCCCCACCTCACACCCACCTCCCTGCATCATCAGCTTTGTTTCTGGGATCTGAGGTCAGGGCATGGACTAACACCTCTGCCTGTGGCTCTCTCCAAAGCCCGACTTCTGGCCATCCTATGATCTGCCTCCCTCCTCCGCCTTTGTTCAATTCAGCAGGTAATTGCTTCACAGCCAAAGCAAATGTCAGGATGATAATGAGGGAGATATGATGCAGTTCTGGCCTAGGCAGGGAGGGGGAAGAGCAGGGTGTGTGCTTGTGTTGAGGGAGCAGGTGCTGAGGGCCCTGATCTCCAGCTGAGGTCCTAAGAGATGACCAAATCCAGGTGAGGGAACTGAGGAGAGCAGATGATAACCATGCTAATAGTTACAGAACAAGGTCCATGTGCAATAACAACGTAAAGACCAGTTCATTTAGTCCTGTGAGCTGGGCCTCCTTATTCCCATTTTACAGATGAGGAAACTGAGGCCCAGAATGGAGAGAAAAAAACGACCAGAGCAAGCACCTGTATAATAAATTCTCTGTTCCAGGCACGACATAAAGATCAGCTAACTTAACAAGGCGTTCTTTGGAACACCTTGAGAGCTGGACACTCTTGTCCCCATTTTATAGATAAGTTAACTGAGGTTCAGAGAGGCTTAGTAACTCATGCAAGACTCTGTGGCTTCTTAAATGGCAGAACTTGGCTCCAAACCAAAGGCTTCCAAGGCCCATGGCGCTTCTTGTGTGCCCCGATTTGCTCAGCATCAGGGCCAGACCTTCAGGAGCTGTCCCCAGAGCCCTATCCTGACATGGTGACCATCGCCCTGATGGGAAATGTCTCAAGGAACCTGGGGAACAGTCCTGGGTGAGAATCCCTGTGCCTGGGGGAACCTCACTGTTTCTCAGAGGTCAGGCTCCAGGCCTCTTAACTCTCTGTCCAGTGCTGGACTCTTGACCCAGGGCAGGACTCGCTCTTGCGAGGCCCTTGCTGACCTCTGCTCAAACCCTCTGCTTCCCCTTCAAAGTTAATATTTACATACTCTCTGCCATGCCTCTGTGATGCTGCCATAGATATCAAAGTGCTTCCTGACCCCAGAGACACCCCAGGGCCCCCAAAACCCCTCCTAGGCTCCATGCTCCATGCAGGGCCCATCGACCCTCAGGCGGCCAGAATGATGGGCAGCATGCTGTGGCCAGATGGACTGTACTCTCTTCACCGCGCACCGTCAAGCTTCCTTGACAGAAAATGGGGCATTTGGCCCAGGCTCAAAGCTGCAGTGTAGGCATTTCCTAGAACCACTGGGCATTGGACCCCAGAAGTGTGTGATGAGTCGGGGCCAAGGGTCAGGCTGTCCCAGCTCTGTGCCTCAGGCAGCTGTGGGGGTGGCCTCCAGCAGGCCCTGCCTGGTAGTACCTGGTGGGCCTGAGGTGTGTGCGTAGAGCCATCCAGGCCCACGGGAGGAACATCCACCTGTCTGGACTCACAGCCCAGAGAACAACAGAGCTGGGCATGTAGGGCAAGTTAGGGGCAGGGCTGGAACTTCTCACCAGCCCGCCTCTCCCCAGTACCTCCTCCAGGTGTCCTCCCAGCGTGCTAAGAGGTGGATGCCAGCATTGGCCAGACCCCCTCCTCTCCCCGCTCCCTTCCCTCTGTCTTCCGTCCTTCTGGCTCTAAGTGAGCTCAGCTTTGCAGTAGAAGGGAAACCTGAGGAACTAAGGATTTCTGAGCTGGGCTCCTCCCCCAGAGGGTCAGAGGGGCTGTTTTCAGCTGGGAGCTGGGGTGACTTGGAACCCCAGAGAGCTTCAGGGAAGACCCCAGGCTGAGCAGGAGAGAGGAGCATCCCTGCAGCTGGCAGTCTGGAAGGGCTGGCTGGCCTAGGTCCTTGGGGCTGGGGTCCTCAGGTGGGTGCCTGTTTGCTTTCTGAAGAATTCCTGCAGGAAGCATGTGGGTAAGTGTCTGAGAATTTCAGTGATGGTCAGAGGGAGAGGACACTGCTACCAGCCACATGTTGGTGGCCAGGTGGCCTGGGAAGGGACACCGTGGCTGGCACACCAGGCCCTGCAGGTTAATGTTTGACCTGGAGCCACGTGTTTTTCCACTGGGTATTTTTATCCTCTGTACCTGGCAGTGGGCAGCTGGAGGGAGGGAGGTACCCAGCTAGTGTCTCACTGGGCAAGACAAGGCTGCAGAGAGGCCAGAGGGGCCAGCTGAGGGATGCAGAACAGGGGATTGAAAGAACAGGAGGGAGTCCCTGGAGCAGGCCGACTCCCCACACCTCAGCTACACTCCCAGCCCTACTCTGATGCCACCCCATCCCTGGCTCTCCTCTCTCTGTTAGGACTAGCAGTGGTGAGGAGATGAAGAAGATAGGGAGGAAAACCAAGAGATCTTCTCAGGGGTCCACAGCTTCTCAGGAAAGTTAAAAATGTCCCCTCCTCTCCCCATATTATCTCATTGGTAATGAATCACTCTCAGATCCTGTGCATCACGAGTTAGAGATTTCCTCCTTCTGCAGACACTGCAGTCTTACTCTGATTGTGGGAGTAAGTCACAGCTAACTGAGGTACCCTCTACCCCTACCTGCACCCCCAGGGCCAATCTGATGAGGGAACACAGCCCTGCTCCCAGAAAATCCCCAGTCTAAGAGGGTAGGGGCTGTGTCTCAACTCACAACAAGAGCTTTGCCCCTTTGCATCCAAGAGGCCTGGAATTGAATTGAAACACCCACTGGGTCCATAAGCTCCGGAATCCCAAGCCCTCCCCATCTCTCTGTTTTCCTCCTCGGCAAGTAGGGAGTCTTGCCTGAGCTGACTTTGTGAGGCTCTTTACAGCCCAGTGGGCAGAGTCCTTCTCACTCATCATGGGGGGACAGGGGAGGGAGGTCCTCGAAGGCCACTTAACAGGGCCAGCTGATGCCATGGTGCCAGTCGAGCAAAGCCAGCTTCCTTCCTGCACCCCCACAAGGTCCAGATGGTCTTTGAAGTTACACTTGAGTCCAGTAGTAAGTGGGTCTCTGAGCAAACCTGCCTACGAGCTGACACCACCAGATCACCAGTGGCTTCCCAGCCCCAACACTCACCAGAGCTGGATCTGAAGCAGGCTCGGCGGCTGCCCACAGCCCATGGTATTTCTTAGGGCTCCCTGAGAGTCCTGCAGCGGGAGGAGCAAGGCTGTCTAGGGGAAATCAGTTCCCTCTGAGCAAGGGGCTTCCTGGGATTGGCAAACGAGAGGCCCCAGGACAAAGGGGGATGGGCATCTGCCAGAAGAGCCTAGATCTCCAGGGAGGCCTCCCAGTTCTCTGGCAGTGCCCCCAGGATTGCCCTAAAGTGGGGTGCAGGAGCAGGGCAGGCGAGCGGGAGACTGTCAGCCTGGGCACATGGAGGAGGGCCCACTTCTTGGTCTGGAGCAGGACCACAGATCATCTCCTGATGTGGAGATCAGTCTTTCCCACTAGGGGACTTAGCTCCCCACTCTCAGCCTGCCTTCCTGCGGGTCTTCCCTTTCCTGTGCACCCTAAACCCCCAGCCACCTCTCTATTCCCCAGTACATGCCAGGCACTGGGCTAGGGCCATTTGCCTCCCCCACTCCTCCAAACCTTGGTGGTGAATCTCTTCACCCTCATTTTACAGATGAGGAAGCTGAATAGAAGTATCATTAAATAATTAACCCAAGGTCACCCAGCCAGTCAGCGGCCTGGCTGGGATTAAACCTAAATCGGTCTGACTCCAAGTCCAGCTGAGAGATCATATCAGCCATGTATCCTGTGTCTTTTAAATCCCACACTTCCCCCTCTCCCAGAACCCTGACCATCAGCCAGACCAGAAAGTCTAATATAACTGGCTCCTACAACCCACCGGTTCATATGTCCCACCATCAGGATGCCCTCCTGGCATCCGAGCTCACACCTCCTGCTGTCTTTTACCCTGATATCAGGGAAAGAGTGGAGCAAAGATGGTTCCCCCACCCTGCCCCACGTCCTGTTTCTGTGTCCCATGGGACTGTGGCATTTCTCTGTGGCTCTGCAGGGTGGGTTGCTCCTGGCTGCGAAGCCAGAGTCTCAAACACTTGGGAAGGAGGGGGCTCTGAGGTTTTGCTGGGAGAGACAGGTGTTCTCTTGGGCCGCCTCACAGAGGAGACTTGGGCCTTGCCTTCAGACCCTACCATTTCCTACTGAGTCCAGGACAGGTGAGGAGAGAGACAGAAAGAAGGTGGGGACTTTGGAGACCTTCAGAGGGTCCTTAGCTTCTGATGCTGTTTTGTTCTTTGGGACAAGTTGAGGTCATGCCTCTTGGACACCAAGAAGTCCTGGGGTTTGGAAATCCCCACATGGCCCTCACACCCTTGTTGCCCTCAGACCTTTAGTTGTGGAAGAAACTGAGTGGAAAGGACACAAGCTTGCATCCATTCCCTGAAATCAAGGAGTTCAGTTCCTCATCTGGGTGAAGAGGAAAGGGGAATTCCAAAGACTCGGCTCCAGTGCCCTGGTGTTGAACCCAGATCTTCCATTTCTTAGAAGCCTGCTGTTTTCTGGTAGAGCCTTCTGACCTCTGGCTTCTGGCTGAGTTTGGCAGGTGGATCAATTAAACCCCAGTGTTTGGAGAGGGGGTTGAAGGGACACAGTTTGGCTCCTACAGCTCCCTGACTCAGGAGATTGGAACAGAGAAAGCCTCTTGACCCTGAGCCCATCAAAGCTCCTCTCTCAGGTTTGCCTTTTCCTGCCCCTCACAGCCCTCCTCTTCTCGAGAAGGCCAACCGTCCCACCACCGCTGTGGGAAGAGGGGCAGCGTGGGCTGGGCTATCAACTGGGGCGTCTCCTATCTGTATCCTCAAAGCTTTCTGAGTCTCCTGCACTCCCTGTCCAATGGACATGGGTTTTCTCCCTGGGCTGGGCCCAGGAGAGATTCAGAATAGGAGCCAACAGAGGCCCTGAACTCAAGATCCTGCCGTCAGAATGCAGACACAGTCATGCCCATGGATTCCAGGCCAGCATTAGTGCCAAAGAGAGTAATCATAATAGCTAAGTTTCCTTGAACACTTCCAAAATGGGCACTTTATATCCATTAACATGTTTAATCCTCGAAACCACCCTGGGAAATTGGTGCTATCATATCTGCATTTTACAGATAAGGAAGCTGTGGCTCAGAGCAGCCAGTAACAGGCCCAAGGTCTTACAGCAAGGAAGTAGCAGGAGCAGGATCTATCCCAGAGCCTGTACTCTTACCTTCTTCACCTGTGCCATTCAATACAGTGGCCGCTAAAAGCATGTGACTATTTAACTTTGAATTCATTAAAGTTCAATGCAGTTACAGTTCAGTTCCTCACTGCACTAGCCACCTTTCAAGTGCTCAGCAGCCACATGTGGCTAGAGACTGTCACATTGGACAATACAGATATTAAATGTCTCTATCATTGCAGAATGTTCTATTAGTCAACACTGGTCTACAGCCTACTGCCTCTCAAGAATAGAGATGGGGCAATGGAAAATCATCCTTCAGTTAGTAGACTAAAATAATAATTAACAATAATGATACCAATGGCTACAATTTACCAAGAGCTTCCTCTGCGCCAGGCACAGTGCCAAGCCCATAATCCTTACCCAATCCTAGGTTCAGGAAGGTAACCCAGGGTCACAGTAGCTAGGAATTGAATCCAGGTTTGTGTGGCCTCAGAGTCCAGTCCACTGGCCCTCGCCCTCCTGCCCCACCCCCTGCCCGGTCCCCAGCAGTTTATAGTCCCTGGGGGAAGGAGGGGAAGGCAAGTGCGCTGTATTTCACAAGACCAGGGATTAAATAAATCAGCACGTAATTAACATCATCACATTTCCCCAAGCCCGCTGACCAGAACATTGTGCTAATGAGGTCAAGGTCTTGATGTTGAGCCCTGTGAACATCACATCACTTCACTTCATGGGAGAAAGGCTGGCTCCCTGCCCTGAGGGCAGCCCCCCACACTGTGATTGGGAAATAGGGAGAGTGTGGATGTTGCAGCACAGCCTGTGGCCTGCTCTGAGGCTTAGCGTAGTAGAGGGTCGGGCGTCCGGCCAAGAAGAATCCTATTAAACGCTATGGGGATGTGTCTTCTGGACAACTGGGAATCTAGAAAGGATGGGGTTAGCAGAAAGCAAAGCCTGAGTGTGAAGAAAAGATGCAGCAGAAGATAGAACAGAACTTCTGAGACTTGCTTCCTCTTAGTTGGGTAAAGCCTTTTGGGCAACATGGGGACATACAGGAATTTTTGAGGGCTTGGCTTGGGTGGGGAGATCTGCCTTTAGTATCCTGTAAGGATTGCACTATTTGGCGGAAAGTTAGCCCAGTTGCATGTCAATCCCACATGGCCTCTGGGGAGATAAGGCCTGGGGAGAGGCTAGAGCAGGCTGTTTGGCAGTAGCAGGTCTCCTCCAGACAGGCCTGAGGAGTACATGAGACAATGTAGGTACAGAGCCTGAGTGGGGCCAGGCACGTGGTAGGTCTTGGTAAACATTAGTTTATTAAACTATCTCCCTCCTTTAAGCAGCTTTTTTTCTGGGCCAGTATACCACCAGGTTCGGGGGTTCTGATGATGTCAGCATAATGCCAAAGGCATGAGCCAGTGGCTGGCTGTGTGAGTCAGGATAGGCCGTGCTGTGCTGCAGTGACGAAGTATCCTGGAAATCTGTGGGCTAACACCACGGAGGTTTTTTCTTGCTCATGCTATTTGGCTAAAGCAGACTGGCAGGGGCTCTGTTCCATATAGCTGCTTAGGGACCCTGGATGTTGGATGTACCAAATTTCAACACGGAGCTTTCTGGTTGCTGCTGCAGAGGCAAAAAAGAGCAGGAGGGCTATGCAGGAGGGCTATGCAAAGATCTTAAATGCTTTGACCCTGAAGTGCCAGATAGCATTTTCACTCACAGCCTATTGACCATGACTGGTCTAGGGTCCTACCTCATGGTGAGGGGCCTGAGGAGTGTGGGGCGCATGTGGGTATTTGGTGAGCACTAAATGTCTTTGCCACTCTACCACTTCCCCTCTCAAAATTCCATTTCCTTCTCCTGTAAAAAGACTATTAGAATGGTTAAAATCCAAAAAATTGACAGTATCAATTGCTGATGAGGATGCAGAGCAACAGAACTCTTGGGAATGAACTCTCATTCATTGCAAAACAATACAGCCACTTTGGAAGACAGTTTGATAGTTTCTCAGAAAACTAAGTATAGTCTTCCCATAGGATCTAACAATTGTGCTCCTACGTATTTACTCAATTGATTTTAAAACTCATGTCCTTACTAAAACCAGCATGTGTATATTTATAACAACAATTTATTCAGAGTTGCCAAAGATGGGCTGGGCATGGTGGCTCATGTCTGTAATCCCAGCACTTTGGGAGGCCAAGGTAGGAGGATCACTTGAGTCCAGGAGTTTGAGACCAGCCTGGGCAACATGGCGAGACTCAGTCTCTACAAAAGATAAAAAAAAAAAAAAAAATCAACCAGGCAGAGTGGCATGTGCCTGTGGTCCCAGCTACTTGAGAGGCTGAGGTGGGAGGATTGCTTGAGCACAAGAGGTCAAGGCTGCAGTGAGCCATGTTCACGCCACTACACTCCAGCCTGGGCAACAGAGCAAGAACTTGTCTCAAAAAAAAAAAAAAAAGAAAAAGAAAAGAAAAAAGAATGGCCAAAGATGTAATTACCAAAAGTAACCAAGATGTACTTTAATAGGTGAATAGATAAACAAACTGTAGTACATCCACATAATGTTATACTATTTAGCAATAAAAAAGAATGTGCTATCTAGCCACATAAAGACACGAGTGAATCTTAAATGCATATTGCTAGGTGGAAGAAGCCAGTCTGAAAAAGTTACATACTATATGATTCCATTTATATCACATTCTGGAAAAGGTAAAACTATGGAGACGGTAAAAAGATCAGTGATTGCTAAGGATTCAGGGTTGGTGGAAGGTTGAATAAGTGACGTGCAAAAGAATTTCTTTGGATGGCGAAACTATTCTGTATGATATTGCAATGGTGAATATATAATGCCGCAACTGTCAAAACCCCCCAGTGTTACAGGGCGAAGGGGACCTTAGTGTATGCAAATTTTAAAAAGTCATTTAGGATGTTGGGAGATTGCAAGAGGGAATGCAGAATGTGACAAAAGAATCTAATCTAAGTGTATTACAAAAGGATAAAACAGCCTCACTGAAGGGACAAGGGGGAAAAGAAGCTAATGTAAGTAGTTTGGGAAATGAGAAGAGTCTGTAAGACTAAAGGCAAAAAGAACTGTGCATAAGCACTGTACTCTAGTCAATAAAGTTTTTTCCCGTGTTTTAAAAAACAGTATTTGAAATCAAGTTGAATAAATAATGCGATGAATGAAATTGGGTAAAAAAATGTTTTATTCTGATTTGATGAGGTATGAATTTGACTGATTTTAAAAGTGCTTGTAACTAGAATTCCAGAAGAGCAGGCAAGAATGCTCTGACAAATGAATGTTTCTGGAGACGGGATAGTTCGTGGGAGACAGGATAGTTCAGGCTGGATCCACCACTGCAGAAGCTGCTGGAAGGGAGGGAACAGTGGGACTGGGAAAGGGCAGGGACAAAGATTTGCTCTTTGGCCTTTTCCATTTTTTCAGCTGTTGATATAAATAAGTAAATTACAAAACAAAAACAAGGTCGGGCACAGTGGCTCACGCCTGTAATCCCAGCACTTTGGGAGGCTGAGACGGGTGCATCACGAGGTCAGGAGTTTGAGACCAGCCTGACCAACATGGCGAAACCCCGTCTCTACTAAAAATACAAAAATTAGCTGGGGGTGGTGGCACATGCCTGTAATCCCAGCTACTCAGGAGGCTGAGAGGGGAGAATCACTTGAACCCAGGAGGCAGAGGTTGCAGTGAGCTGAGATCGCGCCACTGCAGTCCAGCCTGGGTGACAGAGTGAGACTCTGTTTCAAAACAACAACAACAACAACAAAATTCACTGAACAAAGCAGATTGATTAGCAGCTCCTCCCTTCTCAGGCGACCTCTCTGAATGAAAACCTCACTCATGTGCCTAATTTCCAATATTATTTATTAAAAAAAAATCCACCAGGCCCGTTTCTGATCTTACCTAATAGAGGATGTGTTCCTCCTTGTTCCTGGGGGATGCAGTCAAGTGGGCAAGGTGGTGCAGGGGACAGAACCTGGATGCCAGAATCCCTGTCCCACTCACAGCTGAGTGGCCCCAGAAAGTAACCCAATCTGTCTCAGCCTTGGTTTCCTCTTTGCTGTAACGGGCCAAAATTCCCCCATACTGGGTGGTGGTGGGGAATTGGAGAGAATGTACGTGAGCAAAGAAGCCTAGGGTCAGGCGTGGTGAAGCCTTCAATTAATGGTGGTGACTATTAGCTGAAGATCTGAGGGACACGAACAGATCAATCAGGATGACCTGAGTTGGGCTGTGTAGGCGACAGGAGAGATGAGGCGTCGCTGACTGAGTGGCACAGGAAGGCCCATCCTGCAGGTGCTCAGTGTGTGAATGGGCAGGAAAAGGCAAGGGGCCACTCCAGGTATGGGAATTGTAAGAGCAAACACAGGACGCTGGGCTGAGCAACATGTCGAGGCTGGAGGGGAGGGAGCCCGGGGAGAGGGGCAGAAAGGAAGCCTGGAAGGGCCAGGGAGAAGGCACAGAGGCGGGCAGGGCTTCCATGCCCTGAGAGTAAATCCCTCTAGCATTTATTAGCCTTGGTGAGCTCTTTGGTGACCCTGGTACCTTTAAAAAAATAAACAGCAGGTGATGGGACTTCTGGGGGAAGAAAATAGACCAAAGCTAGGATGTGTACCAGGACAGAGAAGGGCCCTGCCCTGAAATGAGGCCGGGAGGGTACTCAGCCTTTTGGGAGGCCTGACTAGCCATGGCCTCCCTTAGGGTCTTTGCCCTCCAGTGCAGCCTGTTCCCAGAGGTTACCTGAGGCCCTGAGCCTTCGGTGGGTCTAGTTCACCCTTGGAAGCAAGGAGGGGCTCCTGGGGCCCAGAGACTGGCCTCCACTCTTGGACTGGGCAGGAATGGGCCTCCGTCTTCAGACCTGAGGCTCCCGAGGGCAGAGGCTGGTTCTCCCCATGGACCCGGGGGGTCCCGGGAGTAGGGTTGGGTCTTCCACCTCAGCTTCTCCCTCAGGATCCCACACGGAGATCTGCCCCAGTGCACCCTTGGGATGTAGTGACAGAAACTCCTGCTTACTTAAAAAAGGGTCCTCTGCAAACTGTGCCGAAGAACAAGGGCCAAAATAAAACAAAGAGGGGATTTCGTTGTTCTTCTCCTTACCGTAAGTTCAAAACACATTTTTCTGGCCTGTGAGAAGATGCTTCTCCTGGGCCAATACTGGGCCCCTGGGTTGGGTGGCAGTGGGACGGTGCCAAGGATCGGGCTCTTGCCAAAATAAATCGATCTCCTAACCTTTGCAGACAGCAGAGGTGGGGCAGGTCGACCCACTCCCACATGGCAGGGTCTTCCTGGGGTCACCAGGCTGTGGCCATCGTAAATAGTTTAACTGTGTTTATGTAGCAGTAACATGCGTGTTACCTTTCACAGTGATCACATTCCAGACGGCAGTCTTGGGTGATTTACCTTGCCATGCGCGGCCGCCAGTCCCTGCAGTGAGTGGGTGGCCTCTGGGGCCCAGCTTCGCTGTCCCAAGAGGACTGTTTTTAAAGAGCTGCCTGGCATGAGAGACTTTATACCCCCACCTTGCCATGCCCCACCACAGGTATGTTCCAAATCTGGGGATTCCTCAGCAGGCTCCTCAGTGCCCTCTGAGGAGTCTGAGGGGAACTACTGGGGCCACAGTGTCCCCTCCCCACCCCTTCTTGCCTCCCTGGCTAGGGCAGCCGGTGTTTGGAACTTGTCCATCATGTTTATGGTGATGGATGGACATAGGCTCCAGCACTGCTTCCAGTACTCGTCCTGGTGTCTGTTGCAGCAGCAGCCCCCAGCCAAGAGAAAATAACAAACAACCTTTTGGAGTCCTTACTAGGTACCAGGCACTGTTTTGTATACCTTATAAAAGGAGTGCTGTCATGAGCCCCTTTTACAGACAACAAAACTGAGGCGTGGTGAGTCTGCATAAGTCATCTAAGGACACACTATGAGTGAGGCGCAGGTCCAGACTTCACAAGGCAGCCTGCACTCCCAGCATCACGACTCTCCTCTCTCCCTGGCCAGGCCACGAGCGCTGCCTGCGCAGGGCTGGCCCATGGAGGGGGCAGGGCAACCAGCTGGGAGATGGAGTCCAGGAAGCAGAGGATGTCCGGGCATCTGTGGCACACTCCCACATACATGTGCCCCTGTGCATGCAGGCACATGGCACATACCTGGTGGGAATGGGCACCTCTCACACAAATATGCATGTGTGTGTACATCTCCTGTACCTGCCCCACCCACATGCGTGCACGTCCTATCTATCTAAGCGCCTGCACACATACATGAGCACGTGGATACATACGCATGTACGCCTATCCATGAGGTCACCCTATACATGTACATTCCCCAGGCACCTTCCCACACTCAGACACACAAACGTCCCACACTGCACACACCCAAACCCTTGTGTGGATGGAGCATGTCTTGCTACCTTGCTTACCAGGAGCATACTGCACTTCCTTTCCTTGACCCCCAAACTCGGGGTCAGTCCTAGGACAAGCAAAGCAGAGTGGGTGCTCTCTCATGATTACATGTATTCACTCAACCAGTATTTCCCGAGTGCCCACTGTATGCAGGGCCTTATGCTGGGTACTGTAGTGAAAGACTTAAATTGAGGCTCGGCCCAGCCCCTTAAGAGTGCCATGTGTGGGGCAGAGAGGGCCATGAGTCAGTGAGTACAGTCATCCCCACTGCCAAAAGTTGGCCTGGGGATGCAGGCTCCCAGCAGGCTCCAAGCTCCTCTCTGCTGATGGTGTACCCGCCTCTGGAGGCCCAGCTCCCTGCCTAGTTCTGGGTACCTGCAGACGTGGGCTCTCTTGCAGGTTTGAGGTCTGGGAGTGGCCCAGCCAGGGACTCTGGATGCCTTTGGGAGGGCTCCGGTCCCTTCCCCGACATACTCACCATGGAAGCAACCACGTAGTGTCCCTGGGCAGCCGGGTGGGTGTGAGTCACCGGGCAGGCCAAACCCCAAATGCCTGCCATCCCTTTGGATCATTGTGTATTTATTAAGCACTCCCTGTATACCCAGCACCTGCCAACATAGCAGTGTCCAGGCCTGGCTTGTCCACACTCCCACACAGAGGGGAACAGCCCAAGCCTTCTTGCTGCGCAGCCCCTCTGCCAGCCCTGCCATGCTCCACACAATGGGTTACATGGGCCTTGCCCAGGCGGGGAGGGGGCCAGACCTTTTGTATGGCGCCTTCTACTACCCAAATGCCATGCCACAAACCCTTAAACTGGGAGCTGGGTAAATGACCCTGGCCAAGAATGGCTTCATGGACACGAAACCTGAACGGCCCACACTTAGAAAGACCCTGTGCTTGGCTTAACACTCTGCTGTTGCCGTCTTGAAATTCTTAACAGTTTTTGAACAAGGGCCCCACAAATTATGTAGCTGGTTCTGCCACTGGCTGAGGCTTTCTGTGGGTGATTGGCACAGCCCTGCCCCCACCCCACTTCCTGCCGCCTGCATGCCCCTCCGCAGCCCTGCCTCTGCCAGCTCGGCCTCCTGCCCTGGGCTGGCCCAGACTGCTGAGATGTGGGCGGCTGTGGTTTCCCAGAGCCCGCAGTGCAGCCGCAGTGTTTGAAGATGCTCTTCAGTGGTGTCTTCAGACGGTGTTCCTTCTGTCGCCCAGCCTGTGGTCGCCCTGGCCGGCTCCCACCCCGTGGTCACCTGCCTGCTGTTGCCAGAGCATGAGAAGCCCGGGAAGGAGGACTTCAGCTTATACTCAGCTTCTGGCTTAGAGCCCACATATAGACTGCTCATCCCAGCCCCATCCTAAGGCACATCATTGCTAAGCTCTCTGAACCTCAGTTGCCTCAGCTGTAACATGGGGATTCAGAAGTCCTCCCAGCAGTGTTGGTGGGAGGATTCCTGGTAACATATAGGAAGCACCTGGTAACAAGCCTGGCACAGAGTGGGTGCCTGGAGAGCATTTAGTTTTAGCTGCTCGTTAATTCACCATTTACTGAGTGCCTACTAGAAGCCGAGCCAGAAAAGATAGCTTTTACTGAAGGAGCTCACAGTCTCGGCGGGGCAGGGGGTCAGTGGGGGTGGCTGTAAGCAGAAGCGTAAGAAGCTCAACTGGAATGGAGTGCAAGCCCAAGTGGGGAAACCAAGGCCCAGGGAGGGGATGTGACTTGCCTACACCAGGACCCAGGAGTCTTGTTTCTCTGCCCACCGGACGCCCCATACACAAACTCTGCCATGTCCCGGGATTGTGGTTAACACCGTGTGCTGTGTTAACAGGTCCAGGCTCAGTCTTCAGGGCACGAGTTGGGGTCTTCTTGATGGGTTGTGGCACCCACTGTTTGGACATCATGCATGCTTCTTCTTATTATTGTGTATTTATTTATTTGTTTATTTGTTTCTTGATCCAGGGTCTTGCTCTGTCGCCCAGGCTGGAGTGCAGTGGCACCATCTCGACTTACTGCAACCTCTGCCTCCCGTAGCCCAAGTGATCCTCCCACCTCAGCGTCTCGAGTAGCTGGGACTACAGGCTCGCACCACCATGCCTGGCTAATTTTTTGTAGAGATGAGGTTTTGCCGTGCTGCCCAGGCTGGTCTCGAACTCCTGGGCTCAAGAGATCTGCCTGCCTCAGCCTCCCAAAGTGCTGGGATTATAGGCGTGAGCCACTGCGTCCGGCCTGTGTATCTATTAAGCACCTCCTGTATACCCAGCACCTGCAAAGCCTTGGGACACACAACAGCAACCCTTCAGGGAAGATCCCAAGCCAGGTGCCTGTCTTTTGCCTCCTTGGATCAGTGACGAAGAGGTCAGCGTCACTCCATTTCTGGGTGTGATGGTCCTGGGCACTGCTGAGTAAGTCTGAGGAAAGGGACAACAGCTGCAGGCCCTCCACACTCAGCTCATCACCATTCTACTGCTCAGGCCCTCATCTGCCTGATTCTTGGGGTCACTTGTTTTCCAGGGCCTAACCCCATTCTGAACTAGTTTTGGTGAGGACAGTGAGGATGTGGGAATAGGCTAATTGAAAGCATGAAGTTGAAATGAGGAGCCAGTGCTGAAGGGAGATCTTGGGCTGCCACTGAGGGAGTTTGAGCAGGATAGTGGCATGACCAGCTCTATCTTCTTTTTTTTTTTTTTTGAGATGGAGTCTCACTCTGTTGCCCAGGCTAGAGTGCAGTGGCACGATCTCGGCTCACCACAACCTCCACCTCCTGGGTTCAAGTGATTCTTCTGCCTCAGCTTCCTGAGTAGCTGGGATTAAAGGCGTGCGCCACCACACCCGGCTCATTTTGTATTTTTAGTACAGATGGGGTTTCTCCATGTTGGTCAGGCTGGTCTCGACTCCCGACCTCAGGTGATCCACCTGCCTCGGTCTCCCAAAGTGCTGGGATTACAGGCGTGAGCCACCGTGCCCGGCCTGACCAGCTCTATCTTTAAAAGATCACTCCACTGTGATGTGGAGAAGGGGTTGCAGGGCAATGGTGGACACAGGAAGGGCTGATAAGAAGCAACTGTGATAGTCCAGACACCTGCCTCTGGGAGCCTAAAACACTCCACATAGGTGGGAAGGCTTCAAAAGAGGCCTGGGGATGAAGCTGTTGCCCTCCAGCCTGCCGCGCTTCCCGGGGACCTGCAAACGTCCATCCTTTCCTCGGTCGATTCCTCGTCCAGCCTGTGGTCCTTGGGGCTCTGATTTATTCAGCTTGGGAACCAGGCAGCGAGTCTCATGTCTGCCCCAGGCCTCAAAATAGATTATTTTTTTTATTAGCTGTCCCTTGTTAACTCATAATTGCAATCATGTAACATTTAATAGAGGCACAAAGCGATCCCCATCACTGCTCCACAATCATTCATTAGCTAACAAGACAGAGCAGCTCATAAAAAAAAAGCCGTTAAAAAAATTCCGGGGAAATGGAAAGCAGGAGGTGATGCAAGCCCTGGTTAACAAAGGCTGAGGGTTGGGGGGAGGCATGAGAGGGTGTGAGTGGAATAACCCAAGCCTGATAAGCCACAAAGCAGCGCCTGCTGCTCCCTCCTCCCTCTGCCGCCTGAGTCAGAGAAGCCGGGATGTGTTCAAAATCAAGCAATGTAATTAGCAGGTTGCATCATGCCTCTCGATTATAAATTACAATGGCCACAAAGAGGGTGGATGGAGGAGCAGGGATTAGATGGGGTAACCCAATCCCAGTGCCGGGAAGGGGGACAGAGGGCCCGGGAGCTGCCCCCCGCCACTAGGAGCCACTCGGAGTGGCCTCTGTCTACTGTGTCTAGGGACAGCAACAAGGCCTACTCAATACCTGCTTTGTGTAGCCTGGGATAATGATTTACAAACTCAAGGAAATCAGGAGGTGTGAAAAGAAGATAGCCCTCTTAACCCAGCCATTGTCTACCCTCTGCTGGAATGTCCCTCAGCTCCACCCACCTGGTGCACCTGTGCACACGGATGCTGTTTGAGGATGGTCCACGTGAGGAGCCCTCATAGGGGCTGGACTGATAAGATCTAAAAGGGTTGCTGGGCTCGAGGTGTGGCGACACAGTCAGGGATGATTGAGACTCGGCAAACAGGAATACACCTGAGTGATTCCCTGAGCCGTCTCTGTAGTAGGGGAGGATGGGAGCTTGGGCTGATGACAGAGCAAGCTGTCTCCTAGGAGTTGAAGACCTGGTTCCATCCCAAACTTTGCCACTGGGAGGCTGTAGGAGCCTGGCAAGCCATTTCTCCTCTCTGGGCCTCAGCTTCCCCCCTACAACCCAACTGCTGGCTATATGACCCAGGCAAGTTATTTTCCATCTCTGTGTCTCTACTTCCCCACCAGGCCTTGCTACAACTGGTCATGTGACCTGAGACCAGCTCCCCCTCCGCATCCTCAGTTTCTCCATTTACAAGGAGGAAAGTTATCCAGACAATCTTTAAAGTTCAGCTGGGGCCTTCTCTTAGTCTAAGGTGAACTCTGTTTTTCCAAAGACTAACCAACTAGCCAGCTCACCTGGTACCTTGGAGACCAGGGAAATGGGCCTGGCAACCCTGCCCTCTAGCCATCTGCATGAATCAGAGCCCGGTGAAGCAGAGGGGAAGTCAGTCTCAGGCAAATCAAGTCACTGGTGGCACTGCTCCCCGTGAGCCCGTGTAGACACACCCTTTACTTCCTCCTGGTGGAAGATTTGGCCTTTCAGTTTAGCCTTTGCAAACAGCATTTACTTGACAATGTTTTCTTAGCAGCCCTATTCTTGTACACAGGAAATAATCCCATTAACTTTATTATCTCTGCAAAGAAAGGACAAGGATATAGATTTGCCCTTAAGTTCAATGAACTCAGTTCTCTCTTGAAAGGAAAAGCACAGAACTGAGGCAATTGCCTTGTAGGAAGCTTTCTTTGGGTAAGACCTGGCTCTAGTGGAGAGATATTGCAGCTGCCTTTTGAACTGTGGCCCTCAGCTGCTCTGGGGCCCCCAAATCTTCTCTCTGGGCCTCACTTTCATCCCCATCACCACCTCCTCACACCTACATTCTGTTGACTGAGGGACTGGACCAAACTGATGGAGAGAAGTAGGTATTCTCAACAAGCAAGGAGAGGCAGAGGCGATCGGGAGGGAATCCCGACTAGCACTGCCTTCGCTCAGACCCCAGCATTACTCCCTTGGACTACTGTAGAGACCTCCAGTCTTGGCCCCTCAGATCTCTTTGCTCCTTTGCAGCCACAGGACCTTGCTAAAAATTGTGGCTGATCACACTCTTCCCCTGCTTGAACCCCATCAAAGGCACCCCTGTCCAAAAGTCCCAGGGCCTAGTAGGCTCCACAGGCTCCCCAAGCCTGGGCCGTGCTTTTTTCTCCAGCCACTTCCTTCTACTTGCAGCCCAAGCTACCCTGAATCATTGGTCCTTTCCAGCAAACCCCAGGCTATTTCATACCTCCACACCTTTGAGCGAGCTGTTCCCATTGCCCGGACTGCCCTTCCCCTTGTTCACCTGGCCAACTTAGGTTCAGTCTTAGGGGCCGGGCACGGTGGCTCACACCTGTAATCCCAGCACTTTGGGAGGCCAAGGCTGGTGGATCACTTGAGATCAGGAGTTTGAGACCAGCCTGACCAACATGGTGAAACCACGTCTCTACTAAAAATACAAAAACTAGCCGAGTGTGGTGGTGGGCTCCTGCAATCCCAGCTACTCAGGAGGCTGAGGCAGGAGAATCGCTTGAACCCGGGAGGTGGAGGTTGCAGTGAGCCGAGATCGCGCCATTGCACATGGAGGGCAACATGAGCAAAACTCCGTCTCAAAAAAACGAAAAACAAAAAACAACAACAAAAAACAAAACAAAAAGAAAAAACTAAAAGATGCAGCCTAGGAACCTTGCTTTAGTATTAGTATCCCCTCCTCCCAGAACCCCTTCTCCAGGCAGCTCTTCTGTGCCTTCCAACATGAGCAAGCTCTAGCCCAGCAAGTCCTTATGTGCCATGTCCCCCGGAGTCCATGAGCTCCCTGGGGAGGAACTGAGCATCCCATAGTCAAACCCTCACAAACATCTTCTGTGTTGAACTGCTGCCTTTTCCTACAGCAAGCAAGAGGCAGATGTAGCCTGAGGCCTAGGGCTTGGGGTGAAGTCTGGAAAAGTTGCTCATCCATTCATTCACTTATTCATTTGTGTCATCTGAATACATGTAGTGAGGGGAGGGGGCAGGGATGAGCAGGCTGGGAAGGGAAGGACCAGACCTATCAGCTTCGTATACCACCCTGAAGGCACTTATAGGCTCCATGGAAGTCCCTGGCCCTTGGGTGGGTTGGGAGAATATCCCAGAAGCCAGCTCCCAGTGCAAGTTGGCCTCCAGGGTGGACAGACTGCCAGAGCTGGGCTGACGGTGGCACTGGGGGCTGCCTTGTGTGTTTTAGCCCAGCAGGGCCTGCACCTTGCCGACAGCGATCTCCCAGCTGCCTCAGTACAATCAACAGAAGCTGAGTGTGAGGAGGTGGCAGAGAGGGAGCCATGTGAGGCATGTTTTCACGTGTCAGGAGCTCTCAGCATGTCCCCTGTTGGTGAGGGGGCTGTCCTTGTGTCTGCATCACTAAGGAGGTGACCACTTTGCTCTCGTGTCAGGGTGACATTAGATCCCTAAGTTGTGACCTCACTCAGGTATCCGTCCTTGAGTCCCATCTGCCTCTGAGTTAAGAGCCAAAATAACAGCAGAGACATGGCTGCCTGAATACCCTTCTCAGCAATGGCGAGACACAGAACAAGCATGGCTGTCCCATTGGATGGAACAGGAGACCGGGACTCAGGGATATGGACACAGCTACCTGAGGTCACACAGCTCATGTGGGCCTCCTATAGCCTGTGAGGTACACCTTTCCTTCTTCCACCACCCTTAGGGGTGGAGCTGTGCCCCATATTTGGCCTTTACCACATCCCAATGTAGGTGAAAATGTGAATGACAATAATAACTGCATATAGTAGATGCCTACTTTGTACCTGGCACAACTTAAGTACTTTCTTCTCATTCATTCAATCAATAATATTTATTGAGTGCCAGGCACTTTTCTAGGTGCTGAGGATATGGCAGTAAGCAAGGCAAAGTCCCTGCACTCAGGGAGCTCCCATTTTAGTGGGAGACACAGACAATAAACCAAGAAGTGAGTACACAGAAAATAGGCAGGCCGAGGTGCGAGGATGGCTTGAGTCTAGGAGTTCAATGCCAGCCTGGGCAACATAGGGAGACCCCATCCCTACAAAAAATCAAGAAATTAGCTGGGCATGGTGGCACACACCTGTCATCTCAGCTACTCAGGAGGCTGAGGTGGAAGGATCGCTTAAGCTCGGGAGGTTGAGGGAGGAGTGAGCCATGTTCGTGCCACTGCACTTCAGCCTGGGCGACAGAGGGAGGCCCTGTCTCAACAACAACAACAACAACAACAAAACAACAAAACAGAGAAGAAAAGAAAATAGGTGAGGTGGTAAAAAGTAAGTGAAGAGAAAGGGTGGAGAGCGGAAAGCCTCTGATTCAGTGACATTTGGGCAGGCCCCTGAAGGAGACATGGGAGGGGGCATAGGACTATTTGGAGGACAAAAATGACAGGCAGAGGGAATAGTAATTGCAAAAGCCTTGGGACAGGAACGTGCTTGCTGAGTTCAAGGACAGCCAGAGAGCTGCTGTGGCTGGAGCACAGTGAGGAAGGAGCAGAGTGGCACAGTGTAGAAGATGAGGCCTGTGCCAGTCATAGGCCAACTCATTTGACATTACAGCAATGCTGAGTACCAGGCACTCTTGTTATTCTCTAGCTAATGAGGAAATTGAGATACAGAGAAAAGTAATCCACCCAAGGTCACACTCCAGGCATGTGGTTCTATGTTAGCGATTTGGGAGCATCCTTCTTGGCCCAGAGCACTGGTTCCCAGTCCCAGGTATGGATTAGAATCACCCGGGGAACTTACAAAGAATCCAGATGACCAAGTTTCAAATTCTGACAAGCTGCCTAGGTGATTTTGACAGAATCTTTATGACACCAGCTTTGGTGACCCACTGGGGAATGGCTGTAGACAGGCGAGGTTGGAAGAGCAAGCACTTGGCCAGGAGCCTAACTCTAGCTCTGCTCTGATCTCTGAGCCACTGCATTCGCCAGTCCTCTCTGAAGCCCAGTCTCTTCGTTTGTGAAATAAGAGAGTTGAACTCCATCAGTGAACTTCTCGGTTGCTTTTTAGCAGTAAAATCTTTCATTCAATTAGGTACTAAGTGGAGCCCAAAATACGAAAGAGGTCAAAGGAGCTTTATTTTGGGGGAGGAGTGGGATTCAGGCCATCATTCCCTTGGGAACCTCTGAAGCATAATTTTCCAATTCCCTGGAGCTCCGATCTCTGACGACATGCTTCAAGTTCTAGATACCCATATTGGGTCCTTTTTTCCCCCAAAGCAATGTCCCCTGGAATGGCCCAAAGCTCCTGGTGCAAGTCCTATAAATCCTATTCAAGGAGCACTACGAGGAGGCTGCCCAAACCCTGGCTCTGAGTTCTGAGGAGTCCTGGGTGCCTGGTGCCAATGAGGCAGGGGGTTAGGGCTGGGCACACAGTGAGCCTCTTTCAGCTCGCCTGTGTCTTCCACTTGCTGTCCTGGCTGGGGAGGAGGACATGGTGAGCCCCAAGCACTTGGGTTGATCCCTGTTCCAGTGTTAGGAACCTGTACAGGGGTAGCAGCCATCCAGCTGGTGGAGGCAGAAATTTGCTTCCACACCAGCGGGGCCTTTGACATCTTGGTTTTACCCTTTCCTTGTTTTGGAATAGTAAGAATGCCTCTGCCTGACCAGGCCCTTGGAATTGGCAGTTCTTCCACAGCCATCCTCCCGGAGACTCCACCCTAAGGGGAAGAGAAAAATGAGGTTCAGAGAGATCAAGCAACCTGCCTGGGGTCATGTGGCTAAAACTGTGGTGAGACCAGTCCTTGAATCCCAAATCCAGGGCTTCGCCTGCTAGTGCTGAGGTCCTCTTAGGCAAGGGGAGACATGCCCTGGAGAAGACAGCCCCCTGCCCTGACAGAGTCCATACTCTAGGGTGGGAGGTAGGGGGTATCCTCAGGGCCAAGTCAAACTCCTATATGTTCCCTCAACATCCAGTGCGTTCCCCTGCATACAGCAGGTGCTAAATTATTGTGATAATCATGCTTTGGAGTTAGAACTGAAACGAGCTTACAACCTGAGATGCCTTGGACTCTGCTTGGTGTTTTAGTTTCCTCCTCCATAAAATGGGGATAATAATGCTGAACTTCCTGGCCTGGCTGTGACTGGGAAAGGGGCATTGTGAACGGTAAAACAGCCTCGCTTTGACTGCAGGCCCATGACAGTACCGCATAGTAGAAATTGTACTCCCCATTTTATGGAGGAGGAAACTGTTAGTTGGAGAGTGAAACCCAGGTCTAGGGCCAAAGCTCATGCTCCTTCCACTGCACTCTGCTGCTTCCTATTACGGTCCCTGCGCCCAGCATGGTGTTTTTCAGTTTTGTTTTTGTTTTCATTCTAAGTCCCCAAGTGAGACAGGGCGAGATGGAAATGAAGCCCACAGGACCCCTCCCCTGCAGCTGCGAATAGCTTGGGCCCTGGGAAGAACGGGCTGGGTGTGTGCTCTGGGCGTGGAGATGCCCCTTTCTGCCAGCATGTGGAAGTGACATGGATTCCTCGGCATTTCCTCTGTGTGGGGGTGGGCAGTGGTGGTTCATGGAGTCCCCTTTCCCCCAGGATGGATGCTGATTGTCTCTGAAGACTTCACTGGGGTTCACTTTCTGTTCCATGGCCACCCTTGGGTCTGAAGCCTGTCTCCTCCCCAGTACAGGCATGTGGGTGCCCTGGCCACCCACAGCAGGACTGTAGCCTTGGATAGACAGAAGTCCAGGAGTCAAGAGGCTGGGTTTGACCCCAAGGACAGCTGGCTCCTGTGGGGAGACCTTCTCTGGCCCCCAGAAGGAGTCAGCTCAGCCTTAGCCAGGGAAGTGGCCCAAGGGCAGGCCCAGGCCTTGGGTCCCCTGATGTCTGCAGCTGCTCCCAGGACCACCCCATGAGATAGAGGCTACTGAGCCCCGAAGAGACCTGTGGGGCCGCGGCGGGGTGGTATTTTCTCAGCACGATTTATGTGAATGTGCGTGTGTGTGAGTGAGTGTTTAACAAGGAGTGGGGCCTGCTCGACTTCTGAGCCTGGAATTTATACAGCCCCTCGTTGGCGGCTGCAGTTTATCTTGAGCAAAAGAATAATAAACTCAGTTGACAGAATGATGTATTCAAAGCATCTTCCCGTCACAGCACACAGCCCTGCCCGCTGTTAGGATGTCTGCTGTGGTGGGGACCGTGTTATCGAGTGTTTAGCCCCCACGATTGTCAACAACGCATTGTTTGCAGGCTTGGGGCAAGGCAGAGATGGGCCGGGGCTGGGGTGAGAATGGAGAGGGGGGTCTGGCCACACGGACGAAAGGACTGCTGCCCAGATGGGGTCAAAGAGGCGTCTGCCTTTGATGGAAGCCCAGGCTCCATCTGAGGCCCAGCCCCCTCTGGCTGTCCTGAGTCTTCCTTTCCCTGCCTGGGAGAAAATCCTCTCTGTTCACCTCCAAGCTGGTCCTAGTCTAGTACCAGAGGTAAAGGCACACACCTGGGTGTCACTGCACTCCACAGTATGGGAAAACCTCCCCTACTCTTCATTTCTCGTGTTTTTCTTAGCCAAGCAAAGAAATTAGCATCAAACTTCAGCGTCAAAAAATATGCAGACTTGCTAAGCCTCGGAAAGGGTGAGGGAAAGCTGACAACCTAAGAGCTTCATGAGAGAGCTCTAGCCCAGTTCCTTGTGCCTCTGCTGGGCAACCTTAGGCCTCAGAACCTTTTTTCCTCCCCATGTAGGAGGGGAGTCACAATGCTTATCTATCTATTTGATAAGCTACACTGTTGCCACACATTAAGGGTTTGTTATAAGGATGAAATAAGATGAGGATCAGGCAAACACTCTAAAAACTTGGAAGCTGGAGATAAATTCAAATTATAATTTTTTTTTTCAAAGCTCCCTTCAACTTCAGGCAGGAGTGCCCTGGCTTTGCCTCAGCCACTGTGCTTCTTCCTCAGCCTTCAGAATGGGGAAGTCCTGTCTCTTGTCTAATCTCGAGCTCTCTCATTTCAGTTCTAGTTGTTCCTTTAGAACCCTTCATGCATATGTTCCAGTTCTGATCCTCTCTCAGGATCTCCTCTTTTCTGGCTTAATGGTCCTTCTGGCTCACAGGCTGGGCCCTCCTGCCATCCCAGCTCCAGGATCCTCACTTTCAAGAGGAGCGAGTCGCTTCTAGTCCTGTTCTAGAAAGCAAGGTGGCTCTCCTGGGCCCCACAGACAGAAGCCCCATGAGGCCTGCAGGGGCAGTGGCGGGGACAAGAAGGGAAGGAAAGCCCCATGCACCAAGTACTGACCAAGCAGCTGCTCCATCCCAGGGTCAATTTGGAACCCCATCTAATTCTCTTAATCATCGGTATTATCCCCATTTTACAGATTTGGAAACTGAGACTGGAGAAAATTCAGTCTCTTTCCCTCAGGAAGGTGGCAGAAGGAACTCAAGCCCAGAAGGTGTGGCTGGCTCTTGAGTTAAACGTGACCCCTATTCTTAAAGGAAAGCAGGAAAAAAACCCACCCTGAGGCTGTGGGGCTCTGGGTCAGACAGCTGGGCAGGTGGGGTCAAGGCCACTGGAAGAACCAAGGGGAGTCAGGGATGTGGGAGGGCGTGGGAGTGAGGAGGGGTGTGGTGGGAGCAAAGGCCTGGAGGCTGGACCAGGCCCCAGGGCAGAAATTTGGAGAGGAGCTCAGATCTGAGCACAACACATGCGTGTCAGTGTGTTGGGCAACATGGGCTGCGTAAGGCAGCCAACGGTCTCCTTTGATCCCAGACAGGACTCAGCCATTTATTTATTCACTCACTCTTTCACTTGTTCACCCTTCACTCCATCCTTTATTTGCCCAGGGAGTCAGGCCCCTCGGAGTCTAATGGGAAAGACAGGCCTAACATCAGGTCAGGGCCCCTGTGGTTCCCAATCACCCATCCATCCATCCATCCATCCATCCATCCATCCATCCGTCCATCCCCCACGTATTGAGTGCATCCTGAGCTCTAGAGAGGAGAGAGCCTGTCCTCATCTCTAGGTACTCTTGGTCCACTGAGGGGAACAGAGAAGTAAACAGACATCTGTAAACCACATGCTTCTGTGTTCATTGAGGCAACCACTATTTGAGAGCCCTCCATGAAAGGTGTCAGGACCAGGGAGATGAAGAGGGCACACTCCTGCCTGTGGTGCACTCAGGCTGGTTGAGGACACGAAGAAAGAGTACGAATACTCCAGCTTCAATGCACAGACAGCTGTGAAAACTGGTGAGCAAGAAGCAGAAGGGGAGCATTGACAGTCCCCAGAGGGAAATGATCGTGCCTTTGAATTTTCATTTATTCATTCGTTGATTCCACCATTCATCTGCTACTGAGCATCTTCTGTATGCTGGGCATTGCTGGGAACAGCATGAGGGCCCATGGGGGAGGCAGTGTTTCTGATGGGCAGACCACTCTTTTGGCCCCTTTTGTGGAGACAGGCCAAGCTTGAGGTAGAGACTGCAGTTGTGGGGGACAGGCAGCCACAGATCCTTCCCATTTGAACGGGGCAGTGGTTAGCAGCTGGAGGGCATTTGAGGTGCAGCCTGGGGCAAGTAGAGGAAAGCCAGACCCTTTGGGAGGCTTCCCAGGGCCAGACCACACGAGGCAGGCAGAAGGAGGTCCACAAGGGCAAGGGAGGCGCCAGAATGGGAGGGCTGTGTCTCAGATATAGTAGGAAGACCCAAGTTCAGTCCACAGACAAACTTGAGGGATCCTAGTGTCCCACTCATTAGAACAGGGAGCCTCATTGTCAGGACTTTCTGGAGCCTTGATTTGCACATGTCCTCCCCACCCTGGGGTAGATGTGTGTGCCTATTTGCATAAAGCATGTTCCTACCCAAATTCATCTCAGGCATTGTGACTTATATCTTTGCTTTCTCTCCTCACAGCTGGCTGTCCCCATGCCTTCTGCTCCCGCTTCTGGAAGGGAAGACAGGGCAGGGACCATGTCCAGCTGCAGAAAATCCCAGTGTTTTTCTGTGGCATTGCCTGGTAAAGGCTGAACGTGGCTTTCGTGAGAGCTAATCTGCCTGCCCAACCAGATTGTGCTGTGGCTAAAATTGCTGTGAGCTCGACAGTGCCTGAAGACTGGAGAAAACTGAGCCATGTCTTGGATGCTCTTGCGGGGCCTAGGGGAGTGCCAGGCCAGAAGGAGAACTGCCTGTGGACTCTCAGTAGGAAAGCAGCTAACGAGGTGATGAGTGAGTGTCGCCTGGAAGTCTGGGGGCCATTCCATGTGGGTCACATCGCCTGACCAGAGGGTTGGGTGCCTGGACAGGGCTGAGCTTGGGACTCCTTCCAGGGCCTGGCCTCAGCTGCTGGGCCTGCCGAGCATGCCCCACAAGCACCCACGCACACATACAAGTATGGAGGCAGAGTGGAAGTTTGACTTTTGCAGATCTCGTACAGCCTGGAGTAGAGAAGAGAATTGGGAACTCTCAATGTTGTGTGACCCTAGGCAAGTCCCTTCCCTGCCTTGTGCCTCAGTTTCCCTTTACATACCATGAGGATGTTCCCAGTGTTGGTGTTTTAATGCCTGCAGACAAGCTAAGCTCATCATCTGGTTCCCGGAAGAGATCCTCCTTTTGTGGAAAGGCCACAGCCACTCTGCCACCCTGAGGCTCCCACTCCTCCTTCTCTGGAACCCTCTCCCTTGCCTGTAGGTCACGGGAATGTCAAGAGCACCCAGGGAAGTGCCTGCTGCCAGTCATCACTCACTGATTATGTGACAGCAGAGGAGCCAAGAAGCTGCTGGGAATCGAGACACCCCCCCATTCAGTCCCCACCATCTCTGTCTTCATGAGGTTCCCTGGGAGAAGCTCCTATGTCTGGGAATGGAAATGTCTCCACCTGGATAGGGACAAACAGGAGCTGGGGGCTGCATCTTAAGACTTCTTGTCCCATTAGTGCTGACCTCTGGAGACGGCTCCTGAATTGTGCCCACTCCCCCACCTCCTCACCACACACATGCTCTGGGCCGTGCGAGGCTCAGCTTGTCACGGACAAGCTAAAATGAGGTGGCCTGAATGCCCCTTATCATAGACAGCTTATCTCCTGTGGTCACTCACCTGACAGACTCCAGAGAGCCACTCAGCGGGCCTCTCCCAGCCGCCTGCTTCTCAGCTCTGACTCTCCCTTGCCTTAAGGGGACACTGGATTCCAGTGACCCTCCTATTGGTCAGAGTTGGGCTGAGCACAGAGAAGGGGTAGAATGCTCCTGGGAACTCGGAAAGCTCTGGGATGCCAGCTTTTCCCACATGTTCTCACTCACCCCTCTGTAATACAGATTCTGCAGCCCTGCCCCCCACACACACACTCCTACACCTCTGCTCTCAAAGTGAAGAAGTAGGCTAATATCTGTGGTACATTTATTTACCTACTCCCTGAGACTGCAGCTCCCTTAGTCAGTGTTGTGTCCTCCACTCAGGCTGGGGCTCCCTGAGGATGGGGCTGTGTCTCCCCTCAGACTGGGGTTCCCCAAGGACAGGGCTGTGTCTCTCCTTAGGCTGGGGTCCCTGAGGGTGGGGCTGTGTCTCCCTGCAGATTGGGGCTCCCTGAGGATGGGGCTGTGTCTCCCTGAAGACTGGGGCTCCCTGAGGACAGGGCTGTGTCTCCCCTCAGGCTGGGGCTCCTTGAGGATGGGACACTTTAAAGAAGAGAAATTGACAGGTTGACCCTGGGGGATCTTTGGGTCAATAAAACATTCTATAGACCCTCAGTGGTCAGACTAGGATGATACCTTGATGATAGGTGGTTTTTTTGTTTGCTTGTGTGTGTGTGGTTTTGTTTTGTTGTTGTTTTGTCGTGTTTTGTTTTGCTGCTGTAGGTTTTTTAAAATCTGGAGGTTTGGTTGTTCATGAAGATAGGATGAAAAAGAAAGGAAAAAAGGAGGAAGGGAGATAAAGAAGGATGGAAGGAAGGAAGAGAGTGAGTGAGGGTTGGAAGAAGCAAAAGAAAGAAGAGAAAGGGAAAGACACAGAAAGAACGGTGAGAGAGAAAGCTCACAATCTGTTTTTCTTTTACATCTCCTGCAGGGGAGTTTACTTGTTTTAAATCCTCTTATCTCCAACACTTGTTTCTCCACTGGTTGCCGTGTCTGTGGAGCGAGGCTGGTTTTTCTCTCAGCGACAACAGAATGCCAGGCTCCATAGCCGGCCTGGGCGCAGGAGGAGGAAGGGTTCACACTGACGGCCCCGGGGGCCTCTCCAGGCCCTTTCCCATCCATCCTCTCCTCAGTGGCAGCTCTCACCTGGCCCTAGACCCTCATGACCCAGAACAGGGGACATGGCTGTCCAGCTTGTGTGGTAGGCTCTGGCCAGCTCGGTCTCCTTCCAGCCTTCCTCTCCCCAAGACCCCTCTCCTCAAGAGCCTGCCCGAAGCCCTGGTGGACGTGGGCCCAGCCAGAGGCCTCCCTGCCTTCACCTCAGCTCCCGCCACTTCCCCTCCTGTGTGGGGGCCTCCCCTGGGGCCACCTCTTCCCAGAGCTTCTCTTGATGCCCTGCTCCCCCGACTCCCTTGTTCATGCGTCCATCCTTTCAACACATATTTTCGTGTCCCTGAGACGTGCCAGGCCTAAGACATAAAGGGCCTAGGGACCTCAGTGTCCAGTGGAGGAAACCAGATGTCGACAGTCAATTAAGCCCCTTTCAGGCGAGTTTCAACTTACCCTGGTCTAACAATAATATCTAACACTGACTGCAGGGGTTATGATGTACCAGGCACCATTCTAAGTGTTTCACGTGGAGTAACTTATTTCATTCTCCAAACAGCTCTAGCAGGTAGGGCTGTTACCCTCCCGCCTCGCAGAGGGTGGCACCTGGGCATGGAGCCGTTCATAACTTCTGAGGGTCAGACCTGAATACAAACCCAGATGGTCTGGGCCAGGGGCTGAACTCTTAAACCCAGTGCTGCTCACCTCATAGCCTAGCGACTGGGGTGTTTCTCTACGCCCCCTCAGGCCCACCCCCTGCCCCTTGCCCCACCAGAGGGCCCCGGACAGTCTTGCTGCACACCAGCTCCCTGCCCGGGCGGAGCTGGCCATCTTGGAGAGAAGTGACTTGGATTCCCGCCCTGCCTATCCCAGCGCTCTTGAGCGTGGCCTGATGCCTGTGGCCCCTCTCTCTATGGAGACTGGGCATCTCCCAGGCCAGACTGGCAGCCTCTGGCAGGCAGGGCCCGAAACCTCCTCAGCATTGGGCACTGAATGGGTCCAGCACCCGACTCCTGGAGCTGGCAGCTCCCAGACCAGGAGGGGAAGTGGGCGCTGGGGGTTGGCAGGCGGCCAACGCTAGGGGAGGCCTGAGCAGGGTTATGCCTGTAATAACCATGAACCAGGAGGGAGCTGCCAACCCCCAAGGCCTCCCCTGCCCCCTCTGAGGAAATTTTTCTTCAGTCAAGCAAATATCCTGCTGGTCAGTCTCAAGCCTCAGTTTCCTCAAGGCCCAGAGAGGCTAGTAAGAAACAGCCCTCATCTCAGGGATTGTTTGGGGATTTGACCCTGATGGGCCTTGGAAGCTCAAGTTATGCCCCTCCCTAGGGGTCCTAAGCACGGCTCAGAAGTGATGGGAGATGTCTAAGATCTGAGACATAGGAAGGCAGGAAGAAGCTGAATATATAGAAAGAAAGTAATTAGGGACAAATATGGTGCATTTGCACACTCAGTGTATGTTGAGCACCTATGGTGTGCCTGGCACTGTGCTGGCCCTGGGTGTACAATGTCAGGCATAGCACGGCCCCAGCCTTCCAAGAGCTCCCAAAGCTGGTTGTAGCCCATATGTCCCAAAATCCAAGTGGGGAAGGGGAAGCTGGGGTGGAATGACATGTTCCCAGGTCAGCTCAGGTCACAGCAGAGGCAGGGCCAGATGACGAGGCCTGTGTCCCAGGCCTTAGGCCCCTGATGCCCTCATCTCCTGGCCCAGAGCACCAGGACCACAGCATCTAGTCCCTATCCAAGTCTGAATAATAACCACAGATGTGAGAGCCAGCCCTGAAGTTAACCAGGGAGGGAGGCACCTCTCGGGAGACAGTTCAGGTCTGACGTTTATGTCTGAGGCTGACAGGTCTGACCTGTGCCTTTCTGACTCTACTCAGCAAGAGCAAGCATTGGTGAGATGAGTGCTCCTCGGGCACCAGTTCTGGTCTTCATTGTGTTGGGACCACGATTCAGGGTCTTACGGGGACAGGGGATGGAGGGAGCTTCACCATGGAGGCTCCTCACACCTCATGAGCCTCCCCTATCGGCCTCAAAGCCCTTCTGTGGCAGGTAGGAAAGGGAGAAACTTCCGGAGCCGATGCCAAAGCTGATGGTCTCCCCTGTCCCGGGGCCAAACAGCCTGAAGAGGAAGAGACAGAGCTGGGAAAAGGTGGGACCAGCTAGGGTGAGACCTTCTCAGACCAAGATCATCCTGTCTCTCTGGTTGCCAAGATCTAACAGGCCACCCCTGAGCCCAGGGCTCCCTCTCAGGCCTGCAGCCCTGCCCCTGGAGTGTGTGTGGATGTAGGTGCTTATATGCATGAACATCTGCCTGCCCATTCACCCCTCCGTGTGTGTGTGTATGTGTGTGTGTGTGTGTGTGTGTGTGTGTGTGTGTTTGTGCATATGCCTGTGTAGGTTTGTGAATGTGGAGGCCCAGGAACTTGAGGACTTGGCCTCCTTTTCCTTCCAAAACCACAAAGCTTCTGGCCGGCCCCAAGCCTTGGTTTCCTCAAGGCCCAGAGAAGCGGATGAGAAACAGACCCAACTAAGCTGCCTGTGGGCACGGGTGGCCCAAGCGTGGGAACCCGTTGGCCTGAGGGCCCTTCTCCTGGGATCTGGATGGCCTGGCACCAGCCAAGGGCCTCTCTGGGCCTTTCCTGTCATGGATGCAGGAAGGGATTCATGAGGCCAGAGCTGCCAGGCTGACCCCAAGATGATGAAGGTGAGCCCCTCAGCTGGGAATGCTGCCCACTCGACCTTGCCATTGCTGTGCCTCTGGAGGGAGGCCAGAGCCACTGAGTTTCCCTCAGTGGATGAAAAAGCCAAGTGGTTGAGAGGAACTGCACCCCACTCCTCTCCACAAAGGAGTCAGACTCCCTGACCCATGCAGCTTAGAGGGTGCACTGGAGTGAAGGAGGCAAAGGGGTTTGTGCTCTCTTCACAGCTTCTACCCGTTTCTGAGTCACATCCATAGATCTCCTGCATCATAGTCAGCTGTGATGGTGGTGGTGGTAGTTGGGGTTATAAAGAACACAGATGCCTGGGATTGCCCCTCACCCTCCCTGCTAGAAAGCCCGACTGAGCTGGCCTGGGGTGAGTTAGGAAATCTGCATTTTAAACAAGGGCTTCAGGTGACTTAGAGAGACACAAGCATAGCAAAGTACAATGTTTTAAGGAGATCCGATTTGGGAGACCGGGGTTTTAATCTCTGCTCAACTTTTTCCCATTCTTAAAATGAGGTTAATAATAGGACTTCGTAGAGATAATGTCACAACATAGATGCTCAATGCATGGTAGAAACAATAACAGCAATGATAATGACAGCAGCTGGCCATTACCAAGCAGTGTCTGTGCCAAGCCTCTCTGTCATTATAGGACTCACATCCAGGAGGCCAGGCTGGGGTACTGAGTGCAGGGCCCCAGCTCTGCTGTCTCCTCCCTTGTAAATGGCAGACAGGAAGTTCCCCTCCTCTTGTTATGGCCCCACAGCTGTCCTTATTCAATTAAATCAGGAGTCCCAGAAGCCCTTGCTCTCATGGGAGATGCAGCGCAGAGCCCCTAGGAGCCAGACCTGGTTTTCTCCGGGCTAATTGGCTAATCATCTGCCGCCTTGATAGCTGGAGGTCTAGACATGACTGGTCCTGGGCCTGGGCCCTCACCCTGCCCATCTCCCTCGCCTGGCTGGCCCCAAGCCTTGCCAGCTCAGAGCCAGGAAGGATTAACATGCAGGCTGGATTTGCTCACCTCATTCCTTATCGAGACCCTGTCCTCTGACACAGGAGGGCAGATGTTTTCTTTCTGCAGACAAAGAACCCTGGGAGCTCTGGACCGGAGGAGGGAGGGAGGTAGATGGCAGCAAGAGGAGAGAGGCAGCCAGGCTCTCCCTCTATCCTCACCTGCCTAGTCTCATCCATCCTCCTTCCCCAGGAATGTAGCCATGGACTCAAACCATTTCAGCTCACCCTAGAGCCCCCTGTGAGAGTGGGCCCACAAATAGCCATGTTTTACAGACAGGAAACTTCAGTGAGGGCTGGTGGCTGACCCAACCAGCAAGTGAGATGGAGCCAGGCCTCAAACACATGTCTCCATACACCATTTACACCTCATCTCTCACCAGTGGGGTGAAGGCAGAGAAAGAGCTTCCGGAGGGTCCTGGGCAGGGGTCCCACTGGCAGAGGAGTCAGAGAGCACAGGCTGCATTAGGTCCCACAGGGAAGAAGAGGCAAGGAGGGGGACACAGGTGAGAAAGAGCTGGGCCTACTCAGGGAGTTGACGCTGATGAGGAGGGATGGTTTGGGCCACAGAGGACGTCAGAGACATCAGCACTAGGCCACAGAGGCCTCAGGAAAGATGAGAAAAGTGAAGACTCAGCCCAGAGAAGAGAAGGTCAAATCTCTTTGTGAATTAAATGTTATTATATTTCCAGTCTTGTGAGGTCAGTATTATTATTCCTATTCTACAGGTGAGAACACCAAAGCCTATAATATCTCTGGAACTTGCCCAAGTACATGCAGCTAGCAATGGGCAGAGCAGCGATCAGCCTGCCCCACACCCAGTCTATCCACCCCTACCCCCAAACTGCTGCATGCAGGAGTCAGCTAGGAATCCCGACTCACCCCAACCCCACCAGCCCTCACCTTCCACACTGCCCATGCCCATGCCAGGAGCTGTTCAACCCCACCCCCTCCAGGAAGCCTCTTGACCAGCCCACCCTAGTTGCCTCTGTCAGACTCCCAGACCAGGCCTTGGGTGTGCCAATATGCAGGCTTCTGGGTCCTAGTCTACTTGAGTAGCTGCATGGGCTCTAGGCTCACACAGCCCTAGCTTTGAAATCTAGCTCTCAGTTATGCGTGTTGGATCATCTGTGCCTCAGTTTCCTCATCTGTAAAATGGGACTAATAATGGCACTTACTTCAAAGTACAGTAAAGATTTAAAGAGATACCACAGGTGCAGGATTCACCCAGCGAGGAGTAAAGTGAGGTTCGGAAAAGGTGTGTGCCTTCCCCAGCATCACAGAGTGTACTAGCAGCAGTTAGAACTGGTACTTTCTAGCTGAGAGATGAGGAAAGAGGCCCACATTAGAGGCTGCTCCAGATCTCCAGACCAGTGGTCCAGTGCTCCTACTCCTTAGTCATGAAATCACCAGGTCTTCATGGTTGTGAGTGCTCAGAGCCAGGCCCTGGGAAGGCCGGAGAGTGACAGCTTCCAGACCAGAGACTCTGCTGCCCACTCTTCCAGCCCTCATGCTCCCTCTGGGGCTGCCTCTGCCTCACCCTGGTGGTCTGTCTGGGGTGTGGGGCTGTTTGCAACAGGCGCCTATTGTCTGATGGCCTGAGTGCACCTGTAGTGTGCCTCGTCCCAGCCTGGTGAGTCAGCTTTTGGCAGGCCATGGGGCAGCCACTCCACATCATCTTAAGCCTGAAAGAGGACCTTTCTTTTCGTTTTTCTCCTCCTTCCTCTCTCTGCTCTCCATGAAGTGGTCATCTCCGCAGGGCAGCAGGGAATATCATTCTCTGCCAGGATTTCTTGAGTCTGCTTGGCCAGGAGACAGGGTGGGGCCTAGGAAACAAAGAGAGGGCGGCCTAGGTCTGGCCAAAGCCCTTGGGCTACTTTAGGGCAATGCTTGTGGCCTCAGGCTCCCCACTGTCAGTGGGGGTACATAAATCAGAACAAGTACAGCAACACTTTACTTATCGAGAGCCCATATACTTGACAACCTCTACCATCTGGACTCAGAACTGAGATCAAAAAACTATTGAGCAGACTAAGGGTACACCTGACAATTGTCTGACAAGTGTCTGACAAATAAATGTTAGAGCTTCACTCATCAATTTTTCCCCTACCTAAATCAGAGCCTATCTACTTCAACCTTACACAGTATTCTAGCAGGCTTGGTTATATAATCCGCATATGTACTAAAAGAATAAAAGGCTGTTAAGGTTATTCGTATTGACAGCAACAAGGCTGACAGCAAACAGGTGGCAAAGACACAATGATAAAAAGTAGATCTGAGAACTAAAAAATTAAAGCAATCTCAAGTTATTTGGGGTAGAAGCAAAGCAGATGACATACCCCAGTTCTTAGGGGAATCACTGTTTCACTTCCAGAAGGGGATATTTATAATGGGGTCCTGAGTCTTCAATGGAAAATGGAATTATGGGCAATTTCTGTTTAAGAAGGTTTGAAAGTATATGATGTATTTTTAATAGGACTTTCAAAGAACATGATTTTGTTTTTCTGTATGTTTTTGACATTTAAAGAATTAAGCACATTAAGAGTTAATAATGGCAGACTAAGTGATTTAGACCAATGCTCCCACTGAGGACAACTAGAACAGCTGAACAAAATATTCTAAAAGTCCACTTGAAGGCATCAGAGAACTAATTGCTGGGCCATGACTAAGACCTAGAGAGGTATGAGTGGCATTTAAGGCCATTTCCCTCCTGAGGGTGTGTGCTCTTTTAGGGGGGGTCAGTTGGGAGTCCAAGACGCTGAACAACTCTTTTGACAGCATTGTGGGACTAAGAGGACATGGATTGAAGTTCCCAGCTTGCCAATGGATTGAAGTTCCCAGCTTGCCAAGAGGTGGAACTTAATGAACTTCCTCTCTTTAAGCAGGGACCCCAAAAGGGCTACACCCTAGGAGTTATGGGTGAACCACTCACTCAATCCTCAAAACTGAAGTAGGAGATCCTGTATTATTACTGTCCTAGGCACCTGGCTGACACGAATGTGAATCCTTTCTGAAGGAAGATAACCTCATTCTAGGCTTCATTTTATTTTTACAAATGATGGTATAAATACAGTGTCCAACACATAATCAAAAATAACCATATACATAAGAAGTCAGATAACACACTATTAAAAACATCAGAAATAATAGACAACAGAAACAGACCCATAGAGGCCACATGTTTTAGAGTAATCAGCAAAGATTTAAAGAAACTATGCTTACTAGGTTCAAGGAGATTGTTGTGGTTACTATTGCTGCATAACAAATTACCCCCCAGAACTTAATGGTGTAAACAACAATTTTGTTTACTCATAATTTGCTGGGTCAGAAATTGAGGAAGGACTTGACTGGGCAGTTCTCACTCACAGTCTCTCATGCAGTTGCTGTCAGATATCAGCTAGGGCTAGATATCCAAGAGAGCTTCCTTATGTGTCTGGCAGTTGGTGCCAGTTGTTGGTTATGAGCTCAGCTAATGTTGTTAACCAGAGCACCTATACGTGACCTCTTTCACATAGCAGCCTCAGGGTAGTTGGATGCCTTACATGGCAGCTGGCTTCTCCCAGAGTGAGTATCCCAAAAGAGCCAGGCAGAAGATGCATGACTTTTTCTGACCTAGCCTCAGAAGTCACACAACATCATTTCTTCCGAGTTCTGTTAGGCACAGGAAGTGACTAAAGCTTCAAGGGGAATAAATTCAAGGGGAGGGATAAGAGGCCCTCCTACCTCTCAATAGGAGTACTGAAAAATTTGCAGCCAAATTTTAAAACTTCCACAGAGGTAAAAGAATTAAGCTTCTATAGTTAAGAAAATTCCAGTAGATTGGTGATCTCTTCTGAACAATGAGATGGTCTATACTCTATCCCAATGAACTGCCTATCAGCCTTCTGCCCCAGGAAGATCTCACAAGCCTGGCTGAGCCAGGTCACATAAACATCTTCACAACACAATGCTTTGCTGCTAGAGGTGGTCAAAATGCAGGTGGCACCCCAGCTCCACATCCACATTCACAATGACTCCCCAACCCTCACCCACCCTCGCCCCTCCTGAAGTCTGTTTTCCCCACAGAAGTGGCAAGGAATCTCCTCAGAAAGCCCAAGAAAGCATGAAATGGCAGAATTAGAAATGATTTCGGGTGGCATATATCTGTCCTTGGGCTTCCCAAACCTGGCTGATCCTTAGTACACTTGCTAAGATGGGAGATTCTCCAACTGGGAGAAGACATTTGCCACTTAAAAACCTGGCAGCGATTAATATGTAAAATAGTCAAGCTCAAGGTTGAGCACTGGAGCCAGAAGAGAGAGAGAGAGAGAGAGAAAGAAAATAGTCAAGGAACTCCTGTTAATCATCAAGAAAAAGACAGGAAACTCAATAGAAAAAAAAAATGGGCAAAAAATATGAATAGGCACATCCTAAAAGAGGGAGTGCAGTGGCTGATGAAGAGATATGCTAATTCACTAGTCATCAGAGAGATGCATGCTTCAAACAATAATATAGCTTCACGCCTAAGTGAATGGCACAAATTAGAAAGGTGGATCATGCTCAGTATAGGGAGATGGGACTCTTGTGTCCTATAGGCGAGAGGATAAACTAGTACAGCCATTCTGAGAGCAATCTGTCTGTATCTAGTGAAACTAAATATGTGTATGGCCTGCATCCCAGAATCTCACAAATGGGTCTATAGCAGGGGAGAATGATCATGCAGGAATGAAAGAGGACTTGTACATGGTGCTTGTGGCAGCAAAATTTGGGGTAGTAGGAAGTCGGAGGCAACATAAATGTTCATCCCTGGAGGAGTAGATAAGTAAGGTGGGTGGCTTCTTTCCAAGTGGCAGTTAGAAACAGGCCAGATGTACAGACATAGATCTTAATAGCAATGTTGAATGAAAAAAGTGAGAAACAGAAGGAGAATTACAGCATAGTACCATTTATATAAATTATAAAACATGCAGAAAACACCACCACCCGGCATACAAAGAAGATGCATATTTAAAGACCTATATCAAACACATAGAATGAAGGTCTAGGTCTGGTCGGAAGGCGGGAAGAATGAGAGTGGAAATGTAGGTGAAGGAGAAAAAATACAATGAAAAGTAACATTTCAAGGGGGCTTTGAATAGACTACTGTTAGGATGCTGGGAATCAATGAGTATAATTGAATCAATTATCTATATCTGAGGTAAAAATAAATAAGTAAAGCAGATTTCTAGACTTTAACTACAGGGATTCAGTTTCAATAAGCCTGTAGTGAGCCCAAGAATATGGGCCCTGGTGATTGTCAATGCTCACTCCAACATCCTAGATAGATGATCACAGTGGCTACCTGAAAACACCTGGTGATGGGAGCCCATTCCTGTACTAGTGGGCTGTTCCAATTCTTGATAGGACTTCCTAAGGCCAAGATTTACCTCTCTGTACCTTCCAAACCATTGATCCAAGTTCTGTTCTTCAGAACAAATAAAATAATCAGGTTCCTCCTGCTTCTGCATGCCAGTCCTTTAGTAAACCAGAGAGAGTCAGCATATTCCTCTCCCATCCCACAGGCACAGGCATCTTGTCCAAACTCGATAGCTCTCCATTCCTCCAGCATCTCCAAGCCCACCAAGGTTCTCTCCTCTACCCTGCTCCCACCCCAGCCAAGCTGTTCCCCTAGGTCTGTTCTAACTGCCAATGTTTCTCCTCAAACATGGCTCCTCAGAGAGACCCCACACTCCGAGTACAGCCTGACCAGCTCAGAGCATAGCAGAACATATACCTCCTGTCAGGGCCCTGTGTTCCTGTGGGTATAACCTCACATTACAGTCAGTTTGGTGTTTTTTGTTTGTTTGTTTGTTTTTGTTTTTAATTAGCGCTCAGTGAGTTTATGGTGGGCCAGACTTACAGGTCTTTTTCACTAGAATTGATACAAGGGCTGCTTTATCCATTTACACACACACACACACACACACACACACAAATATATATATGGCACAAAAAAATACACAAAAGATATACATACAGTACAAAGCAAGACCCCAGCCAGCCACTTTTCAGATACACTTTTCTTGTGTATCTGTCTGCAGATGATCTGTACATATACAAACGGAGACACACATTCCTAATCATACAAAGAGCTGCATAGTCTACACTATCAGTGTGCACTGTCGGGCACCTTGCTTTTTCACTTAACCAGGTATCTTGGGGAATTTTCCTTATCCGTACATAATTCCTTGGCTCATTCTCTGTATCAGGCCCATAGCCTTCCATTGTGTGGATCTACCTAAAGTATTCAACCAATCCCCTACTGGTGGACATTTTGGTTGTTTCTAGGCCTTTGCAGCATTTAAGGCCATGTTGCCAGGACTCCTTTTGCACATAAGTCAGCATTTCTGTAGGATCAATCCCCATGTGCCTTTTGACTTGATTTTTTTCTCTCCCTAGAGCTGGACTTGTCACTTATGCCTACTGTTGATCTCTCTTGTTGGTTTTACCCATTGTTCCAGGCACTGTCAGGCTAATTTTGAATCCTCATTGTGCTGCCAAGCCTGCTCCTCTCAGCTGTGGGTCATCTGCAAACAGAGGGAGGGGAGCTTCTCAGGTCTCCATTCAAGCAATTGATAAAAATGTTGAGGGGGATGGGGCCAAGGACAAGGGCCGTGAAACAAGCCCTAGAGAATTCCAGGTGTCCATTCATCATTTGTCACCATGGTTGAGTCCCTGCTGTTAGCATGGGAGCTGGCCTCACTAGCATATCCTAACAGGCCTATATTACCCTCTTGGCCAAAACTCAGCATTCTCACCTCCAGCAGTCCAGCATCCCAGTGAGAAAGAGCTGAGGCTGGTTAGCACGGCATTGTTTGCTTCCAGTAGAACCAGCTGGAGGGTCTGGAGAGGAAATCCCTGGAATTTGTGGTCAACAGAGCTGGGGGCCTGTCCTGCCCAGTTCTAGCGATGTGGTTTGGGGCAAATTACTTAACCTCCAAATGCCTCAGGTTCCTCACTTGCCAACTATGGTAACAAAACCCATCTCTCCATGTTTTAAGAATATATGAAATTACATGTAAGCAGAAGGGTTCTACTATTTATCTGTCTGTCCATCTGTCTTCTTTATCTATGAATTCACATAATAATCAACTCTCAAGTATTCACTGGGAATTGACTTCAAGCTCAGAAGTCTGTCATTTCCTAAATAGAGTCTTCACACTTTTATACATTAGAACATGCTCAGCCCAGCTTTGGCTTTCTGCCTTCCGTCTGTAGCTGAGGTTTCTGTGCTTATGAGCAGGAGGTCTTTCAGCACTGGAAATGAAAGTCCCTCTAGCCCCAGACTTGGCCCCATGAAGGGGGCTTGCTCAATCCTAACATCTCTTGTCTTTTCTGGGACTCACCCATCGGATTCACTCTTCTCTGCTGTTGGCTTGTCCCCCCTGTGGGGGAGAAGTTGGGGCTATTTTTTGCTCCAACAGAGCTAAAAGAAAGAATGCAATTTGAGGTCTTCATCCCTGAGATCTCAGCTCCTTCCTCCAGGGTGAGCCATGCACTGGTATTTGGCCTAAGTCCATTTTGCCAGATTTTGAACATGGACTTTCAAAATGGAGGGCTTTTTAGCACCCTGCACCCACCTCCTTCTATTTGGCCAAGATGGGCGAGGAAGGGCTCCACTGCAAAACCTGGTGTCTCTCCGGGTTCTCCAAGCCTTCCAAAGTGTAAAGCCATGGGATCCTTTCTTTTCCATGGAACTGCTTACCAGCAAACCGCTTTCCTGGAGTCCAGGACGCCCATCATCCTCAGGCCCACCTCCTTGTGCTCACTGCTGAGCCTTCTCAATGATAAGGCTACTGTCAGTGCCAGCTGATGTGGGTGTGGGCAAGGACCCCATTCAACTCCGCCTCGTTTGTTCAACAATCAAGTATTATGGGCATGTTCTAGGCCAGACCCTCCATTAGGTTCTGGGATCGCAAAGCAGCCTCCAACCCAGCTCTGGAGAAGACGCACGAAGGCTTCATGAAGGCTTTGCCAGGAGGGGCTGTGAATCAGGCAGCTGCACGCGCCCAGGCCACAGGGTGGGCCACTTCTGCGAGTTTTCTCTCTGCCAGTTTCATGACCTCCATCAGGTCTCTGGCTCCCATCCTGCCAGCTCTGGGTTCTGAGATGAGTGGAGCCTTTGTCTGATGGGTAGACTAAGCCTGAGACCCTAGAGGCATCACTTCTTTTCTCAAATGTTTAAACGGGAGGGGCATGGGGGTAGGAGCAGTTAGGGAGAGCCAGGGCACAACCCCAGGTCTGTGTTCTCCCAGCCCAGGTTCTTTCTATTGTTCCCCAAGCCCTCAGCCCCGGTCTCACTCCCTTACTCCTCACCTACTTCTATCTCACTGTTTTCTAGAAAGAAGAGGCAGTAGGAAGAACAGGGCTCTATATCAAGCCCTGTTGCTGAGTGGACTCATATCTCATCAGTCTTGTCCCCCCAGGCTTGTCTCCATGTTTAGCAGTCCAACCTGTGCATGAATGACTAGAAATCAAGAGGAAGGCGAGCTGTGGCCATGTGAGAGGTATGGTTCCCGGCATTCCACGTTCAGAAGGAAGTGGGCATCATCCAGCTGTTGGGTTCCAGGACAGGCCCTTGAAGGGAAGGGGTGGCATGGGCATGCAGATGCAGAGGGAGAGGAGAATGCAGGGGGTGAATTGGGAGAAGCCCCTGTTTGCAGTTTGCAGTTTTCCTGCAACATGTGGTCTTACCTGCCATGAGCTGGGCAGGCAGGGCAGCAGCTGTGCTAGCCTGGGAAGGGCAAGTAAAGCCTGGAATGGTCAGGGTTCATAGCAAGCAGGGCCCAGCTCTCCAGCAACCTCTCCCAGGGCAGGAGGCATGGGCTCTGGAAGTCTCCAAGTCTTCCTCTGTACATGTGGGTCCCCACATCTGTTCTCTGCAGGCAGGAGACACATTCTCAGCCTGAGAGGGAAGTTGGGCTTGTCCCTGCTTACAGCACCTCTCCCTGGCGGGCCCAGCTGGCCCAGAGGTGAAGGGTGAGCAGGCAGGCAGCCTTGGCAGTCCAGAGGAGCAGCAGCACACCCTGGGGGCGGCCCGAGCCCTGGCAGCCAACTCTGCTGTCCTTGCAGTGCAGCCAGAGACAGGAGGGGGCTGCTCAGGGTCCTGCTCTGAAGGATGGGGCTGGAGTTTGACATACTTAGCTTGGGTCGCACAGGAGATAGGGGTGCCCTGGGATGAACCCCTCTGCCTGGCTGCTGCAGGGCGGCCTAGCAGCAGCTGGAAGAATCAGTTCTGGGCCAGGGCCCTGCCAGAGCTTTCACCCCCACCCAGGGTAGAGCACCTGGAAGTGCCCCTCAGAGACAAGTCCCTTGATCTCTTGGGGCCCCCATTCCCTCAGGCAGCTCATGGAGGCCTCTCAGGGCTAAATGAGATCATGCGGATGGCGTGGTTAGGACAGTCTGACACAAGGGCAGTGTTTGTGAGTGTGAGTTGCCGCTACTGTGGTGGTGTCATTAGTAATATTCCTCTACTCTAGGCCACTCCCCACCCCTGCCTGAGGCAGCTCTTGTCTGATGCCAACTGAGATTAGGGTCATTTGGGTGAGGGCCATGAGGCCGGACTTTGTGTGTGGGGTGGGGGTATGGGGGAACTCCCCACAAAGAGGCGGCTCCTTCTGGTGGGGCTCAGGGAAGAAAGAGAAGGCCTCAGACAAGATGCTGGATTTCAGGAGGTGGGAATCCTGACTCCCAGCTCAGCCTCTGAAGGTGCTGGGTGTCTGAGATGAGTCTGTGTTGCAGGAGTGAGTGTCATGGGGCTTTGGCCACAGAGATGCCACCCAGAAGCCAGCAGAGGCACCCTGTAGGGGGCCTCCAAGTGGAAAAAGAGCAGGCTTAGGCAATGCATTGTCAGCCACACCACCTCAAAGGCCTTATCTCTCTGAGTTTACTGCCTTTGGCTTTTTAAATACTCCAGCCTGGTCCCTGGTGCTAAAAAGAATTAAAGGACAGCACCTGTGTCCATCATTCATTCATTCACTCCTTCCTTCTTTCAGTGCCTGTAAGATGTAGGATCAACAAGACACACGCCTGCCCTCAGGCTGTGGTGGACACTCCCTTGAACAGGCTCATACCTCTCCCCACAAGACCACTGTGAGATGGCATCAGAATCTGGCGAGAGACCCCCATGGGGCAGATCCAGGCACCAAGCTGCCGCTCTTAGTCAGGAAGGTACTTCCAGTGCCAATTTTGGGAGTTCTGGGCTCATCTTTATTAAACAGGTGGCATTTCCATACTGTCCCATTATCCATCAGGAAAATGGAAGTTTCCTGTTCCTTCTCTGTGTCCACATTTGTGGACATTGCCAAAGTTCTGACAATGGCCTACCACCAGCCCCTACAAAATCTAGTCCCTCCTACTTCTCTGATCTCACCTCCCACTACTCTCCCTCATTCATTCCACACTGGTCTCCTTGCTATTCCTCCAATAAACAGCTCTGTTTCCACCCCGGGGCCTTTGCATGTGCTGCTCCCCCTACAGGGCATGTTCTCCTCCAGTCATGCACATGGCTCCCAGTTTCAAGTCTTTACTCAAATGTTATCCTCTCAGGGTGGCCTTCCTTGACCTCCCCATTTAAAATTGCATCACACCCTACACCCTTCACTCCTGTCCCCTTTCCCTTTATCTTTCTCCAGTGCACCTACCACCCTCTAAAATTGTGTTTAATGTTTGTCACCCTGCACTTGAATGCCAGCTCCATGAAGTCAGGGACTTTTGTCAATTTTGCTCACTGCCGTTCTAGTGCCTAGAACAGGGTCTGGCACATAGAAAGTTTTCAGTAAATATGCTGAATAGGAAAGGGAGGCAATATTCAGAATCTACAAACCCCAAGGAGACTGCAGCATGGTCTCCATGGGGGTGGCAAGTGGCCAGTAAGTCTTGCTGGGGGGTGACCTGACCTACAGCCATGGGCACATGAGTGGAAGGGCTGCAAGGCAGGGTGCCGAGGGAAGAGCCAAGGGTCATGCCCCTTGTTCCCTTAGTGCCACCTCATTCTGGATGCAGCTTGATGTGTCTGTTAGGAAAGGGAAGTTACCTTAACTGGGCACCTACTATGTGCCTGGCAAATTTCATGCACTTCCCCTTTACAGCAGCCCATGAAGCAGCAGAGGAAGAAACCAAGACCCAGAGAGGTTACTTAACTTGCCTAGAGTCACAGAGCTAGTAAGGGAGGGAGGAGAACTCACACCTAGGTCTGATTCCTTGCATTACTGTCTACCCCGGGGATGGTGAGAAGGACTCCATAGGCTCAGTTGGAAGAATTAAGAACTTGTGATTCTGCAGAGCGGTCTCCATGGGGACAGCACGGGTTGATGGGGTGGGCTGAAGCAGCCTGGGCTCCCATATATGCTGTTAGGCACTTCAGTTCCAACCATGGGAAAAATCTAGGCCCTTTAGCTCCCATCATGGGGTGAATCCCCTACCCTGGGTGAGCGGTGGGAGTTTCTCAAGGCCATCTCAGGGGTCAGGGACAGCTTGACTCAGCTCCTGCTGGCTGGCAGCTCCCTCTGCTGGACCCAGCCCCAAGGACGAGCTCAGACACAGGGACGCCTCCGTCTGTCTGCACTTGGGCTCTGGCAGCCCCCCCACATTGCATGCGGGGCAGTCACATGCAGGGCACCTGCCAGGTCCTCAACGTGTCAAGGGACAGGATCTTCCAGAGGACCTAATCTGGGTGACCTGGGAACCTTACATGGGGAAGAGAATAGGAAGGAGCTTTGACCACCGCCACTACCACACTCAGCCCAGACACAACGGCTGCATCTGCAGACAGGGGCTGGGTCTCCTCATGGGGCAGGGAGCTCCCTATAAGCAGGGGCTGACTCTCCCATCAGACTGGAAACTCCCTGAGGGCAAGGGTTCTGTCTTTCTCCTTCAGACTGGGAGCTCCTGGTTTGTCCCTCTGCTCACCTGTGATAGAAGCCCAGCTTAGCCCCCCAGGCTGGGCCAGCCCCCAAGGCATCCTGGGGCACTTTCTCAGCAGCCTGGCCACTCCCAGCCCCCAGACACCTGTCCCCGCCACTCTCCCCACTCCCTAGGCTCCTCCACCCTGCTGTCAGAGCAGAGCTGACACTGGGTAGTGCTGGTAAGTGCCACCCTGACCTCAGCAGCCCTGGAGGCAGTGCAGTGAGTGGCCTAAAGAGCTGTGCCAGGGATGGGACGTGACTGCCCCCCTGAACTCAGCTGCAGGCTTGGCCATGAGGAAAGCGATACCTCAGGGAGGCGGAGTGACCAGTGACATCAGCGTACGTGACTGTCAGCCCAGCTCTCCCCTCTGCCCTCCACCCTCCCCCACCCCACAGTGCCTGCCGAGCACACTGACCTTCAGCTCACGGGCACAGGCCTCTCTATGTGCCCGCTCCAAGGAGAGGGGCAGTGCCCAAGGGGATGGGGCTGCTCTCTGACTCCTTGTCTTCTAAGTGAGTGCTCAGGGGGTGGAGGAGAACACAGGCCCCAGCCCTCTGCAGCCTGGGCTTCTGGATCAGGAGCCAGCTTCTTACTGGGTGACCCTCCCCGGCAGCCCTGCCCTGAGGAAACTGATCATTCTCTTGGCTCTGCGAGACCTTCCTTCTGAGTGTCTGGCAGGCTTCTAGTGACTTGAAGCCAGTGTAGAGGGCAACTGGCTTCCCACCCCGAGCCTGCTGATGGAACTGCCAGGCCTGCATCCCTAGGGGCAGAGTCCCTGCCCAGATGAGCAGTGCTGGCTGTCCCAGGGAAGCAAGTTCAACTACCTTGGATGACCACCATTTGTCCCCGAGATGGCTTCTGCAAAAGCCTGTCTAAGTGCCCCCCTAGACCCCACCCAAGGAGTGCCAGGTCCAGAGCTCAGCATTCTATTATAGCTTCCAGCCTGGGGAAGACCAGTCAGAGACACCAAAAACTAGACCACAGTTGCCAAATTTGTTCCCTTGTGCACTTTTGTCAGTGAATATATCATTGTGCATCTCAGTATAGGTATATTTCTTTATTTAAAAATTATGTATGTTAAGGCCAACATTGCAGGTAGGCTGAAGTGTAATACTAGTTGTGGCAAGAAAAATCATCAAAACAGCAAGACATCTAACAGGGACATCCAGGAGCACGAAAGCCATAGTGAGCCTTGATGAGCTCCCACCTACCCCTGACGATGTGGAAGGTTGTATGCACACTGGGGGAGACTGAAAGAGCTTGGCTATCTACTCATCCCTGGCTGAGCATACAGAGAGTTAAATTCAGGGGAGACCTGTGAACCCCCTGAAGTTTGAATATGTTCCCCAACCCACATACAGATCCATTGGCAGAGGGTAGAAACCTTATGAGATCAAGGTATTTAAGCATAATCTACCTCTGACCAATCACTGGCTGAACACTAAGTTATGCTGACCCAGGGGCAATTCCTAGGAAGCCAGGCTGAAAAATTAAAACAAAAATTAAAAATAAAACAAAACTGAGCAGAGATATCAGCGGCCTCACACTGTGAGGAAGACAGATTCCATAGAATCAGCCTAGGCAAATCCCTAGACAACCAATCAACCAACAAAAACCTCAGCAACAACAACCCAGGTGGTGGTGGTGGTGCTGGTTGTGAATCAGCATTCAGAATTGCTACAGTGTATTATCAAAAATGTCTGGTTTTCAGCAAGAAACTGTAAGACATGCAAATAAACAGGAACGTGTAATCCATTCAGAGGGAAAAAGCAGTCAAGAGAAACTGTCTTTGAGGTGTCCAGATGTTGCATTTGACAGACAAAGACTTCAAAGAAGCTATTATAAATGTTGTCAAAATAACAGAACCCATGTACAAAGAATTAAGGAAATACTCTCATCAAATTATTCATCAAATAGAAAATATCAATAAAAAGGTAGAAATTATGTATATTTTTGAAAAGAACTGGAAATTCTGGAATTGAAAAGTATAACTGCAATGAAAAATTTACAGCAGGGGTCTAACAGCAACTTGGAACTGGAAGAATAAAGAATCAGAAAACCTAAAGATAGATCAATTGAGATTATCCAAGCTGAAAAACAGAAAGTAAAAAAGAACAAGGAAAAATGAACAGGGCCTCAGAGATCTGTGGAGCATTGTCAAACATATCACTATACACATAATGGGAGTTTCGGAAGGAGAGAAAAGGGCAGAAAAAATACGTGAAGAAATAGTGGCCAAAAAGCTTCCAAATTTGATGAAAGGCATTACACATTCAAACAAAGTGCAAATAGGCTAAATACAAAAAGATCCATAGACAAACACCATAGTAACCCTGTTGAAAGACAGAGACAGGGAAAATCTTGACGGCAGCAAGAGAAAAAGGATGCATTACATAGAAGGGAACTACAATATAATTAACAGCTGATTTCAGATCAGAAACAATGGAGGCCAGAAGGAGGTGGGATGGCATATTCAAAGTGCTGAAAAGAAGACAAAAACTGTCAACCAAGTAGTCATATCTAATACAAGTATTCCTTTAAAATGAAACTGAAATAAAGACATTCCCAGGTAAACAAAGGGTGAGAATTTGTTGTTGGCATGCGTGTCTACAAGAAGTACTCAAGGAAGTCCTTCGGGCTGAAAGGAAATGACATCAGACAGTGACATGAATCCACTTGAAGAAGTAAAGAACACACGAAAAAGGTAATTACATAGGTAAATGTAAGACACTATAAATACATTTTTCTTTTAACTTATCTAAACTACAATTGCATAAAATACTAATTATAAAATTACTATTGACCCTTGAACAACACAGGTTAGAACTGCACAGGTCCATTTATACATGGATTTTTCTCAGTAAATATATTGGTAAATGTTTTGGAGATTTTGCAACAATTTGAAAAAACCTGCAGGCAAACTGTGTAGCCTGTCAATATCAAAAAAAAAATAAGAAAAAGGCAGGTATGTCATGAATGCATAAAACACGTGTAGCTACTAGTCATTTTATCATTTACTACCATAAAATGTACACAAATCTAATATAAAAAGTTAATAATTTATCAAAATGTACACACACAAACACAGATTGTAAATGACACTATTCATAGTTGAGAGTAATGTAAACATAAAAATACAGCATTAAGTTATAACTGCATAAAATTAACTGTAGTGTATGCTGTACTGCTATAATAATTTCGTAGCTACCTCTTGTTGCTATTGTGGTGAACTCAAGTGTTGTAGGGCTTAAAATGCCATGCGATGTTAATCATCTCTGCATGAGCAGTTCATCTCTCCAGTAAATTGTGTATCACAGTAAAGAAAGATCTCTTGCTGTTCTCACATATCTTTCATTGTATTTAGTGCAATGCTGTAAACTTTGAATAACACCATGGGATCTATACGAAGTGCCACTAGTGATGCTGGAAGTGCTCCCAAGAAGCAGAGGAAAGTCATTACATTCAAGAAAAACTTGAATTGCTTGATATATACTGTAGACTGAGGTCTGCAGCTGTGGTTACCCACCATTTCAAGATAAACGAATCCACTGTAAGGACCACCGTGAAAAAAAGAAAAGGAAATTTGTGAAGCCATCACTGCAGCTATGCCAGTAGGCACAAAACCTTGCACTTTTTGTAAAATGTCTTTTTATCAGCTTGTATGGTGAGTGCAGGATTGCTATAAGAAAAGTATACCTAATATTCAAGAAGTGAAGTAATTATATGACAAGTTAAAGCAAAAGGAAGGTAAAGACTCTAAAGCTGGAGAATTTAATGCCAGCAAAGGATGGTTTAATAATTTTAAAAAGAGGTTTGGCTTGAAAAATATTAAGATAACAGAAGCTGCTTCTGCCAACCAAGGGGTGGCAAATTCCCAGAATTAAGAAAATCATTGAGGAGAAAGGATATCTGCCTGAACAGGTTTTTAATGCGGAGAAAAGTGACCTATTCTTGAGGAGGATGGAAGAAACACCACAAAGAACAGTTATTAATAAGAAACGGAAGTGAGCACCAGGACTTAAGCAGGAAAAGATAGGCAAATGCTATTGTTTTGTGCAAATGCAGTTGGGTTTATAATAAGCACTGCCTTTATCCATAAAGCTACTAACCCTTGAGCCTCAAGGGGAAAAGGTAAACAGCTGCAGTCTTTTGATTGTACAACAAGAAGGCCTGAATTGTCCCAGCAGTGGGGGTTCCCACCTCTAATCCCAACACTTTGGGAGGCCCAGGCAGGATCCCTTGAGGCCAGGAATTCAAGATCAGCCTGGACAACATGACGAGACCCTGTCTTTACAAAAAGAGAAGAAGAAGAAGGAGAAGGAGAAGGAGGAGGAGAGGAAGAAGAAGAAGAGGAGGAGGAGGAGGGAGAGGAGGAAGGAGAAGAAGAAGGAGAGGAAAAATTTAAAATATTAGCTGGCATGGTGGTGTGGGCCTGTAATCCTGGCTACTTGGGAAGCTGAGATGGGAGATTGGTTGAGCCCAGGAGTTCAAGGTTACAATAAGCTATGACTGCACTACACTCTACCCTGGGCAACAGAGCAGGATGCTGTCTTTATTTTTAAAAAATAATAATAAGAAGAAAGCCTGAACAACAAGAACACTTTTTCTGGATTTGTTCAATGATACTTTGTCCTTGAAGTCAGGAAGTACCTTGACATTAAGGGACTGCCTTTTAAAGTTCTTTTGATATTAGGCTATACCCCTAGCTACCCAGAACCCCATGACTTCAATACTGAAGGTGTCGAAGTGATCTATTTGCCCCCAAAATGATGTCTCTAATTCAGCCGCTAAATCGGGGGGATCATAAGGGCCTTTAAGGCTCATTACACTTGGTATTCTATGGAAAGGATTGTCAACGCTATGGAAGAGAACCCTGATAGAGAGAACAACATGAAAGTCTAGAAGAATTACACCTGTGAAGATGCCGTTGTTATAGAGAAAGCTGTGAAAGCCATCAAGCCCTAAACAATAAATTCTTGCTGGAAAAGACTGTGTCCAGATGTAGCGCCTGACTTAACAGGATGTACAAATGAGCCAAACATGGAAATCATGAAAGAGGTTGTGTGCACGGCAAAAAAAAAAAAAAAAAAAAAGGAGGAGAGTGAAGGATTTCAAGATATGGATCTTGGAGAAATTCAAGAGCTAATAGACACCACACCAGAGAAATTGACAGAAGATGACCTGATGAAGATGAGTGCTTCCAAACCCATGCAAGACAATGAGGAAGAAGACATAGAAGAAGCAGTGCCAGAAAACAAATTGACATTAGACAATTTGGCAGATGAGTTCTATTATCCAAGACTGCTTTTGACTTCTTTCACAACGTAGACCCTTCTGTGATATAAGCACAAAACTAAAGCAGATAGTGGAAGAAGGATTAGTATCATATAGAAACCTGTTTAGAGAAATGAAAAAGCAAAAAGGCAGAAAATATTATGTATTTCCATAAAATTACACCAACTATGCCTGCCTTTCCTGCTTCCCCTTCCACCTCCTCCACCTCTTCCATCTCTGCCACTCCTGAGACAGCAAGACCAAGCCCTCATCTTCCTCCTCCTCCTCCGCCTACTCCATGTGGAGACGATCAGGATGAAGACCTTTATGATGATCCACTTTCACTTAATGAATAGTAAATATATTTTCCTTGTGATTTTCATAATAACATTTTCTTTCCTCTAGCTTACTTTATTGTAAGAATATAGTACATACTACATATAACATAGAAAAATATGTGCTAACATACTGTTTATGTTATTAGGCTTCTGGTCAATAGTAGGCTAGTAGTGGTTAAATGTGGGGGGAGTCAAAAGTTATACGTAGATTTTCAACTGTGAAGGGGGTCAGTGTCCCAGCCTCTGCATTGTTCAAGGGTCAATTGTATATTGTTGGGTTTATAACATATGAAGATGTAATATATATGATAATAATAGCACAAAAATGCTAGAGAGTAGAGCTATATTGGAGCAAGGAAAAGACAACAGAAAATAACTCAAATCCAGAGGAAAAAATGAAGAGCACCAATATGGTAAATATGTGGGTTAACATAAAAGATTCTATAAGTTTATTTTTCCCCTTTCTTCCCTAAAATTCCTTAAGAGACATAAAATGACACAAAGCAATAAACCCAACATTGTCTTGTTGGATTTGTAACATATATGGATGTAATACACACAACAGTAATAGCACAAAGGATGGGGAAGGGAATGGACTTATATTAGAGCAAAGTTTCTATAATTTATTGAAATTGCATTAGTATTAATCTGAAATAGATTGTAATAAATTATAATGCATGTTATAACCCCTAGAATGAGAACTAAGAAAATAACTCAAATATATAATAAAACAACAACAAAGAGTTTAAAAGGTACACTAGAAAAATATTTAACACAAAAGAAGGCAATAAAGGAAAGCTGAGAAAAGAAAGACATGAAACACGGAAAAAAAAGAGCAAAACTTCAGAGACAAATCCAACCATATCAATAATGACACTAAATGTGAATGACTTAAACACTCCAATCAAAAGTCAGAGATTATCAGATTGGACTTAAAAACAAAATCTATTTATATGCTGTCTTTAGAGCAAAAGACATACATAGGTTGGAAGTAAAAGAATGGGAAAACATAAACCTACACATATAAATATATAAAAACATATGCAGATAATAACCATAAGAAAGCTAGAGTGGCCATATAATTATTAGCCAAAAAAGACTTCAACACCAATTATATTTGTATTTGTCTAATATAATTATTTGACAAAACAGACTTTAAAACCAAAAAATGATAGTAGAGACAAAGAGTGACATTATATAATAATAAAAGGGTCATTTCATCAGAAAGACATAATAATTAAACACATATCCACCTAAAACAGAGCTCCCAAAATACATGAAACAAAACTAACAGAAACAAAGGATGAAATAAGATAATTCAACAATAATAGTTGCAGATTTCAATACTCCATTCTCAATAATGTATAGAACAACTAGACAGAAAGCCAGCAAGAATATACAAGACTTGAGCAACACCATCACCAACTTAATCTGCCATCTAGGGAACGCTGTCCCCAAAATGGCAGGAATATACATTCTTTTCAAGCGCGCAAAGAATTCACCAGAACAGACCATATACTAGGCCATAAAACAAGATTCAATGAGTTGAAAAAAATTAAAATCATACAAAGTATGTTTACTACCACAAAAAATACATTAGAAATAAACAACAGAAGAAAATTTAGAAAATCCACAAATATTTGGAAATTAAACAAAACATTTCTAAATAATAATGGGTCAAAAAAGAAATCACAAGGCAAATTTAAAAGTATTTTGAACTGAATGAACACAAAAACAACATATGAAAATGTATAGAATCTAAATCAGTGCTTAGTAGTAAACTTATGCCTTTAAAAACCTACATTAGCAAAAAAAGAGAAAGATGTCAAATCAATAACCTAAACTTCCACGGTAAGAAATCAGAAAAAGAAGAGCAAACTAAACCCAAAGCAATCCCAAGTAAGGAAATAATAAAGATTAGAACCGAGATTAATAAAATAGAAAACATAAAAACAATAGAGAAGAATCAATGAAACTCAAATGTAACGGTCAATAAAATTGTCAAATGTTTAGCTAGACTGACCAAGACAAAAAGAAAAAGACACAGATTATTGAAATCAAAACTGAAGGAGGGAACATCACTACTAACCTCACAGAAAGTAAAAGAATGACAAAGAATACCATGAATAACTTTATACAAACAAATTAGACAACTTAGATGCTTAACATCATTAGCCATCTGAAAAATGCAAATTAAAACCACAATGAGACATCACTTTACACCAACTATCATGATACGGAGGAATAGGAAGCCTCATACTCCGCTGGTGGGCACATAAAATGGTGGAGCCACTTTGGAAGATACTTGGGTAGTTTTTGTTTGTTTGTTTGTTTGTTTTTGACATGGAGTTTCACTCTTGTTGCCCAGGCTGGAGTGCAGTGGCGCGATCTTGGCTCACTGCAACCTCCACCTCCCAGGTTCAAGCAATTCTCTTGCCTCAGCCTCCCGAGTAGCTGGGACTACAAGCATCTGCCACCATGCCCAGTTTATTTATTTATTTATTTATTTACTTATTTTTGTATTTTTAGTAGAGAAAGGGTTTCATCATGTTGGTCAGGCTGGTCTTGAACTCCTGACCTCAAGTGATCCACGTGCCTTGGCCTCCCAAAGTGCTGGGATTACAAGCGTGAGTCACCGAGCCCAGGAGATATTTGGGTAGTTTCTTAAAAGTTAAACATAAATGTATCACGTGACGCAGCAATTCCACTCCTAGGTATATACCCAAGAGAAGTGAAATTGTATGTCCACACAAAAACCATGAATATCCATGGGAGCATTAATCATAACAGCCAAAAAGTGGAAACCACCTAAGTGACCACCAACTGGTGAATGCTTTGAGAAAATGTGGTGTATTACACAACAGAATACTATTCAGCCATAAAGAAAAACCAAACACTGATAAATATTACAACATGGATGAACCTGAAAAACATTATGTTAACTTCAAGGACACCAGACATAAAAGACCACATATTGTATGATTCCATTTATATGAAATTTTCAGGAGAGGCAAATCTACAGAGACAGAAAAGTAGATTCATGATGGTGGCCTGGGGGTCAGGGTGAGAACCAGGAATGACTGCAAAGGGTCAGAAGGGATTGCTTTTGGAGTGATGGAAGTGTTCTAAAATTGCTGGATTATGATGATGGTTGTACTACAAATCATTGAATTGTGCACTCAAAATGGGTGGATTTTATGGTATACAAGTTATACTCATAAAGTTATTTTTAAAATTATATACTTGTACTACATATAAAAATATATATTTATGAAGAAAGAAATATTAAAGGATAAGATAAATATAACTTGCTGGGCTTGGTGGCTGACACCTGTAATCCCAGTACTTTGGGAGGCCAAGGCAGAAAGATTGCTTAGCCCCAGGAGTTGGAATCTAGGTTGGGCAACACAGTGAGACCCTGTCTCTACAAAAAATAAGAAAATTAGCCAGACATGGTGGCCCATGCCTGCAGTCCCAGCTACTCAGGATGCTGAAGCAAGAGGATCATTTGAGCCCAAGAGGTCAAGACTGCTGAGTCATGATCATGACACTGCACTCCAACCTAAGTGACAGAGCGAGACTCTGTCTCAAATATATATATATATATAAACTTATACATATGTATTATATATATATAAACTTATACATATGTATTATATATATAAACTTGTACATATGCATTATATATAAACTTATATCTGTATTATATAAATATATATATTTATATAATATATAATACATATATAAACTTATATATATTATATATGTATATAATATATAATACATATATAAACTTATATATGTATTATATATGCATATGTATTATATATAAACTTATATATGTATTATATATGTATATGTATTATATATAAACTTATATATGTATTATTATATATTATATAATATATATTATATATAAAGTATATATTATATATATTATATAATATATAATATATATTATATATAAAGTATATATTATATATAATATATTATATAATATATATTATATATCAAGTATATATATATAATATATAACATATATATTATAAACTTATATATATGTATTATATGTATATAAGCTCTTCCCACTTTGGAAATCATTGACTTCAACTACAAGGAAGGGCATGTCGTCCACCGGTTAAGTTTGTGGGCCCTGGAGCCAGGCTGCCTGAGTTCAAATCTTGGCTCTGCCACATACTAGCTGAGGGACTTCGGGGAAGCAATGTAACCTCTTCCGGGTTGGTCTTTCATTTGTAAAATGGGATGATGAGTATAATAGCAATTAAGCAGAATAGCCAGGGGCTCCTTGAAAGGACAAAGACAGCATGGCCACTCCCATACCATCCCTAGGATGACCACTGGGTGCAAGCCCATTGCCCCTTAGAAGATTCCTCATCCCCAACTTCCAGGCAAGGCAGACTCACCAACCAATCCATAAAGCACCTACTGTGTGCTTAGCACCAAGCAGGTAGGTTTGAAGGATGATGCTCCCCTGACCCCAGACATACACAATATGCTGACTGCTTAATGGGTTCACAGAGTCTCGTGAGAACTTCTCTCCATTGTGCAGGATGGGGAAACTGAGGGCCAAAGAGAGGACACTAGGTCTTTAGAACACAAGCAGGACTTTCTTCCCAGGGCCGGAAAGAACTTTGAAAAGGAAATGTCAAAAGCACAATGGCAATTCTGAGCCAAGCAGGGAGGAAGGAGAGAGGGGAGCTGAGAGGGAATGATAGTGCATGGAGGAGCAGGCTGTGGATGTGGGAGTGTATAAGCTGCAGCCTGGTGCTCTGCGAGGAGCTGCCAGTGAGCCACCAGCCTTTGCAGAGCAGAGAACTCAGGTGGTGGGAGAGCTGAGCCCAACTCTTGCAGATCACTTGGTTGAGGGGAGGACTCACTGGCTATCCTGGCTCCCTGGCCAAGCCCCATCCCCACGTCCACCCACTCCCACCTACCTTGCCCAATCTGCACTGGGCCCTGGAGGATGTTGCCAAACACTAGGTCATTGACCTTGGGTGTGGGGTGGGCACAGCAGGGAAGGTGGGGGGTGGGAGAGGGGCCAGCAATCCCTGTTTGACTGGAGCTGTTCCAGGGCTGCTTGGGCTGACCCGACTGCTCCCATGTCATTGCTGAGCTGTCGGGGCTGTAGAGTCACTTGCCTTACAAATCTGGAGGCAGCAGGCTGTGTGGACTCTGGCCTGGTGCCCCCTCTCTGTGGCAGTACCTGGTGTGTGTGTGTGGGGCCTTCCAGGTGCCTGACCCCTGCCCACCCCAACTTGCTGCACCCTCTCCCGGGAACATTCTCAGTGGAAGCTCATAATCTCCTTTTAAAAATCCTGGTTCACCCCAGACTGACTTGTAGAGGCCACTCCAACCTCCCACCTCGCCCACATTAGGATTCCAACCAGATAATTTCAAATGACACCCCACCCCCCAACCTCCTGCTGCTGACAGCTTCCTCCTTCTTCCTAGCTAGCTCTTCCTCCATTCATTGTCCCCTCCTAACTCTCCCCCATCTCCCTCCCTCTTAGCCAGCTCACAGGCAGGACAGGGCAGAGATTCAGGAGGGCAAAGTCTTCACCCCAGGAATGAGGTGGTTTGAGTTCCCAGTTTTGTCCCTTATTGCTGTGAGACCTTGGACAAGTTATTCAATGTGTGTCTTAGTTTCTTCATCTATGAAGTGGGATTAATAATAGTACCAATCTCTTGGAGTCATCAGAAAGACTAGAGGGAGTGGTCATTATTATTAATTCCTTACCAACCTCCCTTCCCCCACACCCCTCCTCATCCAGCCTTCACCCTCTCTACTCCCCCAACCCCCAATATACACACAGGAATCGGGAATTACATAGAGGGTGAGACGTATACCAATGGCACTTCATCAGAACTACTGCCTTTCTGAGACCTGAGGGCAGTAGTGTGTTGGAGCCAATCTGCTGCAGCTTGGACAGTTGTAAACTTTTCTTCCCAACTGCTTATCCATTGACTTCAGGTTGGTAGTCTGAAGTCAGCCATGGTGGGAGTATTTACACCACAGAAATTGGCAAATGCTACAAAAGAGGACTTTTTCACCCAGAGAGCTGGTCGTGAAACAATAACCAGCCACTGCCTGGGGGTCAGGGTACCCTGAACATTGACCACAGCAGCAAGCACCTGGGAAAGGGCTAGAAAGGCCCTGGATGGGGGGTGTGGGTAGAGCTACTCAGCCCCATCTCCTTTTTCCTCCCCTCCAGCCCCCTTCAGCCCTGTGCCTGGACCACTAAGGTTGCTTCCTGACTGAGGTCCCTGTACCCACTCAGCCCCCTCCACTCTCCTCTCTACTATCCTGAAATAAAAACCAACCTTAGGCCCTCCTCTTAGGGTGAGGGTGAGCCCCCCAGGCCATGTAGGCTCTGGCCCCTTTCCTCCTGCTCTTCCTCTGAGTGCCTCCACCCTTATTCACAGGCTCACTCTTGTCTCAGAGCCTCTGCCTAGACTGCTCTTCCCAGCCTCCAAACCCACTTTCCAGGGCTGATCTGCATTCACACTTCAATGTTCTTCTCTGATCACCCACCCACCCCACCTCAAGAACAATACTTATCACAGTTTTTATCATTTTTGTGTGTGCAGTTATTTCAAGTTTTTCTCACCCACAGAGATGGAAAGCTTCAGGAAGGGAACAGGTTCTGGCTTGTTCAGCACTAATCTCCCACACAGGGCCTAAAATATAGTAGGTGCCTGATAAATATTTACCAAATGGATGAATGAACTATCCCGTTGGAACACTGATGTTAAGCAGTAAGGGAATGCTTTTAAACCAGGAGGGAGGCTGTGCTTACAGTGGAGACCTGAGCACAGTGCGGAAGTGCAAGTCCCTGTCCCATCTTTACTTACTGTGTGATGTGGGAATCTCCATTTCCTCTCCTGTAGGATGGGATCATAATAATGACAATCACACACTTGGCAAAACCCTGAGGTTGCTACGCCATCAAATGCAACAACGGACGTGAGACTCTTCTACGAACTGCCCAGCCAAGTCTGCAGAGGGCTGACAATGGGCTTGGATTCAGATCCCAGCACTGCTGCTTAGTAGCTGGGTCAGCTTGGAGAAGTTACTCAACCTCTTTGAGTGTCAGTCTCCTCAAAGATGCAGTGCAATCTCTACCTCATAGGGAAGTAGGAGAGAGACAGTGTGTCTCAAGCACTCAACACCAAGTCTAGCACGGAGTAAGCCTGAAGCTCAAGTGGGCGTCCACTGTGACTATTACCTTTATCGCCAAACATATTTTATACAGGAGCTGTGTAGCATTGCTTATTGAGAAACCAAAGAATGATGTTATAGTATATGTTTTTATAATACGCCTAGGACAGGAGGGTGGGGCAGACTTTGGGGAGAGACCTCCTTGAGCATCTCTTCATGCTAGGCACTGGGCTGTACACACATGGGGAGCTGCCAGCCATCTCCGCCTGCCCTAAGGTGGTTCATTCTACAGGCTCATTCACCTCTGGAAAGTAAAACCAGCCACAGTGGAAGGAGCATCTGAGGCAGATCCTGGCCACAGGCAGAACCCTGTGGGAATCAGGCCATAGGACATTTATGCAATATGGTTGAACAGGAACAGGGTAGTGGCCTCTTAGAGCTCAGCTTCAGATCACAGGGAAATGGGGTTTCCCATAGGGCCAGGGTAGGTTCAGGATGGAAGCCAAAACCACTCGGGTAGGCTGGGCTGAGCACTTGATTGGGGGCTCAGGAGAGAGAGGTACCACAATCTGAGCACCTCCTATTAATACTTGGTAGGCTCTGGCCTGGGCACTTTAAAGAGCATCAAAGCAATCCTACCAGGTAGGTGCTACTAGCCCATTTTCCAAAGGAAGAAACTAAGGCTCAGAGAAGTGAGGCCAAAATATGCTGAACCAGAATTCTACTCCTTGAGCAGGCAGCTTTCCACTGCCCCAGCCTGCCTCCCCCGGGGAAGGAACCTAGGTGCTGACGGGACCTGTCCTGGGCTGTCTCCAAGGAGAGAAAGCAAGCAACAGGGCCCAGGACCCTGGACTCTCTCCCCCAAGTCTCCTCCACTTCCAAGTAGAAGTGGAGACCTCTGTATGCCTCTAGAAGAATAAATTATTAAGAATGTTATTAGCTATAATTTAATGAGCGATTATTATGTGCCAGTGAGCTTTCATTAACTCATTTAATGCTCACAACAGCCCGGTGGCTGGGTCCCTGCCCACCTTTATATATGGATGAGAAACCAAAGTCCAGAAAAGCTAGCATTGATTCCTCTGGCACCCCTTCTACTTTTTTGGAAAATAAAAATGCGTTGTTGCAATACTTTGGAGCATCAACCCAGAATCACATAACAAGAACAGAGGAATTAGTCAGTTGCAAAGTCCTCCCTCGTGTCTACCCCAAGTCCCTCAGGCTGCAGTGAGAGCTTGACATTCCCCAGCTTCTCTGGGCCAGCCAGCAGCCACCCCCTACCATGTGGCCTTGGTCCCTCCTCTGCTGGGAATCAGGAGGGGGGTGGTCCTCCTTTGTTCCCCAGGCTCGGGGGAGCATTCCTACCCCAGAGAGGCCAGCTGAGGTCACGGGTCTATGCCCCCTCCCCAGGCCAGCCTGACCAAGCTGGCAGCCCCGTCAATCAGGTGCAGCCTGCTCAGCAGCCAGCCTTTTATTTCCTATATTAAAAGGGCTTGTGATTCCTGATTGAATTAAAGGCGGGAAGGTCAGCTCTGAGACCAGCAGGGAGATTTCAATCACGGGAGACCGGAGGCAGCCAAGGTGGGCAGGGGGGCAAGGCAGGGAGCAGACAAGGCCAGGAGCAAGAGTAGGGACGGGCACCACCGCTTCTCTCCCAGGCCAGACCAGTCAAAGCATGGTACAAGGGTGGCTAGTCCACAGCACCCACCCCCACAACCCTTTTGAAAATGTCAGTTTGAATTAAAGAAATTTCATCCTCTGATACAGCAGACAACCTGAACTGCTGGACTAGGCAGACTTGCTTGCGTATCTGTTAGTTAAAATGCCCTCAGAAAAGTGAATTCCACAGTTTCCCTCATTTCCTACTGTCAGCAGGTTCTTTCTGACTTCTCTCTTAAACTCCATGTTGGATCTTAAGGAGACAAAGATGATGCTACTTGCTTTGAAGTTATAAAGGACAGTCAATCAGCTGCTTTTTCGGCACCTATGGCTCAGGCTCAGGGATCCTGCAAACTGCCAGTGCTTTCCTGCGACCTGGGTAGAGTGGGGAGAGGACTGCAATGAACACAGTCTTCCTGGCTGTGTGCTTGGGGGAAAGCTCCTCATTTGCCCAGGGACTCAGTTTCCCCATCTGTGCAATGGGCAGCATAGTCCGTACAGGATTTGCTGGAGTACTAGCCTTCCCTGGATAGTCAGGGTTGAGATGTGCCTTTTTGCTTGGGCTAGCACTGAGTCTACCTTATATATAACCCTGGAGTCCCCCTGCCAAGAGTCAAGTCAGGAAGTACAAGGGCTTGATTCCTATCTCTGCAGGGCAGATATGGAAGCCCTGGGGTAAATGCCCCATGTCCTCCAAGGATAGGCAGGAAGAACAGGCTTGACCCATGGTGGGGCTAAAGTTAAATATCAGGATGAACTGACTTCCTCAGTGAGAGTGGTTTCTGGAACTAGATCACAGAGAAGCCTTTTCCCGTCTCCCTACCCGCTACCCCCTCCGGTCCTGTGCTATCTCCATGCAGGCAGCCTTAGATATAGGGGTTGCACCACAAGTGGTGGGACTGAGATCAGACATGAGAAAGGACTTCCTAATGGTGGGCGAGATAAGGCAGTAACATACATCATCAAAGGAGGGGCGCCTGTGGGGCACGTTTAAGGAAATAAGGAATCATGGGCACCACCTAAGGCAGTGGAGGTAAGCTCTGGGCCTGGAGCCAGAGAGCTGGTTCCCTTCTCAAACCTTGCTGGTCTTGAGCAGGTCCTTTGCCTCTTCTGCGGAAGGGAGGTGATGATGCTATCTTAGCAAACAAGGCACGCACAGGCTTCTAATGGCAGAGTGACATGGGCGGCTGAGGGTCGGCTGTGTGGGTGGCTTTTTCCTGTATATATGAATTTTATATGCCCTTCCAAAAAGTCAGTAATATCTTTTTAATGCCTTAGCATAGCTGTATCTTTCTCTACCAGCAGATTCACAATTCCTGTTCCATGTTCCAGACACTGTTTTAAGTACTTTACATATATTTAACTCATTTAACCTTCTCAATAACTGTCATGATCCCCATTTAGAGATGGGGAAACTGAGGCACAGAGCAGTCCAGTAATTTGCCTAAACTTAGCAGTAGCAGAGTGATGGTTTGAATCGGGGCAGCCAGGCTCTGGAACAATGCTAGCACTCAAGCTACAACTCTCTGTGATGAAAGAGTCCTTCTGTATCTGTGCTATGCAGTGTGGCAGCCATGAGCATTTGCCATATGACTTATGTGACCAAAAAACTGGATTTTACTTTTACTTCATTTTAATTTAAGTAGCTACATGGGGCTAGTGGCTGCTGTATGGGACAGTGCAGCTCTAGAGACCCTGGGAACACCAGGCAGGCAGGACGAGGTCATCACTGAAGATCATTCAGATTTGTCCCTCTCATCCTCCCATTACCCTCCTCCTGCTACTTCCAGCCTAGACTTCCAGGAAAGTTCTCCCTTTCTCCCACATTCCCCTGTGAGAGCTTCCTTGTCCATCAGCAGGTGTGTGTTCCACCCACAGCTGCCTCCTTGTTCCTGACATGCTTGAAGCTGTCTTGGAAGACCAGGACAGCCCCATGCAGGGGCCTGGCCTGGTCCTTGGTGTCTGAGTGAGCTCCCTGTAGAGCCTGGCCTATTGGTGCTGGCAACCTCTCTTGACACCAGGGAGAGAGCACTTCTCCCACGAAGGGGACCCATCCCTCCTTGGTGGACACTTTGTGACCTGAGTCCACTGGGGAGACATATATGGACAGCACTCCCACACCAGGGCCTCAAGCTGGAAGCTCCCTTCTAGGTCACACCCTGTCCTGAGACCTGAGGTCTCTGCAACTGATGGGGTGTACTGACAGCTTCCTGCTCTGCCCCCCAGGGGCTGAGGCCCAATAGGGCGCTAGATGCTAGAACCGCAAGGAGTCAGTGGTGCTACGGAGGGCTGGAACTCATTCTGAGCCTTGAAGTAGGAAAAGTTGTAGGTGAGCTAAGCCTGTGGTAGGGGGCATATCCTGCAGAAAGAAGAGTAAGGTCAGAGGGGTAGAGGCACAAAGGTTTGGCTGCATTATCATATAGGAACAAGGCAAGAGTTGAAGCCACAGGGAGCTTGGGGAGAAGAAGCAGCTAGTAACGCTAACACCCCTGTTTTAGCACCCCTGCAGGCCAGCACAGTTCTAGACCCATTATGTGTGTTATCTCATATGGTTCTCAGAACTGCCCTAGGAGGTAGACAGACCTTACAAAGAAGGAAAAGGAGACTCAAGAGGGGAGAGGCACTTGCCCAAGTCACACAGCCAGCAGCCTGGCTTCACCGGTACTGCGCATACCTGGCCTGCTTCCAAAAGACACGTGGACTTGCTTCTGCAAACAACAGATTTTCAGGAGGATCATGCCAGGCTTGTACTTTCTTATTCTTTTCTTTTCTTTTGAGACAGGGTCTCACTCTGTCACCCATGTTAGAGTGCAGTGGTGTGATCATAGCTCACTGCAGCCTCAACCTCCTAGGCTCAAGCAGTCCTCCCACCTCAGCCTCCAGAGTAGTTGGGATTACAGGCCTGAGCCACCACACCCGGCCCAGGTTTGTACTTTGAAAAGCTCCCTGGGGCTGCTGAATGAGAATGAATGGGAATGGGAAAGGCAGGAGACAGGAGCTGGGCAGGAAGTGGTGGCAGTAATTGAGAAAAAGAGGGCCTGGCCTGCTATGTGTAGGAAGCTAAGTCAGCAGAGAGAGGGAGAAGGCCCCAAACTGCAAAGTGGATCCACAGGGTGCTGTTGGCTGGGGTGGAGCTGAGGAGGGACCGCCAGAGAAAGTGATGACTTGCGTTTAGATCATGTTACTTTTGAGGGGCCCATGAGAACTTCAGGGATCTGGAGCTCAGGAAGGAAAACCTGAGGTAGAGGAATGGATTTGGGGGCCAGTGTTGATGGTTGAGACCTTGAGTGGGTTCTGGGAGAAGAGAAGCAGCCCCCATCTTACCCTGAGGACTCCCAACCTCCCAGGGACCAGCAGAGGGTTGGGAGCCCTTCAAGAAAACAAAAACAGAGACCCAGGAGGACAGGCATCCTGGAAATGAGGGAGGTCAACATGGGGAGACCTAGGAGGACGGGCATCCTAGTAATGAGGGAAGTCAGCATGGGGAGGCCCTGAGCAGGCCAAGGAAATAAAAACTCAAACTGGACCCTCCAGATTTGGTGCCCAGGAGGTTCTAGCAGGGACAGCAGAGGGCAGGAACCAGGCTGGGCTGTGGGGTGAGGACAGCATGGAAGGCAGGCCATGGGGAAGGGGCGCAGCTCTCCAGGAAAAGGGAGAAGATGAGGCAGTGGTTAGAAGGGAGGTGAGAGAGCACCTCTGGGGTCCCTGGGTACACCCTGCCACATGAGTAGTCCCTGGAGCTTCAGGTCTGCATGCCCTGGCTCCTTTATGCCAAGTGTGGCTTCTCTGACTTCCTCCCTCACACGCTCCGAAAAGCACTCAAAAAAGTGCTGAGCCCACTGCTGGCCCTGGAAAGGTTTGCTGATTCACGGAGGTGGAGAGTCTGGCAGCCTGAAGATGGCAGAGGACTCCACCCTGCCTTGGGGAAAGAAAGCAGCCTGGAAGATGTAGGAGAGGCCACAACATTCTACTCATATACATCCTGTGCAGGGTGCAGGGCCAGAGATGGGCAAGAGCCGGTGCCAAGAACATATCCCTAGCTGGCCATCCTCTGAGGCAGAGGGAGCAGAGAGGTCCCAGAACTACTGTAGTTTTATACTAAGTCTTAAAATTAGGTAGTATAGTTCTCTAGCAGGTGAGGAATGAAGGAGGGTTCCTTGGGGGAGGTGCATTAGTGCTGGGCCCAGCGGATGGGTTCAGTTTTGCCCAGTGGAAATGGAAAGGGAAAGGACATTCCTGACAGCATGCACACAAGCAGGAAATCGAGAGGCCTTGTAGGCATCTGGCAAGGAGCCTGGGCTGGCTGGCTCCTCCAGCATCAGCTGTGGAGAGACATGACGCTGAAGGGAAGCTGGCCTCCAAGTCAGGGAGAGCTCTGAATGTGCAAGTAAAAGAGTTGGAGCTTTATTCTGCAGACAGTGGTGAGCCCTTGCAGGTTTTGCAGCAGGAGAGATCTCTGAGGGTATCTCCTCTGGCTGGAGCAGCTGTGGGAAGACCAATTGGTTCTTGATGGGAGGGAGGGGAGGGAATGTCCATCAGGGTCTCCCATAGGGCAAGAACCCCAACCCCACAGTCAAGGCCAGGCTGGTAAAAATAGCTGGGAATCCCGCTGGATAAAAATAGCTGTGGGCAAGGGAACTCACCTGCACCAACAGGTAGGAAAAGTAGGTCATGGCTATGGGCCACCTGGGAGGTGAGCAGGAGGGAACAGAGCTCCTTCAGAGCCTACCACTTCCTCCTTCACCCGTGAAGACTCAGCCTCCTGGGCAGCTCTGAGCAAGGTCTGACAATGGAAGAAGGTCTGGAATTAGCTCCCTAGGCCTGTGGGCCACATGCTATCTCTCCCTCTGGGGGCATTTCTACCTCCCAGCTAGCTTTGAGCATCTTCTGGCACCCTGCTTTGACTTCAGGAATCCACTTCCCAGCAGAATCTAGTGATTCGTTTCTTGGCGACATCACTTTCTAGACTCACTGAGTTCAGAATCTATTAACCTCTTTATTGTAACTGTTGATTTATTGAGCATTTATGAAGTTCTATGCGTGGTGCTAACTTTTTCACAGTACAAGAATAACCTCTCTGAAATATGAGTCTGTTCTCCAAGAGCCAAGCGTCTCTCTCTCGGAACTTCTGTCCACACTACTGGGTTTTTTAAATTATCATACAGTAAAATTTACTGTTTTTCTTCTGGTATACGGTTCTATGGATCTGAACATGTGCAGATGTGTGTATCCTCCACCATCATCAGGATACGGGAAAACTCCATCATCCCCTAAAAACGCACTCATGCTGTTGTTTTATAGTTATATCCTCACCCCACCCATAGTCCTGGCAAATACTAATATGTTTTCCATCACCATAATTTTGTCTTTTTGAGAGTATCAAGTAAATGAAATTACAGTGTGTGACATCTTGACTGGCTTCTCTCATTTAGTATGAAAGTCTTTGACATTTATCCAAATATTGTTGCACTTATCAATATTGTTCCTTTGTACTAATCAGTGGTATTTCATTGTTAACCATTAACCCATTGAAGGACATTTGAGCAGTTTGCAGATTTTGGCTATTACAAATAAAGTTGCTATGAACATTCAGGTACAGGTTTTCATGTGAAGAGATGTTTTCATTGCTCTAGGGTAACTACATTAGGAGGGGGATTACTGGGTCACATGGTAAGTGTATACTCAAAGATTTAACTTTACAAGAAAGTGACGAACCATTTTACAAAGCATCTGTACCATTTTACATTCCCACCAGCAATGTATGAGAGTACTAGTTTCTCTGTGTTCTTGTCAGCTCTTGGTTTTACATTTTTTAATGTGCTATTCTAACAGGTATGTAGAGGTATCCCATCATGGATTCAATTCACATTTCTCTGAGTGTTAGTAATGTTGAATATCTTTTCATGTGTTCGTTTGTCATTTTTATATCCTCTTTGGTGAAGTGTCTGTACAAGTCCTTTACCCATTTTTTTAATGAGGTGGCTTGTTTTCTTGCTTTTGAGTTTTGAGAGTCCTTCGTATATTCTGGATACAAGTAATTTGTCAGATATGTGGTTTGCAAATATTTTTTTCCCAGTCTGTACGTTGTCTCTTCACTTTCTTGACAGTGTCTTTCTTTGACAGAGCAAAAGTTTTTAATTTTGATGCAGTTTGGTTTATGAATATTTCCTTCATGGATGAATCATGCTCTTGGTATCATTTTAGAGCTCTTCACCCAGCCCCAGGTCATAAAGATTTTCATATATGTTGTCTTCTAACAATTTTATAGTTTACATTTTACATTTTGATCTGTGATTCATTTGGGGTTAATCTTTGTATTTAGGTCAAAGGTTTTTCTTTGTTTATGGATGACTAGTTGTTCCAAATTCATTTGTTGAAAAGATTATTTTTTCTCCATTGAATTGCCTTTGTACATATTATTCATATTTGTGTAGATCAATTTCTGAACCTTCTGTTCTGTTTTACTGATCTGTATATTCATCTTTTTGCAAATTTCACACTCTCTTGATGACTACTGTAGTTTTGAACTAAGTCTTAAAATTAGGTAGCATAAACTGGGCAAGGTAGCGTGCATCTGTAATCCCAGCTACTCAGGAGGCTGAAACAAGAGGATTGCTTGAGCCCAGGAGTTTGAGGCCAGCCTGAGAAACATAAGAGAGACCTCATTTCAAAAGACAAAACAACTGTCCCCCTCAAAAAAAAAAAAAAAGAAGAAGAAGAAAGGAGATTAGGTAGTATGATTCCTCACACTTTATTCTTTTTCTCCCCAAAATTGTTTTAGCTATTCTAGTTCCTCTGTCCTTCCACAATATTTTAGAATCTGCTTGTTAATATCTAACAAAAAAATCCTGCTGGGATTTTGATTGGTATTGTGTTAAATCTATAGTCCACTTTGGGAAATTGACATCTTTATGTTGAATCTTCTGTCCATAAATATGGTATACCTTTCCATTTGTTTAGGTCTTCATTATTTATTGCAACAGCATTTTGTAGTTTTCAGCATACAGATCCTGCACATCACACTCGTCTCCTCCACTAGACTACCAGCCCCATGAGGCAGGGACCATGTCTGTATTACATACCACTGCATTTACTGAGCTTCCAGAGGGCCTGCCTGGCATGCAGTTGGTCCTCACTAAATATCTCTGAGTGAATAACAGCACTTTTGCATTTGTCATCTAATTTAATCTACCCACAATCAGGTTAGAGATTACACTTCTTACTTCATGGAGGAGAAAACTGAGGCTTGGAAAGGAGGTATAGTGAACATATCTAGAATGTTCCTCAAGATTCTCGCCTCCTGGTGTACATGCCCTATAAAATTCCCTCCCTTGAGTGTGGAAAAAGGACCTATGAATACGATGAGATATCATTCCCGTGATTCGTTCACATTATAGAGCAAAGGTGGAGGAGTTTTGTAGATGTAATTAAGGTCCCTAATCAGTTGACTCTGAAGTTATCGCAAAGGAGATTTTCCCAGATCAGTCTGACCTAATCAGGTCAGACCTTTTAAATGAGAGTCTGGAGGACACAAGGTGGAAAAGTCAGAGGGATTCAAAGCAGCAGAGCTGCTCTTCTATTGGCCTTGAAGAAGCTAACTGCCATGTTATGGAGAGGGTCACATGATAGAGAACAGCAATATCCTCTAGTAGTTGAGGCCCTCAGTCCCACAAGGAACTTGGGAGAGAACCTCAAGCCTCAAATGAGATCACAGTCCAGCCAACACCTTGACTTAAGCCTGGCAAGACCCTGAGCAGAGAACAAACTTGTGGTAATTTGTTACACAACAATAGAAAATTAATATGGAAGCCTTTCCTAGGGACCCAGAGTTGGGACTCACACAACTCCTGGGTTGCTGAGCTATGCTCTCAACTACTTATCTGTCTCCCAATGCCTTCTCCTCTTGGGGGCTTGAGCCTTTTTGTTTATGCCTTTTGTTTTGTTTTATCTTTGTTTGGATATCAGGATTACAGAATCCTTGGTCTATGACAGTCTTATTAATGGTACATGCACAGCCCACTTTTATTTATGTTGGTTCGTTAGTTGGTTTTACTAATGCAATAAGCACCCTTAAACCCACCACCCAGAATAGCTAGTCCTTGACAATAACCCACATCTAACCACTGCCCCACATCCTGCCCCCGATTCCCCATCTGCAGAAATTGTCATATGAGTCCTGTGTTCATCATTCCCTTGCTTTATGAAGTTTAATGGCATAAAATTATTTTTTAAATTGTAATGTTTTTTAATTTTATAAAAAGGGTATCATGCAGTACGTAATCTATTGGGACTTTTTCATCTCAATTTTCTGTTGCCAAGCTTCATCCATATTGCTCTGTGTTGGAGTATGTCATTCATTTTGACTGCTATGTAACGTTTCACTATGTGACCACATCCCCACAACTCATCCATCCACTCTGCTCCTCATGGGCATTTGGGCAGTTTCCAGGTTTTTGCTATTGTGAACAGTGCTACTCTGAACGTTCTTGTGTAAGTCTCCTGGTTCAGTAATTTACCTCTCAGAGTCAATTTCTGCCTAAATAAACTAAAGGGGAAGGATTTTGTTTCTTTGCCACAGAAGATCCAAAAGACTAATAAAGCTTCTTGCTAGGTGCCTGCCCTTAACTGCACTCACCCCCAAACTGCTGCTTTCAGCAGATCCATCCAAATGTTGTCTCCCCCAGACACCCAAATCCGGGTCCACAAACCCCAGCCATCCACCAGGGGAGCATCAAGAGCACACAAGACAACTCCTCCTGGACTAAAGTTTCAATATCGAGAACTGGCTCTGAGGAAGTGTGCTGACCACAGGCATGGCTCATTCGCAGTTATGGGCAGGACTTTGGTCCCAAAGATATCTCATGTCACTGTGCACTCGGAATCTGCTATTCTGGAAAGCCCCCCAGCCTAAACCACAGCAGAGCATGCGATGACAGCGAGTGTGGTGACAAGTTAGCAGAGTGGGAAGTGAAACGCGGCCATAGGCTGGTCCTTGCCCTGCCTGGCCTCGAGGGAGACCTGATTGAGTCCCTGATCCCTCTTGGGCCAAAGTCTCCTCACATAGCTGAGGGGGGATGCACACTTAGTGAGATAAGAGGTTGATATCTGGTTAGATCTGGTTAGAAAGTACAAGAGGGTGGAGAAAGTGACATCTGGTTAGAAGGTGTGAGAAGGTGGAAGGGGCTAAGAGGGTGGCCAGGGAGAACCCTGCCCAGGGTTGAATGGGAGGGCCCACATTGAGGGCTGATCTTCCCCACCTAGTCCACTCAGACTCACATGTTAATCTCCTCTGGAAACGCCCTCATAGACACACCCAAGAATAATGCCTCACCAGATTTCTAGGTACTTCTTAGTCCAGTCAAATGGACATGTAAAATAAAGCATCACACCATAGACACTTTCTTCAAACCCTTGGGGGTCAGCTATTAGTTCCAGAGGTACAACTGGAAAGGTCTCACAGGGAGACAGACCCAGGGTGGATTCCAGGGGCTTCCCTTGCTCCAGGCCTCTGCAAATGGATGCCTTGGGAAGGGCATGAGTGAGCCTCACAGCAGCAGGGAGGGCTCAGCCTGTTCATCTCTGAGGTCCTCCCACCTGGGTTTCTGTGGCTCTACGAAGGTTTTAGCCCATATCTGCCCCACACGCGTACCTCCCAGGCAGGCCTTCCCTCCATCCTTATCTTCTCTTTCCTTCCTTCTCATTCACTCAGCACACCTTGAGAGAAGCACAGGGATTGGGGCAGTCAGTGTGGGGAGTGTGTAGAGCAAGTTACACAGAAGAGTAGGAAGAACTCAGAATGGAGATGATGAGGCTGAAGGCCAAGGTTCCTCTTAGGCTCCAGCCAGAAGCTGGGCTTGCCAGAAATTGATGCTTCTGGAGAAGGAGGAGGTGCTGATGACTCAGTGCCAGCCTGAAAGTCATGAAGGACGGGGGAACCAGCGTTTCCTCATACCCCAAAGGTCAGAAGGATGCATGGCTATACCTGTAGTGGGTTCAGGCTATAGTCCCCGGTCAATCTAGCTTCCCACCCTTGTGTGTCCCTGGGTCCTGGCTGTAAGCTAACTGAGCAGAGTTTCCCGCACAGCAGCCCTGCTGTCCCACTAGCATCAGAAGAGGAAAGCAGGACTGTCTAAGAAGCCCTGTCTGTGGCGGTGTCCACAGGGGGCGTCTGCATGGGCTCCTCACTCCTGCATGAGCCCCGAGTAGAACAGTCTCTGAGCTTGTACTGCCTGCAGAAAGAATCGGAGGAGGCCAGTCTCTGCTCCTGAAGTTATGCATCAGGGAATGAGCAAGGCTGGGTGGGTCCTGTGAGTGAGAGGATGTGCTTGCACAAGGGACCAGCGTAAAATATGCTACTTATTTGGAGCACCAGCCTTGAGGTACACCCTGAGGCGTCAAGGTCTGGGGAGGTGCTCACATCTGGTAGAGTCTGCGCAGGCCAGTGAGGCAAATATCAGGTCATCACTATTTTGGGTTTCTGTGCAGGAAGGGAGCCAGCCGCGACCTGTGCTTTCATCATAGAAGGATAGAGAGCTTCCTTCTGTAGCCCAAGTTCCTACTCACCTCCCATCCTGGCACCCCCAAATTGGACTCTTTCAGAACAGAGGCCTCTGTCTTAGCCTAGTTTCCCCTAAAAGTGGAACCTGTGGGAGCTTTGGTCTCAGGGGCAACTAAGCTGATTTGGGAAGTGATCCCAGGAACAGGATCAAAAGATGAGGGTGAGGAAAGAGTGAACAGGGTGTCAACCAATACAAGGATATGTTATCTAGTTGGCCACCCCTGTGATGGGTGTTGACCCCACAGAGATCTATTTAAGAGACTTATGAAATGTGTTTCAAAACAGTCTACCCAGAAGGGCAAAAAGGGATCCTTTGGCTCCTGTATCCCCCATTGCACAAAGGTGACTCCAGGGGAGTCCCTTCTGGTGTGCACTACTTAAGCGCTAAGCAGTTCCACAGGTGTCCACCCGTAGGACATCAGAGAAGTCTCTGGCAGGAAGTAGGAGGTTCTAGGCCAAGGCAAAGTGCCATTTAATTGCACCTTTGCAGAGCCCACGAAGCTTGCATGGAGCTGGCCTCTAAAGCAGAGGTCAGAGTAAGCGATGGGCACAGAGAAATTTGGACCAAAGTGTCCAGTAAAGGTCCTTTCTTTGTGCCTTCACCAAGCCATCAGCAGCATCAGCAGCGTGTTACAGGGCCAGCTTTTCAGAGTATGAAAAATATTTTCATAGAGTCAGAGAAAGCTCGGAGGTGGGACGTCATGGTGGGAGTCAGCAAATTCCAAGTACCTAGCAAGGTTTCAGAGCTCTGCTCTGCTTTGTCCAGCCTCAGGACCAGTCTGCCTTCTCTCCTTAAGTGCTTCCCTAGCCAGGGGGCCGGGAGCCAGAATGAAGCAAAGGCCACTCAGCCTGAAACTGCAGCCAGACCTCTCCCTGAAGAGCCTCCCTGCGCCCAGCCCTGCTGAGCCCTCTCTCCGCACACATTTCTTTCCTGCCCAGCCGGCCTCAGTTCATTTCTCAAGCGGCGCATGTGGGCTCCTCCACTTTCTCCCTGTTCAATGTCTTAGCTCCACTTTTTCCTGGGCTGCACCCCAGCCCCCTCCTGCATGCCCACCCACCCCCAGACATTGGCGCTGGCTTTCCAGGCCCCCTGTTGCTTGGCCCTTTCCAAGCCTGTTTGGGACCCAGCCCAAATCAGCAATTACAAGTACCCACTTTTCCTTCTCACTCACACAAGGTAGCCATTGTCCACTGTACAAGGGAGAACCATCTGTGCTCATGTTGCAGTAAAAAAGGTTGTTTACCCAGGGTCGTCAGCACAGCCTTCATGCTGTGTCCTCCCCACTGCATGGCAAGTGCAGGCCAAACACGTGTGGGCCTCATGGGCCCACAGGTTAGGTGCAGAGGACAGACATGCAAGGCCTGGAACAGACACAAGATGGGCACAGAATGGGGATGCAGGCTTAGAACAGATACACGGGCAGCTACCACTTGAGGCCTTAGCAGGTATGGTCCTTTCTCAGCTGTGAGTTCCCTCTGCTCAGGCCCTTAGATGGATGCTCCCTCCATTCCTCCTTCCTACCTCCTCACTTAATCCTTACTATAAGGCCAGGAGAGTGGTTCACGCCTGTAATCCCATACTCTGGGAGGCCAAGATGGAAAGACTGCTTAAGGCCAGGAGTGTGAGACCAGCCTAGGCAACATAGTGAGACCCTGTCTCTAAAAAAATTAAAATTAGCCAGGCATGGTGGTGCGTACCTACAGTCTCAGCTACTTGCTTAGGCAGGAGGATCACTTGAGCCCAAGTTTGAGGCTGCAGTGAGCTATGATCTATGATCATACCACTATAGAGCAAGACCCTGATTCTAAAAAAAAAAAAGTTCACAACCCTCTGCCCTCCAAGGTGGGTCTTACGATCCCATTTAATAGACAAGGATATAGGGGCTCAGAGATGTTCCTTAACTTACCCAAGGGGAGAGAGGAAGAAGGAAGGATGCAACAAGGTACCTATAGAGAACCCCAGGATAGCAGAGCTGGGAGAGCTAGACCTGAAGAAGTTTCTATTCTTCTTTATGGGAGAGGGGACAGTGAGTTGGTTAGGTTGTGTGGAGAATTCCTCACTGAGCTGGAACTTGGGGATTTGGCTCCAGGCAGGTGGGGCCAGCCAGAAGGGTTGCCCTGAGGGGCAGTTGGTGACCTATGAAACACTCTCCCCTCCGCATTAGGGAAGGGAGATTTTCAGCCAGGACACCCCTGCCCTGGAGACAGGGATATGTGCAAGACACCTCCTGGGGGCATAGCTGCCCATATCTGGCTTCCCCACAGCCATGATCACCCTGGTGGGCTCCTGGGTGGGGAAGGGATTGGCAGGAGGATCACTTGCAAGGGAAGTCAGAGCTGTTTCCAACATTCACAGCAGTGTCCCAAGGCCCAGAAGCCCCCAGAAGGAGCCAAAGAGACTTAGTCCCCACAGGGCAAAGGTAACCCAGGGAGCCTGGGTGGGCCTGAGTGACCACCCATGGGCAGGCCGGGCATTTTTGTTCTTGGGAAACCCTGTAACTGAGATCCTGGGGGTCCAAAGGGACCTCCAGGGTCACGTCTCTCACAGCCCAGGCCCTGCCCTGAGGACATGGGTCGCAGTGAGAAGGCCCTCCCCTGTACAACCCCCAGGCCAGTTGCCAGAACAGCAGGGTGAATATGGTATCAAGAGGTCAGGCTCAAGCCTACACTGTCCAGCCTCCCTAGCCCTTCAAGATAGCCCAGGCCACAGAAACACCAAACCAGCAAACTTGGGAAAGGCCATTGTCCTCTGCAATGGAGCTTGAATCAGCATTATCCTCTCCAGTGTTGATACCTCATAGCCTTCTCTGTCCTCTGCAAAAGGCTGAACACCAGAACATTCCAGAGCAGGACACAAGCATCTGCCGCCCTTGTTATGCCTCCTGCAGCCCAGGCCTGGCTGCCCTGCATGGCCTTGACATCTTCTGACATCTCTGGGCAGCATCTGTAACAGGATGTTTCACCAGCAGCCTCTTCACCCAGCTGACCTTGATGGGGGGCACATGGAGAGAGAGGAGACTGCCAGCCACCCCAGACAAAGCTTGCTGGTTCTGCCCCTACACTCTGCCCAGGCTCTACAAGCCTGAGCCAGAGTGGAAACTGGTTGGAGGCTGGAAAGTTTGGAGGAAAGCTTTCTGATGGGAGGTGATGGGGAGAGCAGCTGAGAAGGGGCTGGTCATGGTCTCCCTGGGTGTCAAAATTCTAGAATCAGTGAATCCCTGCAGCTCAAGACCTTGTGCCTACAGTGTCTGAGATGTGTGTTGCTCCATACGCCCTGGGGAACCAGCTTCTAGGTAAGCTCTCAGAAATCCCACAGTGTTGGAGTCACAAGACCTCTGAGATACAGCCCTCCAAGTTTTCTATGGCTGCAAAACAAACTATTCCCAAACATAGTGCCTTAAAACAATAATGGCTTAATTTCTCACAATTCTGGTGGTAGTCCTGGCTGTTCTGCAAGTCTAACCTGGGATTAGGCCACTTAATCAGCTGCATTCAGCTGGAAGGTCCAGGGTGGCCTCAATGGCAACTCTGAAGCCTCCGTGCCATCAACCGGCTTCCGTGTGCCTCCTCTTAGTGCCTGATCCTCCAGAGTCTCTCTCTCCAGCAGAATAGCCTGGACTTCCTTACAGCACGGTGCCTGGCTTGGAGGAAGAGGAGACAGGGAGGGAAGGCAGTCAGGCCTCTCTAGGGTTGAGCCTGGGACTGGCACAGCATCATTGCATTTTTTTCAGTCAAAGCAAGTCATAAGGCCAAGCCAGAATCAAGGAGAGGGAAAATAGAAACCAACTCTTGGCAGTAGGAGTAGCAAAGACTCTGTGGACATCTCTCACCCACCTCGGACCTTTATCAGTCTCTGGAGAGTCAGGACAGAGCCAGATTGCCTGACACAGACCTGGAAACTTAGAGATGGATGAAGTCCCCATTCCTGCCCCTGGGACTCTCTGCCCTCAGCCCCCAAACCATGACCTTCCTGAGTCCCTCTGCTCACAGTGACCCTGGAGGCCTGGCCTGGGGGTGGGAAGGGCTGGGATCGGAGCTGCACAGGGTGGTGGGGAGGAATTAGGTCCCTTTTCATACCAACTGTTGAGGCATCTGAACTTGATCTAGGGATGGGACTTTGGCTATGGGATGTGGGGAGAGGGTGCCCCCTCCATGCAGAGGCCCTTCCCACAAAGGCTTGAGCAGAGCCTGAATGTGGACGCAAGGCAGGCTCCACTTAGCTCTCCATGTTCACCTGTCCACAGGTAAGGCTGTGACAGATGAACTGAGGCCACCTGTCCTGGGGAGGCTGGTCCTAAGGGACCCCAGCTCTTCCTCTCCTCTTCCAGGTGATCTCCTGCACAGGTGCCAAGTTCCCACCACACTGAGCTGCATTCAGCAGGCCCAGATGTTGGGCAGCCAAGTCGGTCCCCTGAGGACCCACCCCTCCTGTCTGCTTTCATCTAATTTATTCACTCAACCACTTGACAAATATTTACTCAGCACCCGTAAGATAACAGGCACTGTGTTCGTCGCAGGGGATATATCAAGTGAGCAAAAGAAAAAAAAACCCTATCCTCTTGGAGCTCAGATTCATGAGACGGTGGGAGGGAGTGTGTCTGTAGACAATAAACTAAATAAATCAGTAAATTACGGAGTCTTGTGGCTGCCATAACAAATCACCCACTTGGTGGCTTACGACCAACAGAAATGTGTTCTCTCACAGTTCCGGAGGGCACGCATCTGAGCATCACTGCTATCTCTGCCTCCATGTTCAGGTGGCCTTCTTCCCTCTGTCTCTCTGTGTCTCCTCTTCTCATAAGGACATTAGTAATTGGACTTAGGGCCCACTCTAAATCAAGAGAGCCTCATCTTGAGATACTTAATTATATCCGCAAAGACACTATTTCCAAATAAGGTCACATTGTGAGGTTCCTGGTGAACATGAAGTTTGGAGGGAGACACTATTCAACTCACTGTGGCCATATGCACGGGTTCTAGGGGTTAGAACATGGACATTTTGGGGGACCACCATCCAACCCACTGCAAACATATTAGAGATTTGGAGAAAAATAAAGCAGGGTAATACAGAAGAGGGGCCCTGTGGTGGGATTGGGAAGGCAGGCCGAGCATTCAATAGGATGGTTAGGAAAGACCTCACTGAGAAGGTGATATTCAAATAATGACCTCAAGGAAGTGAGGGGGTGACGCATATGGCTATCTGAAGGAAAAGCATCCAGGCAGAGGGAACAGGTAGCACAAAGGCCCTGAGGCAGGAGCGTGCCCAGTACATCTGAGGAATAGGAGGCTGGAGCAGAGTGAGCGAGGGCTAGACTGGTGGTAGGGTGGGATTGCTGGGGACTTGCAGGCCACACTTAGGACTCTCCCTTCACCCAGAGGGATATGGGAGCTGAGGCAGAAGAGAAACTTTGTTTTCATTCTCACTGCAGAGCTGAGCGTAGACTGTCTGGGGCCACTGGCTGAAGTGTAACTGCCCACTCCCCCGCCCCGCCAGGGCTGGACATGGGCAGCACGCCCTCCACGGCTCTGGGGTGGCTTCCCAGGACTGTGTCATAGACAGGCGCCTCCGATCCCCTGCCACTGGACCCCCCGCCTGCCCACAGGGCTCAGGTTTCTCCTCATCAGCTGTATCCACCAGAGCTTGGGAAAGTCGGCTTTCCAGGAAGATTTCATCATTTTCCATTCGGAAAAGTTTGCTGCTCCCACCACTCCCTCCTCTACTCCCAAGGCTGAGAAACAAGCACTGAGACTTTCTGGAGCTCAGAAAGGCCCATGGGCTGGGGCAGGCGAAGCTTCCAGCCTGCCTCATGGCCACCTGCAACCAGAACCGCCCCATTCCCCAGCTGGCCAGACTCCCATCTCCTGGGGGATCCTCACCTGCCCCCACCCCATGCTTGCTCCCCATGGGATTCTCTGTGGACTCCCCCATCATAGTCTTCTGCCCTGGCACCTCTGTGGCCTGCTAAGGGGGAGGCCACCCCACCAGGCAGAGAAGGCACTGGAGAGAGCTGCGAGAGGAGGGAAGAGGGCTAGGCTACCCACCTCCAGGACTCTCTCATGAAGGCAGAGCCACTGATGGGAACCAAGCACCTGCCTTGGCTTCTAAGGTGAGTGGAAAATTCCCTTAGCGCCTCTGCACCAGTGTTTTCCCCTCACCTCTATTGCCATTGTGGATCTGTCAACAAATATAGAGTCTGTCAGTGTTTGCAGAGCCTACCAGCATTTGCAGAGCCTGCCTGGTCACAAAGCCTATTGTTATTTGCTGAGATAGTTTCTTTCATTGCTCCAGGAGGCCCCACCCACTGCACAATGGTGACCAGTAAAGTTTCCTCTCTCCCTCACCCCTACCCTGCCCCACACTCCTCCCTGAGGTCTCCCCAAGTATCCACAAGGCATTTCCCCAAAGGCCCTGAGACTTAGACCTACAGACACCCCACAGCAAATCCACACACTCCCCATTGGACCTTCACTCATGAGCCCTGTATAAGCCAAGGTGTGGGGGGCCAGATGGGGCTCCAACCCCAAGAAAACAGAGAGGCCACCCCCTCCTGAGCTCAGGCCTGAAGGAAAGCATAATTTGAAGCCAAGCGGAAATGGACCTCTGTCATTTTGTAGCTATGGCATTTGGGCATCCACTCGAGTTTCTGAGTCTCAGTTTCCTCATCTATAAAACAGGGATGCATCAAGGCATATGGCTGAGGTAAGCTCAGCTGAAAGAAGACGGAGAGTCAATTGGCTGCCAGTGACACATCTAGTTGTGCCAGGCATGGGGCTCAGTTCATCCACAAAAAATCTTCCAAGAGGTGAAAGAAACCCCAGGCTTTCCTGATATTCGCTCTGAGAGGTGAAAATAAGTCTATATGAGTCTGAGCAGGGACTCAGCTCACCCTGATCCTGACAGGGCAGAAATGTGTCAGGAACTTGGAGAGGGCTGATGTGGGAGCCCTCAGCCATTAACCCTTCTCCTCTGGCCATTCTCAATGTTGCTTTGACAGTGAGTGCAGGCGGAGGGATAGCTCTCCCTTACTGACTGTGAGCATGCTGAGGAAGGGGCTGTGTGTTCCCCTCAGACTGGGGCTCCCTGAGGATGGGGCCAAGTCTCTCCTCAGACTGGGGTTCCCTAAGGATGGGGCTGCGTCTCCCCTCAGACTGGAGATCCCTGAGGACAGGCCATGTCTCCCTTCTGAGACTGAGGCTCCGTTTGCTCTCAGCCCCTAGGCTCTCCAGCTGTACTCCTGTCTCACGGAACAACCACCCAAGAGAACAGAGTGATAGGGTCTGCTGAGCAGAAGTGCACAGGGCAGGTTGCGGGTACTCCTGAGGAGGGACGTGCTGATAAAGGGTAATCTCCCTGAGCACTTGGCTCAGGATAGCAAAGGCTGCAATCAGAGGGTTCTGTTTCGAGCTTCCAGCCAACTGTCTCTATCAAGTGCCTGCTGTGTGCAAACCCACTGACAGGTACTTTGGGAGGACCAAGAGGACTTATGCATGGTGTTTGAGCTCTTGGGAGAGAGGCTGATGCCTGGTAGGGGATGCACAGACACTCAGGGCTCCTGGGAGAAGAAAGGGAGTGAGTTCCTCAGTCAGGCAGCCTTCTCAAAGGAGACCCTGTTAGGGTCCAGTTTAGGGCAGCGGTCAGTGGCTTTGGAGCTTTGGGCCTGGGGGAGCTCCTGAAGACCCTTTTCCCATCCTGCCACCTCTCCCCCTCCCATGCTTATCTGGCAACCTTGCTCCATGTTTTCCCTGGAACATGTTCTTCCTGCTCCCCTCAGCCCCTACTCAAGGTTAAGCCCTCTCTTTTGCTTCTGCCCAGCAAGTCCAAGGCTGGGTACTAGGGCGCAGGGGAAGGAGCTTGCTCAAGAGCCCGTGGAGGGCCCCTTGGGAGCCACCTCCTGGCTCCTGAGCCTAGGAGTGTCTAGGAGCATCTTACAAGAAGTGTAGATGATGAGGTGTTCTAGAGAAGGAAGGGGGAGCCCAGGAGGAAGCTGTCTCTTCCATCTTCTGCCTCCATGCCCAAATCCTTTAGAGGGAGCAGGTTCTGTAACCCATCCAGCAGTGGGCTCTCACCAAATTGTTCCATTTCCTCTCCCCTCTTAGTAAGGTGAAACCAACTCATTCTCTTCTCAGCCCTGCCCTGGGTTCTGGAGCAATGAGGAACTGGGGATCCTCAGTTGGGGCTCCCCACTCAGCCCAGCAGGGCAGAATGGGCCCTGAGGGGCAATGATGATAGGGAAGGTGAATGTGACCCATCCTCACAGATCCCCAGTCCAAGGGGAGACGCAGCCCCATCCTCAGGGAGCCCCAGTCTGAGGGGAGACACAGACCCATCCTCAGTGAGCCTCAGTCTGAGGGAGACACAGCCCTGTTCTCATGGGGCCCCAGACTGAGGGGAGACTCAGCTCTGCCCCTTCAGGGCTGGTCTGACTTGACCTTCAACGTCTCAATCCCTATTCAGGGAGTGATGACCAAGAGGTCACCTGAGCCACCTCCTGTCTTAAGTCAGGGTCCTTTCACTCACCCCATGAACTGAGGACAGAACAGGCATGGGACAGGAAGGAGGCCTAGAGACCCCTGATCTAACTGGCCACTGCTTGGCAGGCCCCTTTGTTGTCACCTGTGGGTCCCCAGACTCTCCCAACATCCTGCGAAATAGCATTTCTCTCCATTTAGGAGTGACCCCCGGGAATGGCCTTGCCCTGTCCCGTCAACCCCTTCCCTTGCCCCAGACACTGATAGTGGCTGAAAAGCAGGCCCATGGGGTGAGGGAGTAAGGGAATCCTGATAAGCTGACCTTCCTCAGCTCCTGTTTTGGCTGAGGCAGGCTGGTGGGCTGTTTGGTCTGGTGGGCCCATGGTGGAGAGGGTCCCCTGTGAGGTAGGGGGTCGCAGGCTCAAGGTCTCACTGGGTTGAGACAGCCCATACCTTGACAGGAAGGCCAGGCATGAGAGCCCTGCTGAGGTTCCTTCCGCCAGGACATGGCCCCTCTCTGGCCCATCAGGACATCCACCTCACTCCATGGTCACCACCCCAGGAGATAAGGGGCTCCCCTGAGCCTCCCTCACAGCTTCTAGCACCCCACAGGGTCCCTCGGGTCCCCGTCACTCTCCTGTCCAGAAACCTTGCCCCAGCAAGGAAAAGAGGAGAAGGTAAGAGTTGCGTCCCCACAGGAAACTGAGGCACAGAGACTGGCAGAGACCTCCCCAAACCCCATCTGCCCACTCCTCAATGGTAGTGTGGTAGAGTGATAAAAATCTGGGGGACCGATTGGGGGAATTGAACATGAGCTGCATATTAGATATTGCAAACTGTTTTGTTCAATGTAAGAATGGCATGCTGGTTTATATAGAAAATTTGGTTTATTTTTTAGAGATGCATTCTTAAATGAGTAGAGGTGACATGCTATATGTCTATAATTTACTTTTTAATATTTCAGCACAGAAAAGATGAAGCAAATCTGGCAAACAAAATGTTCATTATGCTATTCTGGTAATCGGTACTTGTAGTTTCGTTGTACTGCTCTCTCCATTTGTCTGAATGTTTAAAATTTCTCATTAAAAAAAGACAAATGCTGTTCTAACCTAGGTTTGAATACCAATTCGACTTCTTTGCTGTGTGACCTTAGGCAAGTCACTTAACCTCTCTGGGCCCCATTCTCTTTAAACACCACTGTTGTGATGTTTAAACACAGTAATGGATGGGGTGCACTAGTACAGTGCCTCAGACATAGTAAGTGCTCAGTTAAAAATGGTTGTTTTTTGTAGCCTGGGAAAGTAGCTCATGTCTGTAATCCCAGCACTTTAGGAAGCCAAGGCAGGAGGATCTCTTGAAGCCAGGAGTTTGAGATCAGCCTAGGCAACATAGCAAGACCCCATTTCTACAAAAGATAAAAAATTAAAATAATAGAAAAGGGTCATTATTTGTGAAATGAATGGAAAAGGTGTCTGTGCCTGTGTGTGTGTGTGTGTGTGTGTGTGTGTGTGTGTGTGTGTGTGTTAGAAGGAGTGTCTTCTCAAACTCTCAGCCTCAGTTTCTCAGCCCTCAGGAAGCAGTAGTTAATTACTTGGGTCAACAGCCACACCCTCAGTCCCTACTCCATGTCACGGGCTGTGATGGGTGCTGGCAAAGGGGAAGGATTTGGGGTGCAGGGCCCCTCTTCACAGGACCAGTGGACACTGGTTCCTTAGAAGGAACACTGAAGTTAGTGGAGCCCCTCCTCATTTTGCATCCAGCCTAGGAACAGAGCAACTCCGTCTGGCCACGTGCAGTCGCCAGCTTTGGGGACAGGCAGAGCTGAGGGGCTGCCCCCTCAACACCCCACACAAAGGAGCAGAGCAGTGAAAGCCCCGTCCCGAGGACAAGGGCAGTGGGGCATGTGCCGGTAACGGGAGAAGGCCAGCCCTTTCTTATTTTGGGAGGCAGGAGGCAGCAGGTGGCTGGCTGGTGCTGGGACATGTGAACCCTCCTGTCGGGGGCCATGTGGTCAGCAGCAGGGCAGCCTGGCAGTGCCGGGCTCAGCCTAGGCCCCACATGAGCCCATCAGCCAGACACATTTGTGGCCACAGAGGGAGGGAGATCCAGTTTCTCCACAAGGGCATCCTCTGTAGCACAGCTTGGAAGTGGGGGAAAGGACACCTGGCACCTGCCCCACCCCCATATTCCCCAAGGAAGCTGACTCCAGGGACCTGAGTGTTCGGAGGAGCTCCCAGTCTGAGTGGGGAGATGCAATCTTTATACCCCAGGAGTTTCTAATCCATGAGAGACACAGCCTCTGCCCTGAGGCAGCCCTCAGTCTGAGGGAGAAAACACAGACCTGGCATCAGAGAGCTCCAAATCTGAGTGGAGAGGCCCATTCTGAGGAGGGGGTTGGCCACAGTGAGGGCATGGGGGCTGCAGGGGCTGGAGCACTCCATTAGGGCTGGTGGAAGCCACAATGTTGCAGGTTCCTGCGGGAGCCAAGTTATTTTGGGTGGGCAGGAGGAGCAGGCGACTTTCCAGATTAAAATAGCTTTCCCTGGGTGTCATTCCTGAGACGTGTTCAGATCCCAGCAGCATGCTCGTCACACGGTTATGTTCCTCCTGTCCCTCCCAGTCGGGTGGGCAGGGCCAGGTTGGCAGTCCTGCCCAGGCTGGAGGAGGTAGGAAAGTAGAGATGAGCCTTGCTTCCTAATCAGGGCAGCACGGAAATGTGAATCCAGTCTCCGGGGCCACTGAAAGCTGCCCACCACTTGCCCAACTCCTTCTAAAGGGCCTGCAGTTCTAGGAACAGGACACAGTCTGAGCACTGCACGGTAGCGCTCACCCCCTCTTTCCCCTTCGCCATTCCTGCAGCTCTTGCCTTCTTCCATGGGCCACCAGCTCCAGCTATCTCTGATCCCTGTCCCCCATGAACTCTCTGCCTTTCCTGCCCTCCCCCACCCACCACACAGAGGAATCCAGATGCCTTGCACACGTGACTCCTCTGAGCTGGGCAGAGGACCCTGGCCAGGCCCAGACAACATAAATACATCCTGAGAGTTTACATTGTGTGGGCCGTGAGTACACAGCAGTCGGCCGGCTGCTGCCCCTGTTTACCCCTGTTTATTCCCTGGGGGTTCATGGACAGGGCGCCACCATAGGAGGAGGGTGGAGGGAATCCTTGGGTGGCTGCAGCTGTGTGGATGTCAACGTACTAAGAACCCCAGGAAAGCTTGTAGGCCTCACAGGCCACTCCCTCCTACCACGTCCCAGCTGCCCTCCCTGTTCCAATGAAGATGCCGTGATGCACGTGGGAGTCTGAGTACAGAGTGGCCTCCCTGAGTCTGTGGTTGGGGGGCCCCCTGGCCGTCCTTCCCCTTGGCCCTCAGCCCTGCCCCAGGAACCCAGCTCAAGCTTTCGTGGATTTTCTGAGGTCAGGCCAAGCTGGGCCTGGCTTGGGTTAATCATTATTCATGCTGTCTCTGGAACTTTTCCAGGATGTTTTCATTTTCTGAGCACTTCTGATCTCTCAGCATCTTCCCCACTGGCTCTGAAAAGCAAATTCTGCTGGGATTGTCCATTGTGTGCATGGGAAGGTTGAGGCCCAAAGGGTATGCCGGTCCTGAGTTCCACCATAGCTGTCTGCGGTGCTTGCGTTCAAAATCAGTGAGAAGCCAGCAGAGATGACTGCCTCATAGTGACCCTGCACAGAGATCCACTTTACAGATGAGAAACTGAGGCTCAAAGTGGTTCAGTGACTTGCCCACGGTTACTCAGCTGGTGAAGTCGCCATTCAAACTCAGCTCTGTCTGGCTCTAACTTCCCTGCATGGTCCTTCCCACCCACAGCCCACCTCTTACCCAGAGAGCTCAGATGAGCAGGCAGGGAGACAAGACGGTTTTCCAAAAGCTCCACCCTTCCCTAAGATATTTCTATTGGAAAGCCAGAGTGCATTCATTCCTGTGAATTCTTTCTCATTGGTAGTGTAAACTCCTGTGCCAAAAATTGGTGGGGTCGGGGGCGGCGGGGGCGGGGGGAGAGACTAATAATAATAATAATAAAAATAACAAAAGCTAATGTTTATTGAGCACTTGCTGTATGCATGCTTCTAGTCTAAGTGCTATATAGTAAATACAATATCTCACGGAATCCTCACTACAACTCTGTAAGACATGATATTATTCAGTCCTGTTTACAGCTGAGAAGACTGAGGCACAAAGAGGTATGGTGACTTGTCCAAGGTCAGGTATCAGAGCCACGATTGGAACCCAGAGCCACTGTGCTGTGTGTAGGAGATCTGGGTGATGACTGACTTCGCAGAGTAGTTTAAATAGCATGGTTGTGCACAGAGGCACACACACACAGCAAATAGTGAGGGACAGGTGAAGCTGAGCCACGGTGTCTGGGAGTAACGTGAGTAGTGCAGGGTGGATTAGGGAAGGGTTCCTGGTGGAGATGGGATGTGTGGCAGGGCTTAAAGGATGTGAGAGATATAGACCATGCCCAACAGTGTGGGGGCCTGGGGCAGGATTATCCACAAAGAGTCACCCACGTGACCTGAACATAGTAGGTGTTGAGTAACTGTTATTGGATGATTGGTGATAGCAACATGGTGGTTGTGATGGAAGTAGCAACAGAGGAGGGAGTGGTCTGATGGTGCTGGTGGCAATGGTAGCTATGTCAGTGCTGGAGGAAGTAGCGATGATGGTGTGACAGTGGAGGTGTTAGGTGGTGTTGGTGATGAAGATGGGAATGGAATTAGCAATAAAGGCAAGAACAAAGACACCTTTTACTTTACCAACCTGTACAATCCTTTGCAGCAGACACCAGCCTCACACATTCTTAATCCTCACAGCTACCTTCAGGTGGTATCCTCATTTTACAAACGATGACACTGAACCACAAGCAAGTCAAATCCTGCTTGTGCAAGGTCACAAGGCCAGTAAGTAGCAGAAACCCGATTGGCTCAGGCTCTCTGCCTTCAGGGCCAGTGGCTCTCAGCTTCCTCCCCACTCAGAGGGAGGGCAGTGTCATGATGCCATGGGTGGGTATCAAGGCGAGGGCATTCTGCACTCCCAACACAGCAGGCTCAGCTGTGCTCTGTTTGGAGGAGTGGGGTGGAGCAAGACTGAGTGAGAGCAAATGCAGTTCTAATCCTGGCCCCACCACCCATGTGCTGTGTGACCTTCTCTGGGCAGTGGCCAAGGTAGATGCCAGCTGCCAGGTGACAGCAGGCCTGCCGGGCAGAGCCAGTGGAGCCTGGCAGGAGCCACACACACCAAGGGGATGAAGTCAGGGGTGAGAAATAATCTTGGAGTCAGAGGAAGGCTTGCTCTGGGTGACATTCCTGGAAAGTTCTGCTCTGATTGGCTTGAGATTGGGGCTTCTGCATAGGCCTTTCCAGTCAAGAACAAGTTTATTAATAAACCCTGTGTCTGCCCCCTGCCCTCACCCTGGGGAAAAGGCAGGGCTTCCTGGGGCTCCTGGGGTGGTGAGTTCCATTGAGGGGGGACAGGGATTGAGCCCTTTAATGGGGTGCAAATGCCCTGCAGCTCCCAGATGACATGCTTCTGCCATAGACTCAGGGGCTTAGGAGAAATGCCAACAGGAGTGGGTGGCATGCATGTGAGCACATGGGTGTGCAAGCATGCATGAATGACTGTACGCATAGCGAGGTGTGTACACATGAGTTCCTGAACAAGGTTATCAGGTTATCACGGTAATAATAGACTCCTGGGGGCTCCTGGGTGTATGGGTATATATGGATTGGCCTGTAAGAATGTAAACCTACGCTAGGTGTGGTGGCTCACAGCTGTAATCCCAGCACTTTGGGTGGTCAAAGCAGGAGGATCTCTTGAGTTCAGGAGTTCAAGACCAGCCTGGGCAACATAGTAAGACTCCCTTCTCTACAAAAAAAAAAAAAAAAAATTGTTAAATTAGCCAGGCATGATGACACATGACTGTGTTCTCAGCCACTCAGGAGGCTGAGGCCGGAGGATCACTTGAGTCCAGAAGGTCAAGCCTACAGTGAACTAAGATTGTGCCACTGCACTCCATCCTGGGTGACAGAGTGAGACCCTGTCTCTAAAAAATAAAAATTAAGAGTGTAAACCTGTGTCTCAGCTGCTGGTGAGTGTATTCTTCATGTGCCCTTGTGAGCACCTAGGTGATGTGTGGGCGGCTGTGGGAGGAGGACTGAGTCTGAGGGTTGCCAAGGCCCTCCCAGGCACTTCCCTCTGCAGCTCATTAGCATCCAAAGGCTAAATTTACTGCATTTGCTCCCCCACCCGTGGGCTCTGACCTCATTAGGCCCCTGCTCCTTTCCTCAGACAGTGGGGCTGGGAAGGAGGGATGGCTCCTTTATCTGCAGTGTAGGATCCCTTGAGGGAGGAGGGAAAGTCCTGGGGGCAGGGGCAGGGGAATGCCAGGGCACAAAACTTAATATAGTCACAGGGCAGGCCGAGGAGGATGTTGTCTCCTATTACACCTGCCACCTGGCCCCCATCACATGATCAGCTCTTGCTGGCGAGTCATGGGCAGAGTGAGGAGCACCTACTCCTGGACATTGCAGGAGGCCGCACTCCACTCTGCCCCCTCCACAAATGGAGCCCTTCTCCCAGCTGATCCTCCTGGGAAGGGCAGGGTCCAGCCAGCCCTCTGCTCAGTGTGGCTCTGGCATGGATCAGCTGGGTGGTCCTGACCCCCAGTGGACCTGGTCAGGAAGGGAGGGAAGCTGCAGGGACATCCCACTGATCTTAGCATGGCCACCAAGGGACAGCTTCCTCTGGTGCATACCCTCCCCCACTTCCCTCTTGGTCAGAACCATGGCCCCACACTATGGCATTCCTGTAGGCAGAGCCCTAGGCTAGAACTAGGGGTGACAGCCAGGGTGAGAAAGAGCAGGGGTAGCCAGGTCAGCAGCCCCTCCAAGACTCTCCAGGAGACCAGTGTGGATGCAAAAGAAGGCAGGTTCAAAGTCAGCTCCTCCTCTAAGCCCCTCCTAGATAGGGCTCAGACTGAGGGGAGACACAGCCCTTACTCAGGGAGCCCCAGTCTGAGGGGAGATGCAGCCCTGTCCTCAGGGACCCCCAGTCGGAAGGAACTATCATGCTACTTGTCCTCTCTTGAGTTTCTTGTGTAACCCTGGGGGTTTTACTCAATATCTCAGAGCCTCTGTTTTCTTGTCTGTGTAATGGCAACATGGCCACACACCTCAAAGATGTTTGGTTCATGCCAGTCAGATCACAAAACCTGAGTAAAATGTAGCTATTCTTTTTCATTTGGAGTTTTCTTGTGGAAGAAATCATCGCATTTAGTCTTTCTTTGGAGAAGCCAGTTGCAGTGGGATCTTGTGTACCTCCCAGTCCTCTCCCAAAGACTAATGTCGTGATGGTCTGGCTGTCTTGACACACCTGGCCTTCCCAGGCAGCCCCAGGCTGGACATTTATAGTCAACAAATATTATGGAAAGTCAGCCATACAAGAGGCCCCAGGCCTGAGGACACCAGTGCAGCAGGGGTCAAGGCAAGCCCTGCAGCCACCCACCCCAGGCCAGTTCACTCCACAGCTATGGATGAAGCGGGGAGGAAGGCTCCCCCTTCCTCTCACTAGCTACCTGCCCCCCACCACTTGTCTGTTGACTTGGGGGACCCTCGACAGCTTCAGAGACTGGCTTCAGGGTACCTGGGGGATATACCCTCTCAAACCTGCAACTGTGAATGAGGATGGGAAGCTGCCAAGAGGTATACATGTGTGTGTGTGTCCAGCCCTGTCACAACTGAAGAGTGGAATTCCTTCCCACATGCACTGTACGATGATACCACACATGGCTGTCCCAGGGACCAAGGCTTTCTGTCCCTGGGACAGAGGGCCTAGAGGGCCCAGACTCTAGCTATAAATGCCCCCAGAAAACAGTCCGGTGGCTTCTGGTCATTTGCTTCTTAGGTACTTTGTAAAATTTATTCTTCTTGAGATGTTAGATTTGTGCATCAAATTGTACAAATCATTAAGGGTGCAGCTTGGTGAATTTTATGTAATGCCCACATAACCACCACCCGGTGCAAGCACAGAATGTTTTCAGCACCCCAGGAGGTTCCCTGAAGCCCCTCCCAGTCAATTCCACCTTCCAGAGGTAACCACTATTCTGACTTCTATCCCCATAGATCTGCTTTGCCTGTTCTTGAATCTCATGTAAATGGAATCATAGCATATGCACACTTTTGTGTCTGCCTCGTGCTGTGCAATATTATGTCTGTGAAGTTCATCCATGTTGCTCAAGTAACACTAGGTTTTCCTTTTGTATTGCTGAGTAGTATTCCATTAAGTGGATATGCCACAGTTTATGTACCTATTCTGGGACATTTAGGTTATTTCCAGTTTTTAATTAATATGATGCAAGCAGACACAGCATTCCTGTATGTTTTCTGGTGCTCCTAAATATGGCAACCCAAATCTTGAGAGCAGATTTTGAGGGCAACGCATGGTTAAGAACTCCAGGGAAGAGGAATTAAAAATGACTGGGCTCCTGCTCTGGGCCATGAGCTTTTGTGGATCCACTGGACCAATCACTAAGGAAGGAAGACAGAGAAAGAGCAGCTCCCAAGGGGAACTCCTCTGAGCTCATCACTGAGCCTGGAGCCAGCTGTGTGTGTGTGTGTGTGTGTGTGTGTGTGTGTGTGTGTGTGTGTGTGTGTGATTGGATTTGTTGCCGGGGCTGCCATAACACAGTACCACAGACTTGGTGACTCAGTAGTTTAAAACAACAGAAACGTATTCTCGCACAGTGAAGGAGGCCAAAAGTCTGAAATCAAGGTGTTGGCAGAGTCTGTTTCTTCCAGAGGCTCTGATGGAGATTGTTCCTTGCCTCTCTCCTTGCTTCTGGGGGCTGCCAGCACCTTGGTATTTCTCGGCTCATAGCTGCATCACTCCAATCTCTGACTCCATCATCACATGGCCTTCTGCTCTGTGTCTCCATGTCTCTGTTTTCAAATCTTTTTCTCCTTATAAGGACACCAGTCACTGGATTTAAGGCCCACTCTAATCCAGTAAGATCTCATCTTAATTTGATTACATCTACAAACACCCTATTTCCAACTACGGTCACATCCCCAGGTACTGGGGGTTAGGACTCCAACTTATCTTTTTGGTGGGGATGGGGGGGCACAATTCAACCAACAACAGTGATTATGGCTGTGTGTCTGTGTGTGTAAGACTGAGTGTGCATGAGTGTGTGTATTAATGTGTATACGCGTGAGGGGTAGTGAGTGTTATGCACATGTGCTTGTGAGAACATGTCTGCGATGGTGTTTCTCGGTGTGCTTATGTGACTGTGGGCATGTACATATGAGCATGTGTGTATATGTGCTTCTGTTTCCACGACTTGGAGACCCTGCTGGATGAGCTGAGAAGGGCAGCAAGGCAGGACGGTGGCAACAGGTTGAAGAGGTGCTTGGGGCCAGCCAGGTGAGCAGGCAGGCCTTGCCTCATGAATCTGGAAGAGTAGCTGGTGGATACAGACTCTGAGAAACAAGGACAAGGATGTTTGTTGAGCTGGGATACAGGCTGGTAGGCCCAGGCAGTAGCTCCTGACAGCAGTGCCTGTTCCCAGGTCTTCTTTCAGGAATATTCCTAGAAACCCTCTCCACCCATGCTCCTGACCCTTGCATCCCATTTGCCTGGACAGAGAGGCACTGCCTGACTCCTCCCTTCCCAGGAATAAAAGTCAGCACTCAGTTACCTGTTGTGCCAGCCAGGTAGGGGCGGGGCAGGTAGCCAGTCCTTCCCTAGACCCACCCCCAGCCTAGTCCAAAGTAGCACCCAATCACCCATCCCTATGCCCTGCCATGCCTCTCAACTTGTATCTTGCACCTTGGCTGGGGCTGGACCCCAGAAATCAAAGAAAAACGGGGGGAGCATGTAGCAGTCAGGTAAGGTCCAGAATGAGGGCTTCTTATCTCCCTAGGGCAGCTCTCTTAGGCAAGCCCACCATCAAGCGACAGGATATTGGGAAGGTCTCCTCATAGTAATGTCAACTCAGGGCCTGCTCTGAGCCGGGTTATCTCATTTAAATTTCACAATCAGGCCAGGTGTGGTGGCTTTTGCCTATAAGCCCAGTATTTTGGGGGAGTGAGAGGTGACAGGGTGCTGGCAGTCCTCACAGCCCTCGCTCACTCTCGGCGCCTCCTCTGCCTGGGCTCCCACTTTGGCCACACTTGAGGAGCCCTTCAGCCCGCCGCTGCACTGTGGAAGCCCCTTTCTGGGCTGGCCAAGGCCGGAGCCGGCTCCCTCAGCTTGCGAGGAAGTGTGGAGGGAGAGGGGCGGGCGGGAACCGGGGCTGCGCGCGGTGCTTGCGGGCCAGCGCAAGTTCCGGGTGGGCGTGGGCTCGGCAGACCCCGCACTCGGAGCAGCCCGCCAGGCCCCACCGGCCCTGGGCAGTGAGGGGCTTAGCACCTGGGCCAGCAGCTGCTGTGCTCAATTTCTCCCCGGGCCTTAGCTGCCTTCCCGCGGGGCAGGGCTCGGGACCTGCAGCCTGCCATGCCTGAGACTCCTCCTGGCTCCGTGGGCTCCTGTGCGGCCAGAGCCTCCCCGACGAGCGCCACCCCCTGCTCCATGGCGCCCAGTCCCATCCACCACCCAAGGGCTGAGGAGTGCGGGCGCACAGCGCCGGACTGGCAGGCAGCTCCACCTGCAGCCCTGGTGCAGGATCCACTGGGTGTAGCCAGCTGGGCTCCTGAGTCTGGTGGGGACGTGGAGAACCTTTATGTCTAGCTCAGGGATTGTAAATACACCAATTGGCACTCTGTATCTAGCTCAAGGTTTGTAAACACACCAATCAGCACTGTGAATGCACCAATCGACACTGTATCTAGCTACTCTGGTGGGGACTTGGAGAACCTTTGTGTCAACACTCTGTATCTAGCTAATCTAGTGGGGACATGGTGAACCTTTGTGTCTAGCTCGGATTGTAAACGCACCAATCAGCACCCTGTCAAAACAGACCACTGGGCTCTACCAATCAGCAGGATGTGGGTGGGGCCAGATAAGAGAATAAAAGCAGGCTGCCCCAGCCCGCAGTGGCAACCCGCTGGGATCCCTTTCCACGCTGTGGAAGCTTTGTTCTTTTGCTCTTTGCAATAAATCTTGCTACTGCTCACTCTGTAGGTCCACGCTGCCTTTATGAGCTGTAACACTCACCGCGAAGGTCTGCAGCTTCACTCCTGAAGCCAGCGAGACTACGAGCCCACCGGGAGGAACAGACAACTCCAGACGCGCCGCCCTAAGAACTGTAACACTCACCGCGAAGGTCTGCAGCTTCACCCCTAAGCCAGCGAGACCACGAACCCACCAGAAGGAAGAAACTCTGAACACATCTGAACATCAGAAGGAACAAACTCTGGACACGCTGTCTTTAAGAACTGTAACACTCACCGCGAGGGTCCGCGGCTTCATTCTTGAAGTCAGTGAGACCAAGAACCCACCAATTCCGGACACAGGAGGATCGCTTGAGCCCAGGAATTCAAGACCAGCCTGGGCAACCCAGCAACACTCCATCTCTACAGAAGTTGTAAAATTAGCTGGGCGTGATGGGGCGCATCTGTAGTCCT